>NC_000010.11:92112792-92415822 GCF_000001405.40 Homo sapiens
ACCATCATCAACACAGTTCTTCTCTGGTACATTGCATATCAGAAGAATGTAAATGGCAGAGAAGGATAAGAATCCCCACATACAGAAGATTCTCACACATCAGAGGTGTTTAATTCATAATCAACTGGCTAAGAAGCAAAGCTCTCTGGAGTCCTGGGCAACATGTAATGACAGTGGCAATGGATAATGGCTATTCGTTTTTAGCCTTTTCTCCAACTCCCCATCTACTATACAGAGCATCCAGGCAAATATAGCAGAAAAAAAGACCAGCCACTCCCTAGCATAGCAGGCAGAAACTAACACACAGGAAAAGGCACCAAATTGAATGGGCAGCCATGTAGTTGCAAGAGAGAGACTGCCAAGGTTTTAGGACCAAGAGCTGTTTTCTGGGCTTTGGTCTCATGCTGCATAGGTCAGAAGATTCTGTTGATGGCTAGTCAGGAAAAATAAAACCTGACTGCAAAACTAGAAAAGACAATACATACATCATTTCTTCATATCCTCTTTTGCAAACAGTATTGAACTATCACCAGGTGCCAGGGAATCTTAAAAATTCAGTGTTTTCACTTAATATGAGAACATTAATTCTACTTACTAAAGATAATATTAGAGATAAGGTGGGTTAAAAAGTCCAAATATCACAAAGAGGAGGTCTCAGCAGGTTCTTTCAAACCTCCTCTCTTACCAAGTTAAATACTGGTACAGATATCCACAAAGATCATAAGCATATTGAACACCCTGCAGTCAGAGTACTCCATCTATGTATATATTGTATTATGTACACATCAAAAAGGCCTGGTGATAGGGAATGCCCAGTGAGTTGGGGCTTTCTCTTATTCCTTGCCTCAAGAAGGCCTCCTGGCTGACTCCATTTTTCCTTCACATCACTGCCCACCCTCTGCAATCTTCAACATCAAATCCAGTTTTGCATTGACCTTGGGCATCCAAAGAAAAGGCGGTTGTCTCCCTATAGCAGCTGAGCAGCTCCCACAAAAGCACGCAGATTTTCACTTAGGCCCATCTCACAGCCATAAAATATCTACACTGGCAGTAGATAGAGTAAAAACAACTGGGAGTCACAAGTAAAAGCCTGCTACAAATACTATTATCAAGAGAAATATCTATAAACAATTTCTCCTTTCCCAGGAAATGGTCCATAACAGTTTACCAATTTCTTTAGGATGGCTCTTTTACTATAAATAATCCTGTGTCAAAACAATTATCTTTACTCTGAGGTCACCAAGCTGCCATTTTCTGTAATGGCAATATTCTCTCAGCACTGTAGATAAGAGACATGGCTAAACTCCCCCCAACCCCCCAAAATCTGGGCTGTAGTTCAACAATTTCTTCTAACTCTACTTCCCACTTTAGGCCTTCCAACCAAAACAGAATTCACCGGAAACACCCAAAATCACTCTTGAAAACAACTTTATGATATCTTCACCTGCTAAAACACCTTCTGATACTTCAAGGTCAAGCAAACCCAGATGACAACAGAAATCAGAGGATTTTTTAAAATCAGGAAGAATCTTTCGAACATATTTCCCTTTTGATCTTGAAAAATTTAAAGTCAAAGTAAACAAAGTAGAAAAAGATCCCTTCAAGAATAACAAGGTCAATGTGAGGCGGAAATCCAATCAATGATTTACTAAAAGGTAAATTGCACATGGTACTAGGAAGTGTTCTGGACTAGGAGACAGAAGGTCTAGATTCGGGTACAAGTCCTAACATTTAGTAGCTATGTGATAATAACAGCTAATAGCTAACATTTGTTGAGATTTACTATGCACCAGACACTGTTCTAAGTGCCTTGTGGACATTAACTCATTTCATCTTCACACACACCCTATGTGGTAAGCCCTATTTTGAATTCTGCTTTATATTTAAGGAAATTACACAGAGTGATTAAGCGACTTGTTCAAGATCACCCAGTAAGTGGTGGAACCATGAACTTGAATATTAACATTTCTGAATCCTGGCTCTCTTCTCTGTCAAATGAAGAAACCAAATATTTGTCCCAATTACCTTACAGAGATGTAGGTTGTAAGATAACGTATAAAAAGGTGTTTCATAAACTAGGAAGTCATGTGAGTATTGATTTTTCTTTTACTGCATTTTCAATTATTTCTGTAATAGATAAAATTAAAGTTGAGTTTTTGCATATGGTCTCATTACAAACATTAGAATTCAAATTAATAATATGCACTTTCAGCCGGCAGAGCCGCCTGGCAGCTCCTCCTCTTCTCCGCCCCGGCGGCCGCGGGCGCGGGGGACGTCAGCGCTGCCAGTGTGGAAAGAGCTGCGGGGCGCGGGAGGAGGAAGTAGAGCCCGGGACCGCCGGGCCACCACCGACCGCCTCAGCCATGGACGCGTCCCTGGAGAAGGGAGTCTCGGTCTCTTGCCCAGGCGGGAGTGCAGTGAGGCGATCTCGGATCCCTGCAACCTCCGCCTCCCGGATTCAAGTGATTCTCCTGCCTCAGCCTCCCGAGCAGCTGTGACTACAGGCGTGTGACACCACACCCGACTAATTTTTGTATTCCCAGTAGAGATGGGGTTTCACCACGTTGGTCAGGATGGTCTCAAACACCTGACCTTGTGATCCTTCAGCCTCAGCCTCCCACAGTGCTGGGATTACAGGCGTAAGCCACTGCACCTGGCCGGGACTTAGATTTATATTCCCTGAAGTAATACAGGGCCTTAGATGGAATGAACGATTTATATTGGTGCTAATTGGGCGGAAAAGAAAAAGCATTGCTGTAATATGAATGTTGATGACTTTATGTTCTGAAAAATAGTCTGGGTCAAAGTGAAACATTTAATTGTGTTCATTATTCCTGTTTCTTTGAGGAATAGACTATCCTGCGTTAAATTCTACATTGTTAATATAAACTCAAGAGCTATGTGAGCAGTTGTAAATGATCCCATTTAAACTGATTGTTGCGTAATTTATACTGATTACAGAAACCACAATGTTATTTGATGCTCACCCTCTAAAATTTAAAATAATATCTCTCACTTTAAAATGTATGTGAAAAAACAAAAAAAAATTTAGTATGCGATCATCATTTAGTAGAATCACTCAGTGATTTGGATTTGGTCCAAATATAATTCTGTCCCTTGCTTTTTCTGTTATGTAAACGTGCAGACCTGTGATAACAGAGCCATTTTCTCGTCACGATTTGCTTTTCTTCCACAACAGTATCAGTTTTCTTGTATCTGAGATCAGTGATGTCCCAATAAATCAGATGGGTTAATTGAGGAGGCAAAGGAAATTCAAACTTAGGAGAGTAGGAGTAGGGGCTTTGCCTCTGCCCCCCACTGTATGTCCAAGGCATAAGGAACAAGGCCCTGTAGCAGAGTCTCACAGTGTGTACTTATGTTAATATTCAATAAGGAAAATGCCACAGGAAGTAATCACTATAATGATGAAGATTTTAAGTTATTAAACACACCTTCCAGTAAAAAAAAAAAAAAATAATAATAATAATAATATGCACTTTCTATTTTGCATTTGCAAGCATTTGGTGAATAAAGAGAAGTAACCTAGATACTGAAGAAAAGCCCTAATTAAAGTTACTTGAATGACAGGCTGAATATTACTGCAAACAAACAATAAAGTGACTGAATATCTGCTTTCATATATGATTAGCCATTTCCCCCACAAGAATGTCAGATGTAGTATTATTTTCTGATTTTAATATATTTTAAAGTAAAAACCAATTATGCCTATAAACAGAGCTTCTCTATTAGTTTGAAAGGTATTAAAAAAAAAAACTTGGCCAAAAAATTATCAACTTCCTCTGCTCTCTCTTGCCCTCGGACCCAGTAACAGATAATATGATTATAAAACTCTTCCAGTTTCAGAAATGGTAACCTGAGGAGTATGTGGGGGCTTCAGTGATGTGGCAAGCTATGAGAGGCCCTCAGCTCCAAGCCAGTCTATGAAAGCAGACAGGGCTCTGGAGGGAACAGGAACAGTTCCTAGTCACTGTCACCAACACAACCCTGAGTTACAGGTAGAATGGATGGCCGAAAATTCCTTGCTTTCCCACTGATGCCAAACAGGTTGGGGAAGAAGGGTAGAACACTGAGGGATTTTTTTCAACAATCCTAAATTGATCAATGCAATTTTCTGGGAGAAAAAGGAACACCAAGGTTTGGGAAGGAACTTAATTAGGATAATTCCATTTCATTGGCCAGGTGTGTGAAGTGTAAATTTAATTAAAATATTTTTTTCTTTTTGTTTTTTTGAGACAGAGTCTCGCTCTGTCGCCCAGGCTGGAGTGCAGTGGTGCGATCTCAGCTCACTGCAACCTCCGCCTCCCAGGTTCAAGCAATTCTCTGCCTCAGCCTCCCAAGTAGCTGGGATTACAGGTGCCCGCCACCATACCTGGCAAATTTTTGTATTTTTAGTAGAGACGGGGTTTCACCATCTTGGCCAGGCTGGTCTTGAACTCCTGACCTCATGATCCACCCACCTCAGCCTCCCAAAGTGCTGGGATTACAGGCATGAGCCACCATGCCTGGCTGACTTTTTTTTTTTTTTTTTTTTTTTGAGAAGGAGTCTCGCTCTGTTGCCCATGCTGGAGTGCAGTGGTGTGATCTTGGCTCACTGCAAGCTCCGCCTCCCAGGTTCAAGCCATTCTCCTGCCTCAGCCTCCCGAGTAGCTGGGACTACAGGTGCCTGCCACCACACCCGGCTAATTTTTTTGTATTTTTAGTAGAGACGGGGTTTCACGGTGTTAGCCAGGGTGGTCTCGATCTCCTGACCTCATGATCCGCCCACCTCAGCCTCCCAAAGTGCTGGGATTACAGGTGTGAGCCACCGTGCCCAGTAGTGATTTTTTTCTTTTAATACCTGAGAACACATTAAGTATAACAACCTCCAAAATGTTCTTGGCTACCTTTCAAAAACAAAGCTTCCTGATCTCTTAAATACATAATTTTTCATGTTTTTTTTTTAATATTTGATACCTAGTACAAATTATCAACAACTCTACTACCACAACTATCAGGTACTAAATGCTCACAATGTTCTAGGCACTTTGCTAATAAATATTTTACATGTTAGCTCATTTTATCCTCACAGTAACTCTATGAGGTAAATACAGTTGTTATTATTACCATTTTACAGATGAGGAAAATGAAGCTTGGAGAGGTTAAGGGAATTCTCAAATTAAAACCCAGGAATGAAATCTGGAATTAAACCAGATCAGTTTCCAGAGCCCATTAATTTATACTACCTCATCTAAAAATGGCAAGATAAACTTTTAAATATCCCTAATACAGAACTTGCCTTTAAAATGTCCTTATGACAGTGACCATTTGACAGTTTTGTTTTGTTTTGTTTTGTTTCAAGATGGAGTTTCGCTCTTGTTGCCCAGGCTGGAGTGCAATGGTGTGATCTTGGCTCACTGCAACCTCTGCCTCCGGGGTTCAGGTGATTCTCCTGCCTCAGCCTACCAAGTAGCTGGGATTACAGGCATGCACCACCACACCTGGCTAATTTTTGCATTTTTAGTAAAAACGGGGTTTCACCATGTTGGTCAGGCTGGTATCGAACTCCTGACCTCAGGTGATCCACCCGCCCCAGCCTCCCAAAGTGCTGGGATTACAGGTGTGAGCCACCGTGCCCGGCCTGACATTGTTTTAATAGCAGTAAGTGGTCACCCTGTGCTTTAGTCCTATAATTTAAGGCCTATGTAGATATAATTGCTACAAAGCCCACAAAAACTATATTAAAGGATATTCTATAAAACAATGGGCATGAACTCTTCTAATGATATAAAAGACAAAAAGCCTAGGGAACTGTCTAAATTAAAGGAGATTAAAGAGATGTAACAACTGAATGTGGAACCCAAGATGGCTGCACTCTTGCTGAGACATGTTGGTCGACATTGCCTCCGAGCCCACTTTAGCCCTCAGCTCTGTATCAGAAATGCTGTTCCTTTGGGAACCACAGGCAAACAAGAGATGGAGCGGTTCTGGAATAAGAACACAGGTTTAAACCGTCCTGTATCTCCCCACGTCACTATCTACAGTTGGTCTCTTCCCATGGCAATGGCCATCTGCCACCATGACACTGGTACTGCTTTGAGGGCAGGGGCCTCTCTTTTTGGCATGTCAGCCCTGTTACTCCCTGGGAACTTTGAGTCTTATTTGGAGCTGGTGAAGTCCCTGTGTCTGGGGCCAGCACTGATCCACACAGCTAAGTTTGCACTCGTCTTCCCTCTCATGTATCATACCTGGAATGGGGTCTGACACTTGATGTGAGACCTAGGAAAAGGCCTGAAGATTCCCCAGCTATACCAGTCTGGAGTGGCTGTCCTGGTTCTTACTGTGTTGTCCTCTGTAGGGCCGGCAGCCATATGAAGAACGGAGGTTCCCAGCATCATATTCCTACACATTATTACATTCACCCATCTTTCTGTTTGTCACTCTTATCTCCAGCCTGGGAAAAGTTCTCCTTATTTGTTTAGATCCTTTTGCACTTTCAGATCCCCTTGGAGCAGTAGAGTACCTTGTAGAACATAAGAGTGGAAAAGGGTCTAGTTTTCCCCTTGTTTCTAAAGATGGGGTGGCTGCAAAAATTCCCATTTTTTGCCCACAACTTGCCTACTCTGGGACTAGAAGCAGTTATTCTCTTTCCATATTGGGCTTTGATTTGTGCCAAAGGTCAGCTTTTGGTTCCTTCTTCCTGAGACAGTAGAAACAATACCAGCTCTGTGGCTTCTGCCCTGGGGACTGGGGGTGAGGGTTTGGGTCCCACTGCCTGTGGGTTGCTGGCTTAAAGGACAATTCTGTTCACTGGTGAGAGCCCAGGCCATTAACACCTATGCAGTGTTATTCAAAGAAGAGAGGTGAGGGTGGAGGGGAATTAGTCTATCCCAGCTAGAGGGAGATAAAGAGGGCTAGTTAGTTCTTAGAGCAGCTGCTTTGAGGAAGAAATATATATAGCTATTGACACAAGAGGAAGATCCAGAAAATTATCATTGAACATATTAAAGGTTACTTATTTTTCTTGCATTTCCAGAAAACCCTCTTAATTTTATGCTTTCTCATCGAAGTCATGCACCATTTTTTTCTGAAACTAAATTAAAATACTCATTAAAGAAAAAAATCTAAGTGCAAGTTGTTGTATCCCTTGAGTGGATCTTGGATTTAAAAAAAAAACAAATTGCGCCAGGCGCGGTGGCTCACGCCTGTAATCCCAGCACTTTGGGAGGCTGAGGCGGGCGGATCACGAGGTCAGGAGATGGAGACCATCCTGGCTAACACAGTGAAACCCTGTCTCTACTAAAAATACAAAAAAAAAAAAAAAAAAACCAAATTGCTACGCCGGGTGCGGTGGCTCACACCTGTAACCCTAGCACTTTGGTGAGGCCGAGGAGGGCAGATCACGAGGTCAGGAGATTGAGACCATCCTGGCTAACACGGTTAAACCCTGTCTCTACTAAAAATACAAAAACAAACAAACAAACAAACAAACAAACAAAAAACCAAATTGCTAGGCCGGGCACGGTGGCTCACACCTGTAATCCCAGCACTTTGGGAGGCCGAGGAAGGAGGATCACGAGGTCAGGAGATTGAGACCATCCTGGCTAACACGGAGAAACCCTGTCTCTACTAGAAATACAAAAAATTAGCTGGGTGTGGTGGCGGGCGCCTATAGTCCCAGCTACTTGGGAGGCTGAGGCAGGAGAATGGCCAGAACCCAGGAGGCGGAGCTTGCAGTGAGCCGAGACTGCACCACTGCACTCCACCCTGGGTGACAGAGCGAGACTGTCTCAAAAAAAACAAAAAACAAAAAACAAAAGAAAACAAACTGCTGTAAAGGACATTACTGAAACAATCTGGATATTTCTTGTTCTCAGGAGATATGTGCTGAAATATTTAGGAATGAGAGTCTACAATTCTTTTTTTTTTGAGACAGAGTCTTACTCTGTTGCCCAGGTTGCAGTGCAGTGGCATGATCTCGGCTCACTGCAACCTCTGCCGCCTGGGTTCAAGTGATACTCCTGCCTCAGCCTCCCAAGTAGCTGGGATTACAGGCAAGTTCCACCACATCTGGCTAATTTTTATATTTTTAGTAGAGACGGGGTTTTGCCATGTTGGCCAGACTGGTCTCAAACTCCTGACCTCAGGTGATCCACCCACCTCAGCCTCCCAAAGTGCTGGGATTACAGGCATGAGCCACTGTGCCCAGCCTACAACTTACTTTTTTTTTTCTTTTTGAGATGGAGTCTTGCTCTGTCACCCAGGCTGGAGTGCAGTGGCACAATCTCAGCTCATTGCAACCTCCACCTCCTGGGTTCAAGAGATTCTCCTGCCTCAGCCTCCCGATTAGCTGGGACTACAGGCACGTGCCACCACACCCAGCTAATTTTTTGTATTTTTAGTAGAGACGAGGTTTCACCATGTTGACCAGGATGGTCTTGATTTCTTGACATGGTGATCCATCCGCCTCGGCCTCCCAAAGTGCTGGGATTACAGGCGTGAGCCACCACGCCCGGTCTACAACTTACTCTTAAATGGCTATTGGGGAAATACACACACATATATATATATAAAATATATTTTATATATAATATATTATATATATATAATAGAGAGACAGCGCGTGAGCGAGCATGCACGCAAAAATGTGGCAAAATGCTAACAATTGGTGAATCTAGAAGAAAGCTATATAGGTGTTCACTGTATTATTCTTAGAGCTTTTTTGTAGGTTTGACTTTTTTTAAATAAAAATTTGTGGAAAAAAAACTACAAGGTCTCCCATTCTAAAAAGAGATGTGTATTTTTTTTTTTAAGGAATCAACAGTTCTTAAAATCAACTAATACTATTAGTGATGTATTTGTTTCAAGTACCAACTACAAATGGAAAAAAAAAAATTCAGCTTGTGGAGCTGTATCCTGAACCACTGCAGCATTCATAAAATGGCAGACCAAGGAATGGCTGGTTTTGGATTGAGACCAACCCTAGAAGGAAAGGTCCATGGCCTGGACAGACAGGCAGCTCTCTCCTCTCACAAAATCAAGCTTCCTATTACCAGTGACCTTCCTAGAGAAACCTAAAGGGCACTGCTCTAGCCAGAGCTGCCTGAGTTCAGACTTTTTTTGGTACAGGCAGTCTGTCCCAAACATTCTCTCTGACTTTGGCTTTCAGGTCAGAGGACTTATCTGGTTTGCCTCAGGAGACTTTTTTTGGATTCAATTCAAGGGTACCAAAAACATCTAGGAGATGCCAGGTATGATGCTAAGTACTGAGGTTGCAAAGATGAACAAGCCAAAGAAGAACCCTGATCCAGAAAAAATCAGACTGTCAATAACTAATAAGCAACATTAAAAGCACTATGTTGGAGGTATCTCCTACAGGACACTGGGGAGAAAAAAAGGGAGCAGATTTGTCCAAACATCAGGGAACACCAAAGAGCAAAGGCCATATCTGACCCAGAGGCTGATTACTTTTCCAGAGAGTAAAGGCATTCCAAGTTCAGGAAGGTGCACAGGCCACGGCATGGAAAGGCCAAAGGGTCAACTCACTTGGACAACGGTGAGCAGAGTTCATTAGTTAGAGTATAGGATTGAGAGTGGTGGGTGGTAAGAGTTGAAGCAGCTCATCAATCCCTGCCTGCAGCGGAGAGCACTCACTGTAGGTCTCTGAACTGGATCTCTTATTCATTTTCCTCTTGAATGAGGATACCTGATCTCCAAGATTTACTCAACACTTATGTAATCTACACACTGCAGGGGACTACTATCATGAGCAAATTCTTGTTCTTAAGGAGTTTATATACTAGCACTAGAAGATTGTATAGAATAAATTCACAGAGAACTCTGACTTAGGAACAATGCATTAATGATCCTAAGAAGTATTTTTGTAAACATATTTTTAAAAGTTGGACTTCACAGAAAGAAGAAAGATCACTTTCAGAGAAGACATGAATAGAGAAATCAGGAAAGGCTTTCTGTAGGTGGTGGCACAGGGGCCAGACCTTAATGGTACAACATAGGTGAAAACATTGAAAACACGGAGAAGACATTCCAAGGGAAACAACTAACCTAAGTTAAAATGTAGAGGTAGCTCTGCAGATAGATACTGCCTAAGTGCACGGATTCCTAAACACTCTGCTTAGATTCAGAACTAAACATATTTCTTTAACAATATTTACTGTGTGAGGCTGAGACTTGATTCTAGCCTGTTTTGTGTTTTCTACGACACTACCAACTTTCTTTGTGGGTTGGTTGCTTGGCAGCAGGGGTGGGAATAGTTGGGAATGGACAAGAAAACAAGCCGGCAGCGTAGAACCACCTCAGAGTTCAAAATTGGTAATCTACTTCCTGTGTTCTTAGCAAAGTCTTGCAGTCCAGGGCAGTGACCTGGGGCATTTGGACTTAAAATCTGCTGTTTACATAATCACACATTCCCTATATAAAGAGGTCCTTGTGAAGTCTGCCAATCTGTCAGTTCTAGTCACAGTCAGTTCAAACAAGCACCTGACCAAGGAAACTGAGACCAGACTGGGGGTGTGGGAGAGAACTGGTCAAACTCGTTGGGTAATTTTATGATTACTGAGCATTACATTTAAGTCACAGGCAAGGACCAAGGACGCTAAGATTATTCAACACCTAATAAGCCTAAGTATTGTGTTAGTGCTTTCACACACTGCCTCACATAATCCTCTTAACAACCCAACGAGTAGTATTAACTCAGATAAGTAAACTGAGGCTTAAAGGTTAAATTACTTGCTCAATGTCATATAGCTAGTAAATGCTGATGCCCACATCTGAGTCCACAAACCTAGCTTATGCCCCACTGCCTGTTACACTCCCTCAGTCAGCAAACAACTGGGGAACTCTGTTTCAATCCAGGTGATGCTCTCCTACAGACAGATGAAGCTTTAGTCTGGCCTTGTGCATATACTGCCTGAGCTTTGATAGTCTTAATTTCTTCGCCTCCCTGGACTTTAACATTCCTCTGATCAGTTCTTAATGCTGTTTCAAATGAGTTTTTTTCTGTGCCAGTCTTCTCAAGACTGAAGTGGGTCCATTCTCCTTTGAAAGACAACCCAGGTCTTTGCTCTCAGTTTTCAAAAAATTTCACCAGACCCTCCTAGCTGGCTTCCCATTCCTAACTCTGCAATTAACATATCCTCTGTTGGTCTCACCTGCTCACAGCCTTAGCCCTATCTAACTACTGTCAGCAAGTCCCAACCCAAGCTATATCCTCTTCTAAAACATCCTCTCTGCCTCAGTCTGCCAAATTTCCACCTTCCATTTCAGTTCCTAAAGTCTATTTTTTCCTCAATAAAAGTTCTCATCAGGAGGAGTTATGACTTCTCTGAACTAAACAAGCATTTCCCCCCATCCCATCACCTCTGCCTGGTCATAGCACAGTGTGTACTTAGGTGACCTTGAACAAGATGTTTCTGTTATTTACGTGGCTGCTCAAGCTTTGTCCTGTGGACTATATATTCCTAATGACTTCTTTCTGTACAGTCCCTCAAACTGTAAATGCTTTGAAAGCAAAGACTAACTTTATAGTTCATCTTCAATACAATGCTGAAGAGACAAGTGTTTATAAAAGTGTAAACTGAGAGTGTGCTAAGCTTTTAAAAGCAAAGATAGATGGACTCCATCTGTCAAAACAGAACAAAACAAAACAAAAAGCCCACCCTTGCTATCACACAATGCAGTTTCCATGTTTTTACAAGAAAATCCTTCCTGGGTATGAAAATCACAATCAAGTAAAATATTAAAATATAGGGTTCATAAATCACCAAACAGTGTGAGCACTATAAGCCAGGACCTGATTTTTTTTTTTCTTAAAGGAAGACAGAATGTTACTCAAAAGATGACGAACTGCAAAAGGTTAAATACAGGCTAAAACCCTTGGCTTCCCAACTTGATCAGTTTACGTAACTCAGAAGGTGGAAAAACTTGGAATCTGGCCTAAAATAACACTGACTTATTTCCATTCAAGTTATGCTACAAGGGAAAAAATGTGAAGTTTGAAAACTTTCCTTTCCAAAGCCAGATTTAGACAAGTTGAAGGAAAAAGAAATAAATGCTACACTGCAGCCCACTGCAGCTCCACAATGGCCTGTTTTTGCCCACTCAAAGTAGATTCCTCTTCCTTGTTCCTCAAGCAGGATCTCCTTAGCTAGCTGGCTTGTGTTCAAACTGAATAGTATGTGGCCTGGCTTGTGCCAGGTTCACAAACCATGCTGGTATTGCATAAACTTCCACAACTACATGACCTTGGTTAAGAGCACCAGAGGGCAAGCCAGCCTAGCCAGTGCAGAGGACGTATAGAATCACCAGCAGAAATAGCCATCCAGGAATACAAACTTTTCTAAAAGTGGGTGGGAATCATTAGTGCACAAGGGTTTGGTCACTCTTGTATAAAGCTGTGTGCCTATTACTATTTCTGTTCACCTGGACCCTGTGCCCCTAGACTGCTGAAGCTGACACTGTAAGCTGCCCAAGTAAGCTGAGAATGACAGCTTCCTCCATTCCACTGCCAGCATCATTGGCTTCTGAAATCAGTTTCAGAGCCAGATGGCCAAACTCATGTACAACATCTGTAGCTGGCTGCCATCATTGCCTTTGCCCAAGAGGCCTCAACAGTGGTAGCACAGCTGTGCTCATTGCACAGCAGATGCCAGCTCCTTTCCCTGGGCCCATATTCTCTGTCCCACTATGAGAGGTGAGGCTATTGCAGTATCAGGATCAGCTGTTAGTGCAGAACAAGGGGTAGAAGGCTCAGGGTGGACAGGCATTTTTTGGTAGCTCCAGTGACAGCAACTTTGGAGATGGAATATTTTCCCAGTGGGCAATGAGGGAGGTTATGCTATCTATCATCAAGCTTGTCATGTCCATCTTATCTTCCTAGTGGCCACATTCACAGCTACATGCTAAAGGAAACAGACTTTTTTTTTTTTTTAAGACAGGGTCTCACTCGGTTGCCCAGGCTGGAGTGTAGTGTGGCACAATCTCGGCTTACTGCAGCCTTTACCTCCCCAGGCTCAGGTGATCCTCCCACCGCAGCCTCCCAAGTAGCTGGGACTACAGGCATATGTCACCATGCCCAGCTAATTTTTGTATTTTTTGCAGAGATGGCGTTTCACCATGTTGCCCAGACTGGTCTTGAACTCCTGGGCTCAAGTGTTCTACCTGCCTCGGCCTCCAAAAGTACTTAGATTACAGGCATGAACCACCACACCTGGCCCTAGAACTTCTTTTACTAAGTAGTCAAGGATTCTAGGGCCCTATCATTAGGATGACCTATGTCACAGCTAGGTGTTAAAAAATGAACTGGGTCAATCAAATTCCCTCTCTCTGGAATTCAACTAGAAATATGAAAACTATACAAACTGAGTCATGACAATGGTGGGAGATTACAATGGATAATTAGTAACTTCCACTGTTCAAATCCCTGCAGCTTGCCACACACCCTAGTACAGCCTCCATGATACCTGGTTATATTATAGCTCCTGTTCTTGGACTCCCCTTGTTACTCATAACCACACCCCTGATTTGAGGTAGCACAAAAGAACTTATCCTTGCAGTCAAATAACTCAACTACCAAGCAGTTCACCCATGTCCAGAAATAGTGTGGCATCATCCACGAGGCAGAATTCCATGGTTAAGTTATGGCTAAAGGGCAGCTCAGACCTACAGCCCCAGTCTAAACCACCTCTTTGGAAATACTCCAGCTATGTGAGTATGACAAACAGAATACAAAGGCTCAGGAAAAAGCCAAGGACCACTTTCGTTTTCAAATGTTAAAATGTACCTTGGGTCATATAGCTTAAGATGCTAATTTTAATATAAAATCCAGCCTTGTAAATAACAGCATTATCTATCAGATTATATAGCTTAAACCTGTCCTCCTTTTCCACCAATCATACAGAGGAGCAAAACAAATAAAAATAACTTTATTATCCACCAGGTAAAATAGTATAAACTATTGGTCTGTCAGGTTCAAGTCTGTCTAACAAAAGCTGTGTGTTCTTATGAAAAGATACTTCACCTCTTTCAGTCTCAGTTTAAAATAAAGGTTGCACTAGAATGAGATAATCTTTAAGGAACTTTCCACCTCTAAAATGTGGTGGGTTCTATTCTCTGATCAAGTAATGAACTCATCATTTGCCAGGATACAATTCATTCATCTAATAGATACCTGAAGGTCATTGAGCCAAGTATGCAAAGTACTTGGTATTGAGCAGTGAACAAAATATAAAAAAATTCCCTGCACTCATAAAACTTACATTGCAGTCTGGAAAAAAAGTCAGAAAAACACATCTAATTTTTCAGGTCATAATAAGCATTTTAAAGAAAAATAAAATGAGGGTAAAAAAGAAATAAATTGGCCAGGCACGGTGACTTACATCTGTAATCCCAGCATTTTGGGAGGCCAAGGCAGGAGGATTGCTTGAAGCCAAGAGTTCAAGACCAGCCTGGACCCCATCTCTACTAACTAAATAAGTAAGTAGACAGAAAATGCGAGTAAGAGGAATACAGAAAAAGAGGATACAGGGGCTAGACATTTGAGCAGTGTCTAAGTGAGAAAGTGCTCCATTTAGAAATGTGGGGGAAGGCCTGGTGTGGTGGCTCACGACTGTAAATCTAGCACTTTGGGAGACCGAGGCAGGTGGATCACCTGAGGTCAAGAGTTCACGACCAGCCTGGGCAATATGGTGAGACCCCCATCTCTACTAAAAAATCCTAAAAATCAGCCAGGTGTGGTAGCACACAGCTGTAATCCCAGCTACTTGGGAGGCTGAGGCATGAGAATAGCTTGAGCCTAGGAGGTGGAGGTTGCAGTAGGCCAAGACTGTGCCATTGCACTCCAGCCTGGGCAACAAAGCGAGACTCTGTCTCAAAATGAACAAACAAAAAAGAAATGGGGGAAGAGGGCTTCAGAAAAAAGGAAGTACTAAGGCCCCCCAGAGGCCTCAGTTGTCTTGTCCAAAGAATAGCAAAGTAGTCAGTGTGGCCATAGTGGGTAAGGGAGAGAATGATAGGAGCTAATGTTAGAAAACACCCAAAATTCAACAGATGAGACCTAAGAGGAAAAGACTTAAAACACTTCAAGTACAAGACTCATACCAATGTGGCCCCTGGGTTCTTCAGGGGTGCACTATACACCAAACACAGAAGCAAAAAGGTAAGTTCACAACCACAATGTACCATTTATCTGACTTGAAACTAAGCACAACATTTGATACAGATGTCCAAATTAGCTAAAACTTCATACAGAAAATTGCTTTGGGAAGCCATATAATAGCAAATCTGGAGTCATTAATATTTTCATTTATTTTAACTGTGGTTAAGTAACCTTCACAAAATTTATCCTACAGAAAATAATCTGAAAGAGAAGGCCATGTACAAAAATATACCAAGAGAAGCATTACTTCTAATAACCCTTCAGAAGTATCCAATCTTTTGGCTTCCCTGGGCCACACTTGAAGAAGAATTGTCTTGGGCCACACATACAGTATAGTAACACTGATAGCTGATAGGCTAAAAAGAAATGGCAAAAATAAAAAACATAATGTTTTAAGAAAGTATACAAATTTTTCCTGAGCTGCATGTGGCCTGTGGGCAACAGATTGGATAAGCTTGGCCTAGATGACCAAAAAGCAAGTCAGTTATGGTACAAACTCCTTGAAAGGTGGCCTCTTTAAAAATATGAAAATTGGTAACTAATTAAACTGAAGAGCTTCTGCATAGCAAAAGAAACTATCAAAAGAGTGAACAGACAACCTACAGAGTGAGAGAAAATTTTTGCAAACTATGCATTTGACAAAGGTCTAATATCCAGCATCTGTAAGGAACTTCAACAAATTTATAAGAAAAAAATAAATAGTTTCATTAAAAAGTGGGCAAAGGACATGAACAGACACTTTTCATAAGACACACATGCAGCCAACAAACATGAAAAAAAGCTCAATATCGCTGATCATTAGAGAAATGCAAATCAAAATCACAATAAGATACCACCTCACACTAGTCAGAATGGCTTACTAAAAAGTCAAAAAATAACAGGTGCTGGTGAGGTTGCACAGAAAAAGGAACGCTTATACACTGCTGGTGGGAGTGTAAATTAGTTCAGCCATTGTGGAAAACAGTGTGGCAATTCCTCAAAGACCTAAAAACAACTACCATTTGAGCCAGCAAACCCATTACTGGGTATATACTCAAAGGAACATAAATCGTTCTATCATAAAGACACATGCACATGTGTGTTCACTGCAGCACTATTCACAATAGCAAAGACATGGAATCAACCTAAATGCCTATCAATGGTAGACTGGATAAAGAAAACGTGGTACATATATACCATGGAATAGTACGCAATCATTAAAAAGAACAAGATTATGTCCTTTGCAGGAACACAGATGGAGCTGGAGGCTATTATCCTTAGCAAAGTAGTGAACAGAAAACCAAATACCACATGTTCTCACTTATACATGGGAGCTAAATGATGAGAACACATGGACACATAGAGGGGAACAACAGACACAATAGACACTGGGGCCTATCGGAGGGTGGAGGGTGGGAGGAGGGAGAGGATCAGGAAAAATAACTAATGGGCACTAGGCTTAATACCTGGGTGACCAAATAATCTGTATAACAAACCCCTATGACCTACATAACAAAAAGACTGGAAGGAGATAGAAAAATGATGGTTGGTTCTGCTGGGATGGTTCTGCTGTTCTGTTGGGATTATTCTTATTGTTTATAAAATAACATGTTCAAAGAGAACCAGATTGCTTTGTTCTGGTTCTACTACTTCATTATAATACCAAGGTCTACAATTAGAATAACAATAGAAAATACTGGGATCATATAACTGACAAGAGGGCCTTCATATCTACTCTCTCTGGGAGACTAGATCAATTTAGGAGAAAAAAAATCCTTCAAGGCTCTTTCATTTTTCTTCTACCTCACAACATCCCTGTTGCGCATGGTAGCTCACGCCTGTAATCCCAACACTTTGGGAGGCTGAAGTGAGAGCATCGCTTGAGCCCAGGAGTTTGAGAACAGCCCAGGCAACAGAGCAAGACTCTGTCTCCACAAAAAATAAAAATAAAAAATAAGCCAGGCATGGTAGTGAGTGCAGCTACTTAGGAGGCTAAGGCAGGAGGACTGCTTGAGCCCTGGAAGTCAAGGCTGCAGTGAGCCATGATTGTACTACTGCACTCTAGCCTGGGTGACAGAGTGTGGCCCTGTCTCCAAACAAACAAACAAAAAACAAATTACAGCCACACTTCCTTCATTTCTCCAAAGGCACTGAAGCCTTTTTTTCATACTTAGTTCTCCCTGCATGATAGTCCTCTGCTTGGAATTTGCTTCCCTACATGTTCTAGCTAACTCCTCAATTTTCAGGTCTGCTTAAATGCCATTTTCTCAAACAAGCTCTCTCCATACTCCCAATCTAAACTGATGCCCCCTTTTTAGAGTCTCTACTGCACTCTATTTTTCCTTCAGAGAACTTATCAGTTTGTAATCATGTTTACTTTTGTGACTATCTGATTAATTTCTTATCTCCCCCATAGGACTATAAGTTTGTGAGGTCCAGGACCAAGTCATGAAAACAAACATTGTGACTTTTATGCCTTCCTTCGCCTTCCATGGTCTCAGTGGTGTTCTAAGGGCAACCATTTCCTTACTTGTGGTCCACAGACAAACTGATCCATAAGGCTCTGTATATCCTCAATGGGTCATTAAATGTCTTAATGGCCCTTGTGCTGAAAGAGCTGAAGTCTGCATGGCCTCCCACTCTGCTAGCTCAAAAACATGCAACGAGACAGTCCATGTATCTGGCCACCTGGCCATTCTTTCCCTATGTGGCTTTTTTTTTTTTTTTTGCCACCAACTGAGGTCTATCTATGTGGATTTTAAGCTCTTAACAATCCACTGAAAATGGTCATGCTTTTACAAACCCTACTTCAAATCTGCACCAAGGTAAACTTGCTGCATGAACAGATGATTCTATTTCACTATGTATACACTATCTGAGAAAGGCTAAAGGGCTGAATAGTGGATGGTTCATGTTTTCCTTTCTAGTTACACACAAGCCTAATACAGCTAAACAAACTTTACCTAATGGCCAATGTGAGGTGACCTAAGAAAAATTATTATCAGCAAGAGGGGGTATTATTAAGAAGGCATTGAACAGTTTGAGGTGAACAATGTAGATATTCTTAACATTGGAATAACATCAAATATCTTTAGGCTCTGCCCAAATAGGTCATCAACCTTCAGACTTTAGCTGAGAGCAAAACACAACAGGAGCCAATAGTCTAATAATTATTTCTCTTCCCTGACCCCAATCACCAAGAAGGCAATCTGCTCTCTGAGGATGCAAGCCTGAGGACCAGAATCAGGAGATTAGATTCTCTTCTTGGCATAGCTCTCACTGGTCCATCTCAACACCTAACCTCAGCTATAAAATGAGGGCACCAGCACTAATGTACTATAGTTCTATATTTAATGCTGTTATTTTGGAGTGTACCAAGAGCTATCTATGGAGGCTGTAGAGGTGCTAAACTCCGTACTGCTCTGACCAACCCTAACATTCTCTTCAATTCTCAGTTAACAATTTAAGTAGGATGTTGTAAAATATGGCATATACACGAAGAAGGCAGAAAAGAAGAATGCTGATCCAGCAACTATTAGACATAACATATAAGTGAGAAAATAAAAATATTTAGCTTGGAAAGAGAAACTGATAGTCCTTTAAGTACCTAGAGTTAGATGTCACAATGATGACTTATTCTGTCTTACTTTATAAGACATCGTTGACTAAGGAGTAAAGATTGCAGGGAAGCATTTGACACAATAGAGGGAAACATGTAATAACTAACTAGGGCTACAAATATAAAGACTTCTGAAATAAACTGCCTCCCTTGTCACCGGATGTCTCAAAGCAAAATGAGCAATTCTGTGGGCCATTTTGGAGCAGGAGTCAACATACGTTTTCTGTAAAGAGATGTGTGTGCCACATATAATTCCTTAAAGATGTAAAAAAAATCCTTAAGCTCACAGGTCATACAAAAACAGGTAGTTTGTTGACCCTTGTTCTAGAGAAGCACTGTCTAACAGAAATGTAATATGACTCACATATGTAATTAAAATTTTTCCAGTATCTGTATTTTAAAAGGTAAAAAGAAACAAGTGAAGTTAATTTTAATATCTTATTTAATCCAATATCTCCATAAAGTTATTTTAACATGCAAACAAAATTATTAATGAGATTCTCTACATTTAAAACAAAACTAAGCCTTTAAAATGCAGTGTATATTTACACGTAAAACCATATCTCAAGTCAAACTAGTCACATTTCAAGTGCTCATTAGCTACATACTGCAGCAAGTAGTTCTAGATAAACTGTGCATTTCTTGAGAAACAGAAGAGATGACCTCCCAATCAATATTCAATTCTAAGAACGCAAATCGATGAGGAAAAAATTGGACTAGCCAGCCTATAAACAAAACTGGGGGATCTGTCAAGCTACCTGAAAAAATAAAGCTGGATCCTTTCTCATGCCTTACTCCAATATAAATTCCAGACCAAAACAAGATGTCAATGTCAAAAGTAAAGTAATACAAGCAACAACAACAAAAAGAAAACAACATGTGTAGTATTTTCTTATTGTCTTGCAGCGGGAAAAATCTTTTAAGGCATGTCATAAATATTCAGAAAACACAAAGAAGACATTAATAAATTTACCTATATAAAAATTTATGTTAGTACTACAAAAAAACATTAAAGAGGGTCAAAAAGTAAATGACAAATGGGGGAAGGTTAAGAAGGTTAACAAGGATATCCAGGACTTAAACTCGGCTCTGCACCAAGCAGAACTAATAGACGTCTACAGAACTCTCCACCCCAAATCAACAGAACATACGTTCTTGTCAGCGCCACATCACACTCATTCCAAAATTGACAACATAGTTGGAAGTAAAGCACTCCTCAGCAAATGTGAAAGAACAGAAATCACAATAAACTGTCTCTCAGACCACAGTGCAATCAAATTAGAACTCAGGATTAAGAAACTCACTCAAAACCACACAACTACATGAAAACTGAACAACCTGCTCCTGAATGACTATTGGGTAAATAACGAAATGAAGGCAGAAATAAAGACGTTCTTTGAAACCAATGAGAACAAAGACACAATGTACCAGAATCTCTGGGACACATTTAAAGCAGTCTGTAGAGGGAAATTTGTAGCACTAAATGCCCCCAAGAGAAAGCAGGAAAGATCTAAAATCAACACCCTAACATCACAATTAAAAGAACTAGAGAAGCAAGAGCAAACAAATTCAAAAGCTAGCAGAAGGCAAGAAATAACTAAGATCAGAGCAGAACTAAAGGAGATAGAGACACAAAAAACCCTTCAAAAAAATCAATGAATCCAGGAGCTGGTTTTCTGAAAAGATCAACAAAATTGATAGACTGCTAGCAAGACTAATAAAGAAGAAAAGAGAGAAGAATCAAATAGACGCAATAAAAAATGATAAAGGGGATATCACCACCGATCCCACAGAAATACAAACTACCATCAAAGAATACTATAAACACCTCTACACAAATAAACTAGAAAATGTAGAAGAAATGGGTAAATTCCTGGACACATACACCCTCCCAAGACTAAACCAGGAAGAAGCTGAATCTCTGAATACACCAATAACAGGCTCTGAAATTGAGGCAATAATTAATAGCCTACCAAAAAAAGTCCAGGACCAGATGGATTCACAGCCAAATTCTACCAGAGGTACAAAGAAGAGCTGGTACCATTCCTTCTAAAACGATTCCAATCAATAGAAAAAGAGGGAATCCTCCCTAACTCATTTTATGAGGACAGCATCATCCTGATACCAAAGCCTGGCAGAGACACAACAAAAAAAGAGAATTTTAGACCAATATCCCTGACGAATATGGATGCGAAAATCCTCAATAAAATACTGGCAAACTGAATCCAGCAGCACATGAAAAAGCTTATCCACCATGATCAAGTTGGCTTCATCCCTGGGATGCAAAGCTGGTTCAACATTGCAAATCAATAAACATAATCCATCACATAAACAGAACCAACAACAACAAAAAAACCACGATTATCTCAATAGATGCAGGAAAGGCCTTTGACAAAATTCAGCAGCCCTTCATGCTAAAAACTCTCAATAAATTAGGTATTGATGGAACATATCTCAAAATAATAAGAGCTATTTACGACAAACCCACAGCCAATATCATACTGAATGGGAAAAACTGGAAGCATTCCCTTTGAAAACTGGCACAAGACAAGAATGCCCTCTCTCACCACTCCTATTCAACATAGTGTTAGAAGTTCTGGCCAGGGCAATCAGGCAAGAGAAAGAAATAAAGGGTATTCAATTAGGAAAAGAGGAAGTCAAATTGTCCCTGTTTGCAGATGACATCATTGTATATTTAGAAAACCCCATCATCTCAGCCCAAAATCTCCTTAAGCTGATAAGCAACTTCAGCAAAGTCTCAGGATACAAAATCAATATGCAAAAATCACAAGCGTTCCTATATACCAATATCAGACAAACAGCCAAATCATGAGTGAACTCCCATTCACAACTGCTTCAAAGAGAATAAAATACCTAGGAATCCAACTTACAAGGGATGTGAAGGACCTCTTCAAGGAGAACTACAAACCACTGCTCAATGAAATAAAAGAGGATACAAACAAATGGAAGAACATTCCATACTCATGGATAGGAAGAATCAATATTGTGAAAATGGCCATACTGCCCAAGGTAATTTATAGATTCAGTGCCATCCCCATCAAGCTACCAATGACTTTCTTCACAGAATTGGAAAAAACTACTTTAAAGTTCATATGGAAACAAAAAAGAGCCCGCATTGCCAAGACAATTCTAGGCAACAAGAACAAAGCTGGAGGCATCATGCTACCTGACTTCAAACTATACTACAAGGCTACAGTAACCAAAACAGCATGGTACTGGGACCAAAACAGATATATAGACCAATGGAATAGAACAGAGGCCTCAGAAACAACACCACACATCTACAACCATCTGATCTTTGACAAACCTGACAAAAACAAAAAATGGGGAAAGGATTCCCTATTTAATAAATGGTGCTGGGAAAACTGGCTAGCCATATGTAGAAAGCTGAAACTGGATCCCTTCCTTACAACTTATACAAAAATTAATTCAAGATGGATTAAAGACTTAAATGTTAGACCTAAAACCATAAAAACCCTAGGAGAAAACCTAGGAAATACCATTCAGGACATAGGCATGGGCAAGGACGTCATGACTAAAACACCAAAAGCAATGGCAACAAAAGCCAAAATAGACAAATCAGATCTAATTAAACTAAAGAGCTTCTGCACAGCAAAAGAAACTACCATCAGAGTGAGCAGGTAACCTACAGAATAGGAGAAAATTTTTGCAATCTGTCCATCTGACAAAGGGCTCATATCCAGAATCTACAAAGAACTTAAACAAATTTACAAGAGAAAAACAACCCCAATAAAAAGTGGGCAAAGGATATGAATACGCACTTCTCAAAAGAAGACATTTATGCAGCCAACAGACACATGAAAAAATGCTCATCATCGCTGGTCATCAGAGAAATGCAAATCAAAACCACAATGAGATACCATCTCACGCCAGTTAGAATGGCAATCATTAAAATGTCAGGAAACAACAGATGCTGGAGAGGATGTGGAGAAATAGGAATGCTTTTATACTGTTAGTGGGAGTGTAAACTAGTTCAACCATTGTGGAAGACAGTGTGGCAATTCCTCAAGGATCTAGAACTAGAAATACCATTTGACCCAGTGATCCCATTACTAGATAAATGCCCAAAGGATTATAAATCATGCTACTATAAAGACACATGCATACGTATGTTTATTGTGGCACTATTCACAATAGCAAAGACTTGGAGCCAACCAAAATGTCCATCAATGATAGACTGGATTAAGAAAATGTGGCACATATACACCATGGAATACTATGTAGCCATAAAAAAGGATGAGTTCATGTCCTTTGTAGGGACATGGATGCAGCTGGAAACCATCATTCTGAGCAAACTATCACGAGGATAGAAAACCAAACACTGCATGTTCTCACTCATAGGTGGGAATTGAACAATGAGAACACTTGGACACAGGGCAGGGAACATCACATCCAGGGGCCTGTCATGGGGTGGGGGGCAGGGGGAGGGATAGCATTAGGAGAAATACCTATTGTAAATGATGAGTTAATGGGTGCAGCAAACCAACATGGCACATGTATACCTATGTAACAAACCTTCACATTATGCACATGTACCCTAGAACTTAAAGTATAATAATAAAAAAAAAACTTCAAATTAAGACCTCAAACTATGAAACTACTAAAAGAAATACTAAGACAAACAAACAAACAAACAAAAACACTGGGGAAAATCTCCAAGACATTGGTCTGGGCACAAAGATTTCTTGAGTAATACCCCACAAGCAAAGGCAACCAAAGCAAAATGGACAAATGGGATCACATCAAGTTAAAAAGCTTCTGCACAGCAAAGGAAACAGTCAACAAAGTGAAGAGACAACCCACAGAATGGGAGAAAATAGTTACAAACTGTCAATCTAACAAGGGATTAATAACAATATATAAAGAGCTCAAACAACTCAATAGGAAAAAAAACTAATAATCTGATTTAAAAACGGGCAAAAGAGAGTTTCTAAGGATCATGTCTGAGAGTGAGTATTTCTTCTTTTTTTTTCTAAGGCGGAGTCTTGCTCTGTCACCCAGGCTGGAGTGCAGTGGCATGATCTCGGCTCACTGTAAACTCTGCCCCCCAGATTCAAGTGATTCTCCTGCCTCAGCCTCCTGAGTAGCTGGGATTACAGGCATGGGCTACCACGCCCAGCTAATTTTTGTATTTTTAGTAGAGATGGGGTTTCACCATGTTGGCCAGGCTGGTCTCGAACTCCTGACCTCGTGATCTGCCCGCCTCAGCCTCTCAAAGTGCTGGGATTATAAGCGTGAGCCACCGCGCCCGGCCAAGAGTGAGTATTTCTGATCCAGAGACAATGGTCCCGATGAGATGGAGCCTGAAGGCATCATTGAGAGAAACTGAAATGAGATTGTTGACAGTTTTGATGATATGAACCTCTTGGAATCCCTCCTCCATGGCATCTATGCCTATGGTTTTGAGAAGTCCTCTGCCATCCAGCAGCGAGCCATTCTTCTTGTATCAAGGATTATGATGTGATCACTCAAGCCCTATCTGGGACTGGGAAAATGGCCACTTTTGCCATATCAATTCTGCAGTAGATTGAATTAGATCTAAAGGCTACCCACACCTTGGTCCCAGCATCCACTTGATAATTGGCTCAAAAGATAGAAAAGGTGGTCATGACACTAGGAGACTACATGGGTGCCTCCTGTCATGGCTGTATTGGGGGCACCAACGTGCATGCTGAGGTGCAGAAACTACAGATGGAAGTTCCCCATATCATCGTGGGTACCCCTGGCCATATATCTGATATGCTTAACCAGAGATACCTGTCTCCCAAATACATCAAGATGTTTGTACTGGACGAAGCTGATGAAATGTTAAGCCATGGATTCAAGGACTCAATCTATGACATATTCCAAAAGCTCAACAGCAACACCCAGGTGGTTTTGCTATCAGCCACAAGGCCTTCTGATGTGCTTGAGGTGACCAAGAAGTTCATAAGGGACCCCATTTGGATTCCTGTCAAGAAGGAAGAGTTGACCCTGGAGGGGGTCCACCAATTCTACATCAATGTGGAACATGAGGAGTGGAAACTGAGCACACTGTGTGGCTTGTATGAAACCCTGATTGTCACCCTAGGCAGTCATCTTCATCAATACTGGAAAGAAGGTGGATTGGCTCGGCTGGGTGCAGTGGCTCACGCCTGTAATCCCAGCACTTTGGGAGGCCAAGGTGGGCGGATCACAAGGTCAGGAGAGCCAGACCATCCTGGCTTACATGGTGAAACCCCATCTCTACTAAAAATACAAAAAGAAATTAGCCGGGCATGGTGGCAAGTGCCTGTAGTCCCAGCTACTGGGAGGCTGAGGCAGGAGAATGGCATGAACCCGGGAGGAGGAGCTTGCAGTGAGCCGAGATCGCACAACTGCACTCCAGCCTGGGTGACAGAGCAAGACTCTGTCTCAAAAAAAAAAAGAAGAAAGTGGATTGGCTCACTGAGAAGATGCATGCTTGGGACTTCACTGTCTCTGCCATGCATGGAGATATGGAACAAAAGAATGAAATGTGATCATGAGGGAGTTTTGTTCTGGCTCTCACAGAGTATTGATTACCACTGACCCGCAGCCAGAGGCATTCATGTGCAGCAGGTTTCTTCAGTTATCAACTGTGACCTTCCCACCTGTATCCACAGAATTGGTCGAGGTGGATGGTTTGGCCATAAGGGTGTGGCTATTAACATGGTAACAGAAGAAGACAAGAGGACTCTTTAAGAAACTGAGACCTTATACAACACCTCCATTGAGGTGATGGCCCTCAATGTTGCTGACCTCATCTGAGGGGCTATCCTGCTACCTAGCCCCAGCCAGGATTCATTCTTGGGAAACTGAGGAGCAGCAGGAGGCGGAAGGAAAGAGAGCCAAGGGATGGACATCTTGTAATTTTTTTCCTTGAATAAACGTCACTTTTTGAGGCAAAAAAAAAAAAAAAAGGGAGGGTGAAAGATCTGAATAGGCATTTCTCAAAAGACAATATACAAATGGCAAACAGATATATGAAAAGGTGCTCAATATTACTGATTGTCAGCGAAAGGCAAATCAAAACTACAATGTGATATCATCTCACCACAGTTAAAATGGTTTTTATCCAAAAGACAGGCTATAAGAAATGCTGGTGAGGATGTGGAGAAAAGGGAACACTTGTACGCTGTTGGTGAGAATATAAATTAGTATAGCCACTATGGAGAACAGCATGGAGGTTCCTCAAAAAACTAAAAATAGAGCTACCATATGATCCATCAATCATACTGCTAGGTATATATAACCAAAAGAAAGGAAATCAGTATATCAAAGAGATACCTGTACTCCCATGTTTGTTGCAGCACTATTCACAATAGCCAGGATTTGGAAACAACCTTTATCCATTCATCAACAGACGAATGGATAAAGAATATGTGGTATGTGACCAGGCACGGTGGCTCACGCCTGTAATTCCAGCACTCTGGGAGGCCGAGGCAGGTGGATCACCTGAGGTTGGGAGTTCGAGACCAGCCTGACCAACATGAAGAAACCCCATCTCTACTAAAAATGCAAAATTAGCCAGGCATGATGGCACAGGCCTGTAATCCCAGCTACTCGGGAGGCTGAGGCAGGAGAATCTCTTGAATCCCAGAGGTGGAGGTTGAAGTGAGCCAAGATTGTGCCATTGCACTCCAGCTTAGACAACAAGAGTGAAACTCCATCTCACACACACACATAAAAAAAAAAAAAAAAAAGAATATGTGGTACATATACACAGTGGAGTAGTATTCAGCCACGAAAAAAAAGAGTCCTGTCATCTGCAACAACATGGATGGAACTGGAGGACATTATGATAAGAAAAATAAGCCAGGCACAGAAAGACAAACTTCCCATTGTCTCATGCATTTGTGAGAACTAAAAATCCAAACAATTGAACTCATGATGACAGAAAATAGAATGATGTAAGTTACCAGAGGCTGGAAAGAAGGTGGGGGTGGGTGGGTAAAAGTGGGCATGGTTAATAGGTACAAAAACATAATTAGATGGAATGAATAAGATCTTGTCTTTGATAGTACAACAGGGTGACTACAATCAACAATAATCTACTGTATATTTTTAAATAACTAAAGTATAATTGGAATGTTTATAACACAAAGAAATGATAAATGCTTGAGGTGATGAATACCCCATTTACCCTGATGTGATTATTACATACTGTATGCCTATATCAAAATATCTCAGCTGGGCATGGTGGCTCACACCTGTAATCCCAGCACTTTGGGAGGCCAAGGCAGGAGGATCATGAGGTCAGGAGTTCAAGACCAGCCTGGCCAATATGGTGAAAACCTGTCTCTACTAAAATTACAAAAATTAGCCGGGTATGGTGGCACAAGCCTGTAGTCCCAGCTACTCAGGAGGCTGAGGCAGGAGAATTGCTTGAACCCGGGAGGTGGAGGTTGCAGAAGCCGAGATCACACCATTGCACTCCAGCCTGGGCAACAGAGTGAGACTCTGTCTCAAAAAAAAAAAAAAAAATCAAGCTACCAATGACTTTCTTCACAGAATTGGAAAAAACTACTTTAAAGTTCATATGGAACCAAAAAAGAGCCCACATCGCCAAGTCAATCCAAAGCCAAAAGAACAAAGCTGGAGGCATCACACTACCTGACTTCAAACTATACTACAAGGCTACAGTAACCAAAACAGCATGGTACTGGGACCAAAACAGAGATATAGATCAATGGAACAGAACAGAGGCCTCAGAAATAATGCCGCATATCTACAACTATCTGATCTTACAAACCTGACAAAAACAAGCAAGGGGGAAAGGATTCCCTATTTAATAAATGGTGCTGGGAAAACTGGCTAGCCATATGTAGAAAGCTGAAACTGGATCCCTTCCTTACACCTTATACAAAAATTAATTCAAGATGGATTAAAGACTTAAACATCAGACCTAAAACCATAAAAACCCTAGAAGAAAACCTAGGCATTACCATTCAGGACATAGGCATGGGCAAGGACTTCATGTCTAAAACAGCAAAAGCAATGGCAACAAAAGCCAAAATTGACAAATGGGATCTAATTAAACTAAAGAGCTTCTGCACAGCAAAAGAAACTACCATCAGAGTGAACAGGCAACCTACAAAATGGGAGAAAATTTTTGCAACCTACTCATCTGACAAAGGGCTAATATCCAGAATCTACAATGAACTCAAACAAATTTACAAGAAAAAAACAAACAACCCCATCAAAAAGTGGGCGAAGGACATGAACAGACACTTCTCAAAAGAAGACATTTATGCAGCCAAAAAACACATGAAAAAATGCTCACCATCACTGGCCATCAGAGAAATGCAAATCAAAACCACAATGAGATACCATCTCACACCAGTTAGAATGGCAATCATTAAAAAGTCAGGAAACAACAGGTGCTGGAGAGGATGTGGAGAAATAGGAACACTTTTACACTGTTGGTGGGACTGTAAACTAGTTCAACCATTGTGGAAGTCAGTGTGGCGATTCCTCAGGGATCTAGAACTAGAAATACCATTTGACCCAGCCATCCCATTACTGGGTATATACCCAAAGGACTATAAATCATGCTGCTATAAAGACACATGCACACGTATGTTTATTGCGGCACTATTCACAATAGCAAAGACTTGGAACCAACCCAAATGTCCGACAATGATAGACTGGATTAAGAAAATGTGGCACATATACACCATGGAATACTATGCAGCCATAAAAAAGGATGAGTTCATGTCCTTTGTAGGGACATGGATGAAATTGGAAATCATCATTCTCAGCAAACTATCACAAGGACAAAAAACCAAACACTGCATGTTCTCACTCATAGGTGGGAATTGAACAATGAGAACACATGGACACAGGAAGGGGAACATCACACTCTGGGGACTGTTGTGGGGTGGGGGGATGGGGGAGGGATAGCATTAGGAGATATACCTATTGCTAAATGATGAGTTAATGGGTGCAGCACACCAGCATGGCACATGTATACATATGTAACTAACCTGCACATTGTGCACATGTACCCTAAAACTTAAAGTATAATAATAATAAAAAATAATAATAATAGTTATTGAAATAAAAATAATAACTGGAATTATTCATATGGTTATAATAAATAATTGATAAGAAAACATACCAAAAAAAAAAAGGCCGGGCATGGTGGCTCACGCCTGTAATCCCAGCACTTTGGGAGGCCAAGGCAGGCGGATCACGAGGTCAGGAGAGCGAGACCATCCTGGCTAACACGGTGAAACCCTGTCTCTACTAAAAATACAAAAAATGAGCCGGGCGTGGCGGCAGGAGCCTGTAGTCCCAGCTACTCGGGAGGCTGAGGCAGGAGAATGGCGTGAATCCAGGAGGCGGAGCTTGCAGTGAGCCGAGATCACGCCACTGCACTCCAGCCTGGGCGACAGAGTGAGACTCCGTCTCAAAAAAAAAAACAAATAAAAACAAAAAAAAAAAAAACAAAGAACAAGCAACAGCCCTCTATATTAACTTATTTTTGTGGGTTATGAAGAGAGTGAGAATTGGAGAAGTACAACTGACAATGAAACCTAACAAACCGGACATAAAAGGAAGCCACTTGCCTTCCTCAGGTTAAGCTATAATTTGATTCATTTATGAGGCACAGGAAGGACAAGTATTTTCACTTCATCTTTTTGTGCTGAGTAATATTACACAATAATACGTATCAAAAAGCCATTTTTCTGAAATGAAATGTATCCTTGAAGCATATCTACAGAATGTAACACAAACAAAACCTTTAACCCAAAACATTCTTCTATATAAATCTAGGAACACACCCAAATGAATATCACCAGTAAAGTTCCCTAGATTCTGCAGAAATGACAAACTATGAACAAAGCAATATATTTTCATGCACTCATAAATTATCAAATGAGCCTCCCCAAAAATCAGGGAAGCAAGGTCATATGGAGTGTCTTTTGCTAGTTTGCCCTCTGCTCCCAAACAGGCTAAGTCACTTAATATACAGATGTGGATAAAGATAATTTTGTACAATGCCATTCTTTAGCCACTAGGTTTCCCAGGTTTGGGGTTTACAAGATCTATAAAACCACAGGGCTATGGAATACAAATAAAATCTGACCCTAAATAATCTTTTCCTTTACCATTGCTGACATTCCTCAAAACCCTAGATCTTTCCTTTCAAAATAATGAAAATTAGCAGGAGGCTCATCCACAACAGACTTCCAGGGTCTCACTGTCAATAAAATCGGTGCCATGAAACAATCAGTGTGCTTCAGGGGAAGAGTCTCTAAGTGGAAACATAATACACAAAAGGATGATCAACATTAAAATGTTTTCCTAATTGGGGGAAAAAATTCAACAGCTATTTCAAGAGTTAAAAGGCTGCCTTTTATTGAACTGTCATGCTATCTCTCCAACAGGCAAGCAGTGGAAACATTTTAAGAGCATTACCTTTAGGAGGAAAATAAGACTTGCTTTCAGCTTTGTGAGGCCAGTCTACTACGAGAGGTCCAAACCTGCGAAAGCTGGCAGTGATCTCATCTACAAAACAAAGAAAGAATCTTAGCAAAAGAGAAAAAAATATTGCAATCAGAAAACCAGAAGAGCACAAAACATGTCTTTTTAGTTTAAAAAAATGTTTTGAGGGTTGTTTTCTATAGCATCTTTACGGAAGTGAAACCTACTAAGTGAAATACCATTGCTTGGGTGTACATTTGGTTATTCACTTTTAATCATGCAAAGTGTGTTTCTAACTATAATTCATTTCCTTTCACTGCCAATAAACTTGACATAAAGAATTTGGAAGAAAAGTATCTCATATTAAACTAAGGTGACTTCTATGTCAAATAGAAAGATTCTAAAAATAGGAATGTTCTCTGATTTTAGTAAGAAAGTAAGGTACAGAAAATATTTAAAATATGGTTTCACTTGTAGGAACCTCTAAGATTATTTAAGAAATAGATACGATTCTTTTGGTAAGGAGTAGGGGCAATAAGTAGGTAATTCTATTGGGTGATAAGAAAATGTTGATGGCCAATGTTCTCTTTAATAACTACATATTACGTACCCTATATAGAAAATATATCAAAAATTATAGATCAATACATTTATATTTTCCCTCTGACATATGACTCAAAGCAGAGGTTATAACCTGGCTCCTACTCAGGTTTAGGGTACCACTCTCTCAGCCATGATCTTAAAAATTGTCTTGAAGATAATCTAATCAATAGATGAGATTAACATGAATACAAGAACAATTTGGAGGAAAATAAGCATTCAGCTATGTATAACTTTAATGTAGTTAGTCTAAAATAAAACCACTTTTTGAGACTTTTCTCCTGTCACCATGAAAAAAGGAAATCATGATAAATTTGAAGTGTGTCATAGCTAGAAAAATGCTAGAAAAACAAGACTGTTAGAATATCAGACAGTATTTTTATATCAGACCCAAAGCCTACTGGAACTAGAGTTGTTTTTTGCTTAAGTTAACTTTGTCACAATTTTATTTCATTCATCCTTTCAACAAATATTTATTGACAACTTACCGTGTGCTAAAATAAACTGGCTTTAGGCATAAGTGAACACTCACTTTTGGACTGATAGCATCTCAAAACTATTATTAAGAAAAATTCTAATTCATCTTCATTCTTTTAAAGAGGTGGATTATGCTTTTTGTTAATAGGTATTTGTTTTTATTTATTTATTTACTTATGAGACAGGGTCTCACTCTGTCATCCAGGCTGGAGTTCAGTGGTATGATCATAGCTCACTGTAACCTCAAACTCCTGGGCTCAAGTGATCTCCCACCTCAGCCTCCCAAGTAGCTGGGAGTACAGGCACATACCACCATACCCGGCTAATCTTGTTTTGTAGAGACAGGGTCTTGCTATGTTGCCCAGGCTGGTCTTGAACCCCTGGGCTCAAGTAATCCTCCCATCTTGGCCTCCCAAAGTACTGGGATTACGGGTGTGAACCACTGCACTGGCCAGTATTTATATTAAAATGTGAGATGGTTTGGTGTGATGCACATGAGCAGAAGCTCTGGAATCTAATTGAATTTGAGTTGCAACTGCACCATCAGCTATATAACCCTGAACAAATTATTTCTCTCTGATCCTCAGTTTCCTTATCTATAAAATGGAGATGCTAGGATATCCTTATTAGATAGCTATGAGGATTAAATGAGATAATGTAACATGAAGTACTTAGTACAATAATAGACTACCACTTTCTAATCCACCAAATAGTCTCACCTCCTATGCACTAAGATATAGATGTCCTAAAGTTGACTTGGAGAGGAGAGGCAGGGTCAGAACACACAAATAACAAACTCAGCCTTTGCAAAATCATTAATGAATGCATAGTACCTTCATCAATATCAGGAGGAAGTCCTCCAACAAACACCTTTCTAGAGTAGCGTTCTACTCGTTCCCCATTTTGACAGCGAGTGGGAGAACTTAAGCCAGATGACAAGGCTTGATCACCATGGCTATCATCCAGGAAGGCATCTTCAAAGGGAAAGAGAGAAGATCGACCTGAAACAAATGTGGGAGTTTCTATAATTAAAATGATTTTCTAGGACAATAAATGCTCTATTAGAAGCCCGAAGTGCAGAGAGAAGCATACAAAAAAAAAGGTGTCCTGAGCTGTGGCTTTTCCAAGATTAACAGGACTGAATATTACCAGATAACTTTTTATCATCATTTTTGTGTAAGGGTAGGCACAGCCTTGGGATGACCAGATTGCTAACTAAAGAAAAAGAATCATCCAGGTGGGCATGGAGGCTCATGCCTGTAATCCCAGCACTTTGGGAGGCTGAGGTGGGCGCATCACCTGAGGTCAGGAGTTCGAGGCCAGCCTGGCTAACATGGCAAAACCCCGTCTCTACTAAAAATACAAAAATTAGCCGGACATGGTGGTGCATGCATGTAATCCCAGCTACTCAGGAGGCTGAGGCAGGAGAATCGCTTGAACCCGAACCCGGGAGGTGGAGGATGCAGTGAGCCAAGATCGTGCCATTGCACTCCAGCCTGAGCAACAAGAGTAAAACTCAGTCTCAAAAAAAAAAAAAAAAGCATCAAAATTTCAGTGGTTTCCTTGCTAAAAAATCACTGCATTTTACTCATTCAGTCTCTATCATAGCTACTAGGAGTATATTCAGCAGCTATGTTTTTTTCTTTCTTTAGTCATTTCTTAAAATAAATGGACAAAGTAATCTCTATCCACAGATTTTTATCTGCTCTTTATGGTAATCTCAGAGGTTTAGTTCTAAAGAGTGGTCCTGATAGCCAAGGGAATACAAAACTGGTGACAGAGGCTGATAACTTCTTTTCTAATAGTGGAACTAAAGATCATCAAGTTTTCCTTGTCATTCCAAGCTACTCTAATTTGGAAATAAACATACGCAATAATAAAGGACAGGGTAAGTAAATGAAAACACATAACTTAAGATGTGGGAGTATAAATGTGGATGTGGTTATGAAACCCTTAACCCTACTAATCTAGGCTACATTTTATATCACTCAAAAAATATACGAAAAGAAATGAAAAAAGAATTATTTTCATTAATTCTATAGCCAAATAAAGTTTGTAGAGCAAAAGTATCTACCCAATCCACATGACTATAAGAAAGATACCAGCAGTTAGAGTCAGCAGTAAATTTACCAGCAGTAAATATAACACAATAATGTCATTTGGCATTACAAAATAAAATCTAAATTTAAAATCAAATATATTTCCTGTTTGAGTCAGTGACTTCCTAGCAAAACTTTCCACTAGGTTCCACTCTAAAAATGAACCATTAGAGTACTCTAACTTTTGGGGGAAAAAAGGAAAATTCCCCTCTAAAATAAATTAATATACTCTTAAAAAAAAAAAAGAGCAGTGTCTTCCCCATTTAGTCTATACTATCTTTATTTCCCTGAAACCTAGGTTTTTGTGTCACAACAGCCAACTCTAAAACAGAATATAAATAGCCCTTAGAAAAATACTGAACATGTATTTCTTTTACAAAAAAGTTAAAGTTATTAATATAACTCTGGTTATTTTGTGAACAACCCAGGTAGTGTAAAAAAGACACTGTTTTAATGCTAGGAGTTAAATAAGAAGACCAAATAATTTTTTGTTCAGTTTTCCCCAGCTTAGCTATAAAGAAACAGAACAAAATCTGTCATCTCATGCCACCCATCTTTTTTAGCCTGGCAGCAACAAACAATAGACAGTAAATTCTCATCCCTTGATGTTTGTTTTGATCACTGGGGGTGAAAGAAATAGATTTGCAGCAACTATAGGCAAAAAGAGCTTTCCAAAGACATCCAGTGACGTTCTCCTAGAGCTGACAGGTTTGCTTTATTCCATAGCCCACACTCAGTGAATTACATGCCTACTCAGTGTCAGGCACATGCGCAAATCAGCATTTCCCAGTGAGTGTTCCCAAACCCACCTCTTACCTTCAACACTAGTAACATTAGATACTCAGAAAACGAGAGCTGGGGAAGGGGAAATGAAATAATCTGGGAAAATAATGCGTACGTTATGCTTTTCCACCTCAGAAAATAAAAGGCTACGAAAAGTTCTACAGTAAAGAAACATTAACTGGCCAGGCATGGTGGCTCATGCCCATAGTCCCAGCACTTTGGGAGGCCGAGGCAGGTGGATCACTTGAGTCCAGGAGTTCAAGACCAGCCTGGGAAACATGGTGAAACTCTGTCTCTACAAAAAATACAAAAATTAGCCGGGCATGGTGATGCACATCTGTAGTTCCAGCTACTGGGGAAGCTGAGGTGGGAGGATCGCTTGAGTCCAGGAGGTAGAGGTTGCAGTGAGCTGAGACCACATCAGTGCACACCAGCCTGGGTGACAGAGTGAGGCCCTGTCTCAAAAAAAAAACATTAACTTACTCCAGCATTACCCAGATGTTAAAGGAACCCTTTACCATACAAAACTCAGTGGAAAACACTTGAGGAAATATTCACCCATATTTCAGTGACACCGAACAAATAAGATACTTCCTTGCCAAAGGAATCACAGTCTGGTGGGGGAGACAGGCAAGTACATAAATAATTATAAAACAGAGATGTGCTAAGAGAAGACTTTACCAAGTGACACAAGAACACAACTTACTGCCCTCCTGGAGATTGGCGGGGAGAGATTTTTAGAGTATTTTCACAGGAGGGCAATTTTGAGCAGAATCTTGTCAGAGTGGGAGTTTCTGAAGTAAAGGAACAAGAAGCCACAGAGCAAGTACTGTCAAAACAGCTCTTGATCTTTCCCTCCAAAATTGCTCCTTCTCTAATATTCCCTAAAATCTCAATAAAAATGCTGATTATCCACACTGGATTCAATCCAGAAACCTAGAAATCATCCTTGACATCTCCCTTTCTCTTATACTCCACGTCAAATCCATCTCTCACTAAATCCTGCCAATTCAAGCAGAGTAAATAGTCTGTTTAGTCTACTGACTTCTACCTCGTACCCCACAATGCTTTCTCCACAAAACAGCCAAAGGTACCATTTTCAAACATTAATTTGAACATGTAAGCACACTCCTCACCCCATCCTTGAAAGCCCTCAATGATTTCCCATTACTTTTTGGATAAAGTACAAAAACATAACTGTGAACTGCAAGGCCTCTGCACACCCCTTCTACGTCACAGTTGCTGCCTCTCCTTCTTGCTCACTAACTGCCAATCACACAGACCTCCTTCGTATTTTCGATTATTCCTCCTTGCTGCTAGCCATAAGGACAATGTGTTCCCTCTACCTAAAACAAACATACCCTTTTCAACTCTCCAATTTCCTAATTAATTCCTATTAATTCTTCAGGTCTCAGCTGAAAAGTCTTCCTCAGGTTGAACTTTCCTAAGCCTTTAGATTAGGTTAGATTCCCTTTTCTATCCACACACAGCCCCCTGTATTCTTCCTTCCTAACACTTTCCCCAAGGACCATTATACCATTTGGGTGCGTTTTTATTGAGTATCTCTTTCCCTAACCCTATTAAATTGTAAACTCTATTAGGATGGGACCAATTTAATCTTGTTCACCACTGTATCTTCCTGCCCTAATTAGGTCACATAAAAGGCACACCAAAAATGTTAAATGTGAGGCAGCATCCAGGGAAGGAAAACAGTAAGTGAAAAGGCATGTGGCTGCAAATCTATGATGAAACACAATACACAGGTGTGAGAATGGCAGAGATGTAACCATGTCCTAGAAAATTGAGACTTTTCCTATTGCTTTTATTTGGTCAGGCATTAATGTTCTATATTACAAAATGGAAAATTATTTTCCCATTTTTTGAATTTAATATTTATTCTAATACTGGCTTTTTTTTTTTTTTTTGAGACAGAGTCTCGCTCTGTCACCCAAGCTGAAGCGCAGTGGCACAATCTTGGCTCACTGCAACCTCTGCCTCCCAGGTTCAAAGGATTCTCTTGCCTCAACCTCCCCAGTAGCTGGGATTATAGGCATGTGCCACCACACCTGGCTTATTTTTCTATTTTTAGTAGAGACAAGGTTTCGCCGTGTTGGCCAGGCTGGTCTTGAACTCCTGACCTCAAGTGATCTGCCTGTCTCGGCCTCCCAACATGTTGGGATTATAGGTGTGAGCCACTGTGCCCAGCTCTAATACTGGCTTATTTTGAACGACACTAACTCCATAGAGACCATGATATTCTCACATAATCCATCTTCTGTCCTGTCAGAATGACTTCTCTAAGATACCTATGACCATGTTGTCCTCTAACCAAAATCCTACCATAACTTCTATTACTTCCAACATTTTGAACTCAGGGAGAGGGTGGATGAGGTGAGAGTCTGAAGAAATCTGTGACTGTCCAGATGAGACATGAGGAAGTCTTGAACGAGAGCAGTGAAAGAGTGAAGAAGCAGATGTGGAAGACATTCTGGCACAAAAAGAATTTTCTGCATGGCCAACATAACCACAGCTCAGAGTACTTTGGCAAAGAAAACAAAATCAAGAGTTGTAAAAATTTGGACAGTTTTATTAAGTGGTTATGGGTAATTAAGAAATTTCCCAAGGTTTTAAAACCAAACCTCTGTCTTATTATTAGTATTTAGAGTACGATAGACGTTAGCAATAAAATAAAGTTGGCCTTGGAAATGAAACTGCTAAGAACTAACACATAAATGATATTTCTCTAACTGTGGGTAATAATTAAGAATATAGGTCTGAGAACCCAACCCCCAGATCTACTAATCTGAATCTGTGGGGGTCAGGCTTGAAAATCTGTATTTGCACAAATTTCCCCAGTGATTCCTATGCTCAAGTTTAAGAATCACTGATGTGAAGATTATTTGTCTGCTACAGGCAGCCACTGAAAGAGATATTTTGTGTGAAGTATATGCAGCCCTGGGAAATATCCAAGTTCAATCAAGTTAAGGAAAGTATATTCTCAACACTGGAATGCAAAATCTATAACCTAATCATCCTTACTGTAACATGACTGCCTGAAGTGCTGGCAGAACAAAAAGTCTGCAGAAAGGATTTAAAAGACAGAATGGTAGAGTAAGAGCTTGTAGTATTTACCCAGCGCAGACCGACAGGCGATATGAGGACTTTATCATACTACGTAGGATTATTCCTCCAGGGGACAGAATGGTTCACGTGGTATTTCCAGAGCTTGAAAATAATCTATTTCCCTCTGCTCTCTCTCTCTCTTTTTTTTTTTTTAATATAGAGATGGGGTCTCACTAGGTTGCCCAGGTTGGTCTTGAACTCCTGGGCTCTAGTGATCTTCCTGCCTCAGCCTCCCAAAGTGCTGGGATTACAGGCATGAGCCACTGCTTCTGGCCCCTCTGCTCTTATTATAAGCTCCTGAAGGACTATTCCGTTAATAAATTCAGGACTCTGCAATTGTGAAGGGGTGACTCTTGAGCTAGTAGACAGTCAGCTACTGAAATTTTATTTCCATATGCAACCAGCTCCATGAGAAAACAGTGGTATTCTGATTTGTCCAGTAATCCCTTGTGAGGATGGTATTCATGCATTCATTTGATTGGCATAAATCCATCTCCAAAACAAATCATCCCTGAGAAGTCAGTAAAATTTTATTTCCTGGACATGTGTTACTAGAAACTGAAAATTTAAGAGGCTGCACCTAAATTGTGCCCCAGGAGAAGTCTTGCTTCACTAACTAGCATCTCTCTAACATATTTCTTTTTTTTAAGGGAAATATTTCCAAGACCAAAATGTGTTAAGCAAGCCACATTACTTATCAAAAAATATATTTCTATGTGAGGAGGATATAAACCTGCTTTAGAACACCATGATACTGCCACATAAAATATGTATATTCAATATTTCAATAAAAGCAGGAGAAAGGTTTCTCAAATGCTGCAAGTTGGCCATTTGGCTTTCAACCAATGGTCTGGTTCTCTGATATCTATTTCAATTACTATCTATAATTAGTTTTTGGTCCAGTAATTGGACAAATCATCTCTGAATGTGGAGATGGCTTAAAACCAAACAAGCTTGCAGGAAAAGTGCCAAATAGAAGACTTGCAAAGCATTAGTTAAGCATGGAAGGCTTGTCCAAGATAATTCCTCCCCAGAAGGCTCCCTTTCCTTCAGCAAATGATGGAAAAACAAAAGCCCATTGGCCAAGCTATGCTGTGAAAGCTGCTGGGACCTCACCTCTGAGCTCCCACCAAGGCCTCTGCCATCACTCCAGCAGCTCCAGGGTACCTCTGGCCCAGCACTTCTACTCCAAGCCTGACTCTTTTCATTTTAGTCTTGTAAGTAGCTCAGCAATCAGTCACTTTGGGGGTTTAAGAAAAAGGAATTATGAGGCATGACTCCCTCATAAAATACATACATATTCCCTAGAAGTCAAGATAGGTTCCAGCCTAGTGTCCAGTAGGTGACTTTGAACAAAAAACATTTCACTTATGGTCTCATTTGCATAATGAGAGAGTTTAACTAGATGGCAGGATTTCAGATCCCCAGGAACAGGAGAATCCCTTTTATTACACAGAAATCTTACCTAAAAATAGATTTACTTCATATTAATATCTGGTATTTCTTAGGCATCACAAACTTAATGTGTTTACAAGTGAACTTTTGATATCTACCTTAAACTTATTCTCTCCCAGTCCCATTTCAATATGTGGCATTACAATTCACCCAATCACTTCAGCCAGAATCTCAAAATCATTTTTGAGTCTTCCTTCTTATTTACCCTCCAAGGTTAATTCAGCAACCTGACACCATCTGTTAAACACTACTGTTGATCCCATTCTCCAAGATCTATCTTTAATTTGTTCACTTCTCTCCAACTCCACTGCCATCACCCTATCCTAACTATCCTCATCTCATGCCTGACATCACCTCCTAACAAGGCAACCCAATTCTCTTTTCACTTCACTCCAAACAGCAACCAGACGTGCTCTTTTAAAAACATAAATCCAATCATTTGACCTTGCTTTAAAGCTTCAAAGATTTCCTCTTGTACTTGGACCAAGTTCAAAATCCTTACCAGGAGCTAATGTCCAGCAAGATCAGATTCTCTTTCCTTCCTCCAAACTCATCTTAAGACATACTCCTCCATCACCTACCAAGCATCAGTCATTCTAGGCTTCCTCAAAGTAAGCCTTTTCTTGCCTCAAGCCTTTTTTTAAAGAAACACGACTTTTTTGAAATATAATTCTCATATCACACAATTGATCCATTTAATCCATTAGCAGTCACTCTTGGTTTTCCCCCAACCTCTCAGCCCTAGGCGACCACTAATCTCCGTTTTGTCTCAATAGATTTGTCTATTCTGGACACTTCATATAAATGGTATCATACAAATACGTGACTCTTGAGATTGGCTTCTTTCACTTAGTGTAATGTTTTCGAGGTTTATGTTGTAGCATGTATCTGTACTTTGCTTCAAGCCTTTTACAAATGCAGTTCCTTCCACCTTCCCCTTTTAAACTAGCTATCTGTCTTATAATATCTGAAATTCCCTTTAAAATATTCCCAGGGAAAAAGGGAAGAGAATATATGAAACAAAACTGGCAAAAATGCTGATAATAATTGAAGCTGATGATGGATATATTGGTGTTCATTAAACTAGTCTACATTTGTATATATTTAAAAATTCCTTAATACCAAAAAGTTTTAGATAGCTATCTCTCCATCCTTTCAGTTTGTTTAAATATCACCTCTTCAGAGGTGACCTCCCCTATTCTTTTCTGCCTAGTATTTATCACAACTGTTAAGAATAAATATATTCGTTTCACTTATTTATTGTCTCTCTCCCTACAAGAGTGACCACTGAACAGTGTCAGAGACCACATCTGGAGTCTAGTACAGTATAGGTATGCAGACACTTAATGAGTAAAATTTGGGTGGAAGGCCCAGAAAATCCCTCCTTCAGTCTTTCTTTTGGCCCCTCCCAGATTAAATTCCCAAGACAGTGAAAAACTAGTCATCTTCCCCTCACTATCATCTGTGCTCAAATTTTCCTATTACTATGAGCAGTAACATTTTCAGATATTACAACCATGAACATTCAGAAAATTCTCCGATTCACGTCCATGTTTTATTCTAGAATCATCCATACCTTTAAACAAGCAAGCTCATACAACTGGGTTTGAATTAGCAGGATGGCGTGCTTCTAGCATGGTCTCCCTGGAATAGCTGATCTCTCTTCCCTCGAGCAGGCTTTTGACAGAAATACTCAACTTTAACTCAGCACACGAGTTTGTTTGATTGGATTTTAGAACTTTTGTTATCAATTATGCAACCCATTAATATCAATATATTTTTTATGAACTAAATATATGCAGGAGTACATTTATAACAGTAACTCTAATCATTCTTTGTATTTTTTCATTTGCATTGTTAAAAGGACCTTTTATATTCTCCTTACTGCTCTATAACTAGGAAATTCTGTTAAACATCAAAAATACTAGCATGGGCTGGGTGCAGTGGCTCATGCCTATAATCCCAGCACTTTGGGAGGCCGAGGCGATCCCCTGGGGTCAGGAGTTCGAGACCAGCCTGGCCAACATGGAGAAACCCCATCTCTACTAAAAATACAAAAACTAGCCGGGCATGGTGGTGCGTGCCTGTAATCCCAGCTACTTGGGGGGCTGAGGCAGGCGAATTGCTTGAACTTGGGAGGCGGAGGCTGCAGTGAGCCAAGATTGCACCACTGCACTCAAGCCTGGGCGATGGAGTGAGACTCCATCTCAAAAAGCAAAAAACAAAAACAAAAATATTGGCATAGCCAACATGTCTACTTATGGACAAGAGTTTCACAGAGACCATAAAAACTCATACTCATGTAAATGAAAAGCACAATATATATTAAATGTGTAGGCAAAAATCCAAAATGACACTACCTGGTAGACTAGTTGTATTTTCTCATTTGCATTGTTAAAAGGACTTTTCATATTCTCCTTACTGCTCTATAACTAAGAAATTCTGCTAAACATCAAAAATACTGGCATAGCCAACATGTCTACTTATGGACAATAGTTTCATGGAGAGCATAAAAACTCATTCTCATGTGAAATGAAAAGCACAGCATATATTAAATGTGTAGGCAAAAGTCTTAAATGACACTACCTGGTAGACTAGTTTCTAACAGGGGTTGCAGTTGTATAGGAGGACACATATTAAAGCTTATCAAAGGCAGAACACTCCCAAAGAAAAATGGTAAGATTCTTTGGTGTGATTCTTATTCCACAAATGAAATCAAGGTTTGTCTACTGGAACAAATTCAAAATAGATATAAATGGGAAATATAATTGGGTATTTTTAAACTATATGTAATTGATATTTATTTTCAATCTTATTCTTTCATGTCATTCTTCTCATTTCTCATTATTACTGCTTCAACTACATTACTAGAAGCACTTGGTTTGCTAAGAGTCTACCTTCAATGTCCTCATCCAAGCCTTGAGCTGATGTTCAAGTTATCCCCTGCTTTCATTACTTTATCATAAAACCCTCTTTCTAAAGCCTGACAATATCTGTGTCCAGGAGTTTCACCGCCTGTTTCAAAAACATTCATTAAGGCAGCATAGATCGTCCTACTACCAGCTTCTCCTCTCCAGCTGGTCCCACAGCATACACTCAGAGATATGTACTCCAAGCCTCTGGTCATGGCAATCTCATCTTTAAGCCTTCTTCTAAGGAGAAACACATACTAGAATGTCTTGCTTCCCATTCCTATTCCATTATCCAAATAGGTCCTGAAATTCTACTCATCCCAGGAAACTTTTCAACACTTATCAGGAGAGGTGTAAAAGTCCACTGGCCAAATTCTTGCTGACAGAACTAAAAACTTTCACATATATTACATTCCCTTTATTTCTGTTCCTAGAAAATTTACCAACATGGCCAGATGTGGTGGCTCATGCCTGTAATCCCAGCACGTTGGGAGATGGGCAGATGGCTTGAGGCCAGGAGTTCAGGACCAGCCTAGCCAATATGGTGAAACCCCATGTCTACTAAAAATACAAAAATTAGCCGGGTATGGCGGTGCATGCTTGTAGTCCCAGCTATTTGGGAGGCTGAGGCAGGAGAATCACTTGAACCCGTGAGGCGGAGGTTGCAGTGAGCCAAGATTATGCCACTGTACTCCAGCCTGGGCGACAAAGTGAGACTCTGTCTCAAAAAAAGAAAAAAGTTTACCAACATGTTTATGTAACACATAGAAAATAAGTTATAACTCCAGTTCTATCCTTAATCATAGGTAGAGGGAAGTAACATACATCAGCAAGCTTAATTTTTATTCTTTTTGGGCAAGTCTAAATGTTAATTAGAGGAAAGGGATCAAACATTAATTTAATCCCTGTTCACATGAAAAAATAAGCATGAGGAAGTCTGCCAATTCATCAGAAGTATACTATGCAGAGTTGGCTCAAATGAATACATCTCAGAGAATAAGTGTTCTAGATATGCGATCTAGACATGCTTCATCCCATATGGTTATATCATTACATTTAAGGAAGATGACTTCTTTTTCAGCTTTGGAAATGAAAGACTTATTGAAAGCATGGACAAAACATTTTCTGTCCGTTCTTTTTTCATTACAGAAAGGCAACATTCAGTCTTTTAGCATTTGCACTTCTCTCTGTCTCTCTTCCTCTCTCTCTCATCATTCTCTTCTTCATTTACACCTATCAAACTGCAGACCAAGAGCAGGGACCAAGTCATTCTAGGAAATATTTAGTGTAGCACCTCATACAAAGAAGATCGTGACTTTTGAGAACAATAAAATCAACCTCACAAATAGATATGGAGAAAGTAAAATGAAAAAAGGATGAGTATTTTTTTCAGAAGCTTAGAAACTATAGGCGACTTTATATTCTTGATGTATAGTATTAATATGCTATTATTTATAAAAATAAGATAATTTTTAAAAATATGATGGCAAACTCTGCTCTGCATAAATGTAGGGTGTTATTTCAAAATAATCCTTATCAATAAGCACTTAATAAGGGCTAACGCTACGTAGGGCCCAGTGTTAGGCACTAGAGACAACTATCCTCAAAGAACTTATCCCAGATGAAGAATCAGGGCATACAGAAAAGGCAGGAAGAATGCAAGACAGCAGAATCAGAGGAAAACACTGTCTGCAAGGCCACTGGAGAAGGCTTCCTGGAAAGGGTAAGGTTTGAACTAGTAAAATAAGGATAGTTCTTAGATACATAGATGAGAGGAAGGGTGACCTGTATGGCCAGAGAGTGGGAAAGCAAATAGATTGGTCAGGGGAAGATGAAGTGGGAAAAATGAAGATAATGATGTTGGTGAAAGAGGCAGAAGCCAGATCATGGGGACCCTGAATTGAGAATGGGGATGACACAAAGCGGTGTTTCAGAAAGATGAAGTTGTAGAAATGGAACAGGAGAAATAAAAATAGCAGAAATGAGAAGGACAAGGCCTGAGAAAACTAGAGGGAAAATCTTGACAAGATCTGGTGACTGATTAGTACGTGAGAAGAGGAAAAGCCAGGCCCTGCTGTCTATTCTCCAGATGGTGTCTATTTTCTACATAAAACAGTCCATTTCCTTTTCTTTCCTGACAGTGATCATTTTTCTAGCAACATGAAACAAGTATGGTACAAAATATGTCTTAATAACATTATTTATAGGCTTTAACTTTTTTAAATTTAAAAATAAGGCAATAAAATTTAATGATATTTATTTCCAAGGATAGAAAATAATCATTTACACAAACGTTTTTACACATGATGATGATGAAAAGCAAAAGGACTGTATGATCCACTGTACATATATATTAGCTTCTGCCAGTAGTCACTCATTCAACAAATATTTGCTGTGAAATAAATGATAAAAGTATTGTTTGGGTAAGCATAGGCAGAAAATATTTTTAATATTTTTTAAAACATAATAAAATACTACGAATTTAGCATCATTATCTTCTCTTCATGACTCAACTACAAAGTCAGAGACAGCCTGATGAATGGTAAACATTAGCAAATAAAGAGCCAAAAGACACAGATTGTGATCTTGACTCTGGCTTTAACTTGGTCACACAGCAAGTAAATTACGACTCCTCCTTCAGCTTCTGCAAATGAGCACCAAAGTAACTTATATTTGTGGAATACTTTTAATTTACATGGATAGCTTTTCACTTCCCTGTTTTTTTAACTAGAACTTTACTAATACTCTGAAGTAGGACAAGACTGGTTTTATTACCTCATAATTTACAGATGAGCATACCAAATCTAAATGATAAGTCAGTGATTACAACCTACGTGTCTGACCCTAAGTCCCATATGCTTTCTACGACATCCGGCTTCTCCTAGCTACTTCGTAAAATTATTTGAAAAAACTACAGATATGGGAAATGCTTTAGAACAGTTACAGCATTACACAAATGAAAGTTGTATTATTTTGTTTGGGTGTGACCAGGAGAGAATGCAAGTTTTATGGGGACTAAAGCCTATTTTGGGGACCCTCTTTAAGCAAAAGAACACAAAAATTACGTAGACTTTGGAAGGGGTCCAAGCAAGTGAGAGGCTCTGAAACTTAAGCTTCATTTACTTCCGGGGTAAATCTGACTCTGAATATAACAGAAAAAAATCACCAGCCAACCTAATAAGATCAAGAATTGCCCTCCAAAACCCAAGTTCTGCCTTCTAAGTTGTATGAAAAGAACACAATGAATACAGGGCAGAAAAATATATATGTTTGGCCTTTATTTCCTCATGTTTATTCACAATAAACCATATAACAAAAAACTTTAAGGAGAAATAGTCTTTGCTATATCTTTTTTATAATTAAAAGAACAAATTACCAACAACAAAAAAATAATTTTAATGAAAGTGATAAATTATTTTGCTAAAATAATTAAGATAGAACATCACACCATATGATAATTATTGTTTTACACACACACAGGTATAAATACACACACACATAAACACACTCATATTTACTCACAATTTGGCAAGCAAAAGATCTCATTTAAAAAAAAAAAATTTACCTCGTCTCCGCCCATAGCTCCTGGCTGCATGTAAACATAGAAGAAAACCATGGGTATTTGTATCAAAATGGTGAATTTAGAAATGAAAAAAAAATTCACACAAAGCTTTTCTATGTATTCTTGGAACTATTCAATTGATATGAAGATACTGTTCAACTTGACTGCAGACACTATATTTTTTTAAAAAACCTTTATGAAGTACAGGCTAAATCACAATCTTAAAAAGAAATTTAACTGGATGTGGCAGCCACTGGAACAGATACAATGGATGTTTCAGAAGTCTTATGAGGGTTTATATTGGAGCCTATTATCTATATCAGACATAGAGTACTTTAAAAAACTGATTTATAAATCTTCATTTGTACTTTATCTTACCACCAGATAAGAAAAAATTATTCATTCTAAATAACTAAAAACTGTACCATGCGGTGGTCACTCTGAATTTCTTACTATACACACATTGCCCCCAAACACACACACACTCTCTCTCTTCATAGATTCCCCTGAAAAATGTATAGAAATTTTATATACAACTAGCTGTTACTTTACAGAATGTGTTTCTGCACAATTTTCAGTAAAGCTTCTCTTACTCTCTCCATTTACTTTCCACTCAGTATTACAGATGGGGGAATGTAATATCTTTTTGATCTATAAAATGAACTGCAAAAGTAAAATGAGACTAAGGCACTGGGTCCACCTCAGGCCATGCTTAATAATACAGTGCTTTAAAGGTTTTCTTCCTCTTTAAAACTCCAGCCCTATAGAATGTATTGTTACATTGTTTAATAGAGCTAGACTGTGGTATCATGTATCACTAAAAGATCCTGTCAAGCGGAATGATTTTCAGAGTGGAAAGTTTCTCAAATTTGAAACCTCAGGTTCTATTTTAAAAAATGATTTAGAGCTTAATCCATTTCTTAAAAGTGTAACAGGCTGGGTGTGGTGGCTCACACCTGTAATCCCAGCACTTTGGGAGGCCAGGGCAGGAGGATCATTTGAGGTCAGGAGTTTGAGACCAGCCTGGCCAACATGGTGAAACCTCATCTCTATTAAAAATACAAAAAATTGGCCGGGCGCGGTGGCTCACACCTGTAATCCCAGCACTTTGAAAGGCTGAGACAGAAGAATTGCTTCAACCTTGGAGGTAGAGGTTGCAGTGAGCTGAGATCACGCCACTGCACTCCAGCCTGGGCGACAGAGCAAGACTCTGTCTCAAAATAAATAAGTAAAAAAATAAATAAAACTGTGAAATGTCACACAACTAGCTTATACTGAAAAAGGAAGATAATTTGGAGTTACATTTACAGTGTATTACATTAAGCATTAAAGAAAACTATTTCTGACTGGGTGCAGTGGCTCACGTTTGTAATCCCAGCACTTTGGGAGGCCAAGGTGGGCAGATCATCTGAGGTCAGGAGTTTGAGACCATCCTGGCCAACATGGTGAAACCCCATCTCTACTAAAAATACAAAAATTAGCCAGGCGTGATGGAGGGCACCTGTAGTCCCAGCTACTCAGGAAACTGAGGCAGGAGAATTGCTTGAACCCAGGAGGTGGAGGTTGCAGTGAGCCGAGATCATGCCACTGCACTCCAGCCTGGGTGACAGAGCGAGACTCCGTCTCAAAAAAAAACAGAAAACAAAAAACAAACAAACAAAAAAACTATTTATTCCATAGGAAAATAATTCAGACTTTTCAGCCGGATAGTTGAAATACCACTAGGCCAATCTCATTTTCTACTACTTTCCACTTTTCCTCAGGCATCAGACTTGCCCTCACTCCACACCTTTAACTTCTTCACTTTCCCACTACTCAAATATTAGAAAGGATTATCCAGCTCAAGCTCTATTTTTTTCCCTGATTCCTCCTGTACTACAAACCTCAATGAAAAAAATCTTTTTTTTTTTTTTCTGAGATGGAGTCTCGTTCACTCTGTCACCCAGGCTGGAGTGCAGTGGCACGATCTCGGCTCATTGCAACCTCCACCTCCCAGGTTCAAGCGATTCTCCTGCGTCAGCCTCCCAAGTAACTAGAATTACAGGTGCTGGTCACCACGCCTGGCTAATTTTTGTATTTTTAGTAGAGATGGAGTTTTGCCATGTTGGCCAGGCTGGTCTCGAATTCCTGACCTCAAGTGATCCCCACCTCGGCCTCCCAAAGTGCTGGGATTACAGGGGTGAGCCACCGCGCCCAGCTGAAAAAAATCTCTTCTGAATTTACATAGCTATTACTGTTTACATAACTTACGAAAGGGGATGCATTCCAAAAACAATTTAAGGGACTTTTATACTGTTTATTATTTGGCACCTTGAATTCCTCTTGTTACAAAAAGTATAATAAATGGTAGGTAGCTTCCTACCTTGATCCCTCCCCCAAATTTGCTTCATCCATAATTATATGGATGGATTAATATAACACTTCAAAAAAGATGAAATAAATTTTGACATCCTATCACTTGTCTCTTTGTCCCTTCTTCCCATCCCCAATGATGTTATGCTGCCTGACAACCCAATGAAAAATCTTTATTGAGAAAGGAAATACTCCATATTTTAAAATTACTTATTTCTCTCCCAAACAACAAATTCATTTTTTTCCCCTTATATCTGATTTCTGGCCAGATACCCAATGAAAACAAATCTGATTGCAATACTAAGGTACAAATGACTAATTGGACATTAACACCCATAAAGGATAAAGGAGAATGTTGTTCACACAAGTCTTCAACCACTAAACATCCAAGTAATATAGATGAAGTTAGTAGATCTAGACAGGCTTAGGGGTGGAGGGCAGCATGTTGAATTGGGGACAGAGGAAGAGTTACAAAAGACCTACCTGGGAGTTTTGTTGGTTTGTTTTTTTGAGACGGGGTCTCACTCTGGCACAAAAGCTGGAGTGCAGTGGCAAGATCTCTGCTCACCGCAACCTCTGCCTCATGGGCTCAAGCGATTCTCCCACCTCAGCCTCCTGAGCAGCTGGGATCACCACACCCAGATAATTTCTGTATCTTTTGTAGAGACAGGGTTTCACCATGTCACCCAAGCTGGTCTCCTGGACTTCAAGGGATCTGCCCACCTTGGCCTCCCAAAGTGCTGGGACTGTAAATTGGTTCATGATGGTTGGGAACTCTGATATCAGAGAGACAGGATGGCATATGGGATAGGTAGCCAATATCAAGTAGTGATCTATCTGAGATGCTTAGATTTTTTTTTGTTTCATTTTGTTTTGGTTTGGCTTTTTTTTGAGACAGAGTTTCGCCCTTGTTGCCCAGGCTGGAGTGCAATGACATGATCTCGGCTCACTGCAACCTCTGCCTCCTGGATTCAACCGATTCTCCTGCCTCAGCCCCTTGACTAGCTGGGATTACAGGTGCCTGCCACCTTGCCCAGCTAATTTTTTGTATTTTTAGTAGAGACACGATTTCACCATGTTGGCCAGGCTGGTCTCGAACTCCTGACCTCAGGTGATCCACCCACGTTGGCCTCCCAAAGTATTGGAATTACAGGCATGAGCCACCGCGCCCAGTGGCTTAGATTTGTTTTTATCATTCATTGTGGAATTTATTATGTACTACCTTGGTCCTGTTATAGTGATTATCATAGCAGCTAATGAGTGCTTCCTATGTGCCGGGAACAGTTCAAAATACTTCACATGTATCGCCCAGGCTGGAGTGCAGTGGCATGATCTTGGTTCACTACAACCTCCACCTCCCGGTACAAGCGATTCTTCTGTCTCAGCCTCCTGAGTAACTAGGACTATAGGCGTGCACCACCACGCCGGCTAATTTTTGTATTTTCAATAGAGATGGGGTTTCATCATATTGGCCAGGCTGGTCTCGAACTCCTGACCTTGTGATCCACCTGCCGTGGCCTCCCAAAGTGCTGGGATTACAGGCATGAGCCACTGCGCCCGGCTGACTCCACATTTTTAAAAAGGGAGTAATGTGACTTATTTCATCTTTCTAATATCCTATCTATGCTAAGATGGATTTATACCAGATATAACAAGATACAATATTCTTTCAAAGGTCTATCTACTCCCTCTAAGAACTTTAATTCTCAATTATCAACTATTACCAGCCTTAGAGATAGAATTCTTTTTTTTTTTAAGAGAAAGAATCTTTTTACTGTTTCATATATATTAAGCAATTTAGAGCCCATACGAATTACCTCTAATTTTTAGAAATCAGAGTAGTGTTACCCTTGGCTAGCGATAGTAACCAGAGAGGAGCCTAAGGGTTTAGTTTGGGGTATTAGTAATGTTTTGGTCTTGATCCAGGTACTAGTTACATGGGTGAGCTCAATTTGTGATACTACATTGAGCAATATATTTATTAAATCATAGATACATATATTATGTATCTATGATTTGTGTACTGTTTGTATTTGAATAGTTAAAAATGAAACATTACAAATATTTTAGATTAGTTCATTGGTTATAAAAATAGTGCAGAAAATCCACAGTGCTAATATTTTTGTAGCTTTTAAATCATAAACCTGAATAATTAAAAATTGAAAAAAATGCTTATTTCCAATCCATCAGAATAAAAATTAAATGGTACATGTATTTTACAGGGGGAAATACAAGAATTATTCCAAAAGTGGATTTGTATGGTCAGTGACAAGTACACTGTCAACAGCACTCTCATGTTAATGGCATGGTACTTTGCTGGGCACATGAGGCAACACTAAAATAGATCATCTGTTATTCCTTATGACTTGGCCTGCACTAAGTTTTAATGGTTGCATTCTTATACATGTGACTCCCCAAGGGAAGGGCATGTTATGCTCTGCTGTTTGTTTTTTAGAGACTTTATATTTTTAGAACCTTTTTAGGTTCACAGCAAAAAAGAAAGACCCAGAGATTTCGTGTACGCCCCCTAGCCCCACACTTGCATAGCTTCCCCAATTATCAACATCCCCCACCATAGTATATTTGTAAAAACTGATGAACCTATTCTGACACATCATAATCATCCAAAGTCTACAGTTTACATTAGGGTTCACTCTTGGTGTACATTCCATGGGTTTTGATGAATGTGTAACATGTATCCACCGTTACAGTATCATATAGAATAGTTTCACTGCCTTAAAAATCCCCTGTGCTCCGCAAGGCACAGTGGCTCACACCTGTAATCCCAGCACTCTGGGAGGCCAAGGCGGGTGGATCACCTGAGGTCAGGAGTTCAAGACCAGACTGGGCAACACGGTGAAACCTTGTCTCTACTAAAAATACAAAATTAGCCGGGCATGGTGGCACATGCCTGTAATCCCAGCTACTCGGGAGGCTGAGGCAGGAGAATCGCTTGAACCCGGGAGGCGGAGGTTGCAGTGAGCCAAGATTGAGCCATTGCACCCCAGCCTGGGCAACAAGAGCAAAAAAAAAAAATTACTTTCCTTGTGATAAAATCAGTTTTTAAGAAACACCTTGCAACTTATTTTTTGAATCACCATTTCAGTAGGCATCATAAAATTATTCAAACATCTAATGTTCCCTTTCAGCTTCCCTTGGAGTATTAGTCATAGAAAAAATTTCACTTAAGATGGGTTAAGACCTTAAAGTTTGAATCAAAATGTCCCCCTTTCCCTCATTAGACTATAAATTCTTAAACAGCAGGAGTGCTGGGGTTTGTCTTTAAATGCTCCTCCTATATCTTTGACTTATAATGGCAGATAAGATACTTTTAACCCAATGTTTGATGTTTGATAGCATTTCTCAAACTAGGCAAGTTATAATTGAAAAGATCAATTTCTCCATGAACAATATGAAAGTAGCAGGTAAAAAAGATGCTTGAAGGGGAAGGATATATATTCATCTGCTACATTCACATTAAGTATTTGTTTTTATTTTTGTTTTTGTTTTGTATACATTAAGCATTTGGATGTCTTAAAACTCCTTCCTTCCCTTCTCTTTTACTCTTACACATTCTTCTCAGAAAAATCTTCTTTCCATTGTATTTGCAAACCTAAAAAGTAATACTAATGACTGATAAGCAAAATACTAGCATTACTGGGATATTTTATAAAGGAGAATGACGATCATAAAGTAAAATAATAACCTACTGATAATTTATCATGTTCCAGGCATATGCTAAGTACTTGTACGTCTTCTAATCCCCAAGGCAGCTATCATTATACACATTTCCAGATGGGCAAACCAAGGTCCAGAGAAGATGACTGGCCCAAAGTTATACAGCTACTAAGCAGCAGAGCTGGGACTGAATCCAGGTTTAGTCTGGCTCTAAAGCACCTACTTTAACTCAAGGTATTATTTACAGTCAATAAAATTTATCCACTTTAAGTATACGATCTGATTAATTTTGATAATTATATATAAACATATAACCACCACCATTCTAATCAAGATATGACAGTTCAACACCTTTGAAAATTTCTTTGTGTGCTTTTGCAGTTGATCCCCTCCCCTAACTCATGGTTCCTGGCAAGCATTAATCTCCCTTCTCGCCATAGTTTTGTTTGCCTTTTCTATGATTTCATATTAATGAAACCAATATGTTTGACTTCCTTCACTTAGCATGTTTTTGAGATTAATTCATGTTGTTACATGTATAAGTATTTTGTTTATTTTTATTGCTGAGTAGTATTTCATAGTATGGACAAACTACAATTTATCCATTCACCAGTCGGTAAACATTTGAAAAACCCTTACTCTTAACCACTAAGTTTGAAGAATCAGTATTTCAAATCTATAAAGACCTTGAAAGTACCCAGAAATTCTCTTCAGAATTTTCACAGCCTCCATTATCCTGTTTTTCAGCAGCACAATCCAAAATTTAAGAAAATAAACTTCTCACCCCAATTTTCTTTTTTAAATTTTATTTCATTATTACTAACACAACACTATTGTTTTCTACTAATTATTACACTTAGAACTGTTAGATTATGAATTAAAATACAGGGATACTTCAGAGATATTACAGCCTTATGGTTCCTAACCACTGTAATACAGCAAATATCACAGTAAAGCAAGTCACACAATTTTTTTATTTCCTAGCGCATACAAGTTATGTTTATATTATACTGTAGTCTATTAAGTGCACAGTAGCATTATGTCTTAAAAAACAATATATATAACTTAATTTAAAAAATACTTTATTGTTGCCTAGCACAGTGGCTCATACCTGTAGCCCCAGCTACTTAAGAGGCTGAGGTGGGAGGACTGTTTGAGGCCAGGAGCTGAGTGCTACAGTGAGCCATGATCATGCCACTGCACTCCAGCCTGGGTGACACAGCAGGACCCTATCTCGAAAAAATTAAAAATAAAATAAAAAACAATACTTTATTGCTAAAAATCTCAACGATCATCTGTGCATTCAGCAAGTTGTCACTTTTTTCTTCTTTTTTTTTTTTTTTTTTGGCTGGTGGAAGGTCTTCCCTCCATGTGGATTGTTGCTAACTGATCAGAGTGGTGGTTGCTGAAGGTTGGGGTGGCTGAGGCAATATCTTAAAAAAAAGAGATCAGTGAAGTTTGCCACATCGATTGACTCTTCTTTTCACAAAATATTTCTCTGTAGCATGCAATGTTTAAGAGCATTTTACCCATAGTAGAATATCTTTCAAAACTGGATTCGATCCTTTCAAACCCTGCAACAGCTTTATCAACTAAATGTATGTAATATTCTAAATACTTTGCTGTCATTTCAACAATGTTCACAGCATCTTCATCAAGTAGACTCTACCTTAAGAAACCACTTTCTTTGCTTGTACATAAGAAGCAATTTTTCATCCATCAGGTTTCATCATGAGATTATAACAATTTGGTCACATCTTTAGACTCCACTTCTAGTTCTCTTGCTATTTACACTGTATCTGCAGTGACTTTCTCTACTGACGTTTTGAACCCCTCAAAGTTGTCCATGAGGAATGGAACTGACCTCTTCAAATTCCTGTCAGTGTTGATATTTTGACCTCGTCCAATGAATCACAAAAGTTCTAAATGGCATCTAAAATAAAGAATCCTTTCTAGAAGGTTTTCAACTTTGCCTAGGTTCATCAGAGGAAGCACAATCTATGGCAAGTATTGCCTTACAAAATGTATTTCTTTTTCTTTTTTTTTTTTTTGAGACAGAGTTTCACTCTGTCGCCCAGGCTAGAGTGCAGTGGCGTGATCTCGGCTCACTGCCACTTCCGTCTCCCGGGTTCAAGTGATTCTCCTGCCTCAGCCTCCCAAGTAGCTGGGATTACAGGCGTGCACCACCATGCACGGCTAATTTTTGTATTTTTAGTAGAGATGAGGTTTCACCATGTTGACCAGGCTGGTCTCAAACTCTCGACCTCAGGTGATCCACCCTCCTCGACCTCCCAAAGTGCTGGGATTACAGGCATGAGCCACCACACCTGGCCTACAAAATGTATTTCTTCAACAAGATGGCTTGGAAGTATAAATTATACCTTGATCCATGGGCTGTAGAATGGATGACGTATTAGCAGTCATGAAAACAACATTACTGTCCGGTTCATCTCCATCAAGTGCACTGTCAATGAACAGTAATATTTTGAAAGGAGTATTTTTCTTCTGAGCAGCAGGTCTCAACAGTGGTTTTAAAATATTCAGTAAACCATGCTGTTAAACAGATGTGCTGTCATACAGGCTTTGTTGTTCTATTTGTGGAGAACAGGCAAAGTAGATTTAGTATAATTCTTAAGGCCCTTAGGATTTTTACAATGGTCAATAAGCATTGGCTTAAACTCAAAGTCACCAGCTGTATTAGCCCCTAACAAGAGAGTCAGCCTATCCTTTGAAGCCAGGCACTGACTTCTCCTCTCTCGTTATGAAAGTCCTAGATGGCATCTTCTTCCAATAGATGGCTGTTTCACCTACACTGAAAATCTGCTGTTTAGGGTAGTCACCTTCACCAACTATCTTAACTAAATCTGGGTAAGTAACTTGCTGTAGTTCTCCATCAGTACTTGTTGCTTCACCTTGCACTTTTATGTTATGGAGACGGCTTTTTCCCTTAAACCTCAGGAACCAATGTTTGCCAGCTTCTAGCTTTTCTTCTGCAGCTTCTTAACCTCTCTTAGCCTTAACAGAATGCAAAAGAGTTAGGGCCTTGCTCTGGACTAGGCTTTGGCATAAGGGAATGTTGTGGCTGGTTTGTTCTTTTACTCAGGCCACTAAAACTTTCTCCACAGCAACAATAAGACTATTTCGCTTTCTTACCATTAGTGTGTTCATTGGAATAACACTTTTAATTTCCTTCAAGAACCTTTCCATTTGCATTCACAACTTGGCTAACTAGCACAAGAGGCCTAGCTTTTAGCCTGTCTCAGCTTTCAACATGCCTTCTTCATTAAGCTTAATCATTTCTAGTTTTTGATTAAAAGTGAGAGGTGTGCAACTCTTTCTTTCACTTGAACATTTTGAGGCCATTTTAGGATTATTAATTGACCTAATTTCAATGTTGTGTCTCAGAAAATGGGAAGGCCCAAGGAGAGGGAGAGAAACAGTAGAATGGCCAGCTGGTGGAGCAGACAGAACACAACATTTATCAATTAAGTTTGTATCTCCTACAAGTGCAGTTCATGGCATCCCAAAACTATTACAATAGTTACATCAAGGTGGGCACAGTGGCTCAGGCCTGTAATCCCAGCACTTTGGGAAGCCGAAGCAGGTGAATCACCTGAGGTCAGGAGTTTGAGACCAGCCTGGCCAACATAGTGAAACACTGTCTCTACTAAAAAATATAAAAATTAGCCAGGTGTGGTGGCGCACACCTGTAGTCCCAGCTACTCGGGAGACTGAGACATGAGAATTGCTTAAACCCGGGAGGCAGAGGTTGCAGTAAGCTGAGACTGCACCACTGCACTCCAGCCTGGGCAGGCAGAGTGAGACTCTGTCTCAAAAAAAATAAAATAAAATAAAATAGTAACATTAAAGATCACTGATCACAAATCACCATAACAGATATAGTAATAACAAAAAAGGTTAAAATATTGTGAGAATTAACAAAACATGATATACAGAAAAAAAGTGAGCATATGCTGTTAGAAAAACAGCACAACTGTTGCCACAAACTTGGAATTTATAAAAAACATAATTCTATGAAGCATGATACAGTGAAGCACAATAAAATGATACATGCCTATAGGTACTTTTGTGGATTGGTCAGAAAATTTAGTTGTTATTAGAAACATAAGAAAATATATCCTGTATTCTCACCAACTGAACTTTTGCAACATTCTGTTTCACTGCTTTCAATATCTTACAGAGAAACCTACAGGTATCTTAAGCAAAACAGGATTTATTTCTGGAGCTAATAGAAAAGTGTTTTTACCTGGTTCTGCTAGAATACCTTAATAAAGATATTATGAGATAAAAAGTATGAGATAAAAGAATAAAGAGGCTTGCTTCAAGTCTCTCAGCCTATTCTAGTGTGTTTTTTTCAAACTTCTTTCTAAATAGCTGATATGGTTTGACTATGTCCCCACCCAAATCTCATCTTGAATTGTAGTTCCCATAATCCCCATGTGCCATAGGAGAAACCCGGTGGGAGGTAATTGAATCATGGGATTGGTTACCCCCATGCTGCTGTTCTCGTGATAGTGAAGTGAGTTCTCACGAGATCTGATGGTTTTATAAGTAGCTTTCCCCTCTTTGCTTGGCACTTCTCTCTCCTGCTGTCATGTGAAGAAGGATGTGTTTGCTTCCCCTTCTGCCATGATTGTAAGTTTCCTGAGGCCTCCTCAGCCATGCAGAGCTGTGAGTCAATTAAACCTCTTGCCCTTTTTTTTTTTTTTTTTTTTTGAGATGGAGTTTTGCTCTTGTTGCCCAGGCTGGAGTGCAATGGTGCGATCTCAGCTCACTGCAACCTCTGCCTCCCAGGTTCAAGCGATTCTCTTGTCTCAGCCTCCCACACAGCTGGGATTACAGGTGCATGCCACTATGCCCAGCTAATTTTTGTATTTTTAGTAGAGATGGGGTTTCATCATATTGGTCAGGCTGGTCTCAAACTCCTCACCTCAGGTGATCCACCTGCCTCAGCCTCCCAAAGTACTGAGATCACAGGCGTGAGCTAACCGTGCCTGGCCTAAACCTCTTTCCTTTATAAATTACTGAGTCTTGAGCAGGTTTTGTTGTTTTTTTTTTTGAGATGGAGTTTTGCTCTTATTGCACAGGCTAGAGTGCAATGGTGCAGTCTCGGCTCACTGCAACCTCCACCTCCCAGGTTCAAGCGATTCTCCTGTCTTGGCCTCCCAAGTAGCTGGGATTACAGATGCCTGCCACCATGCCCAGCTAATTTTTGTATTTTTAGTAAAGACAGGGTTTCGTCATGTTGGCCAAGCTGGTCTCGAGCTCCTGACCTCAGGTGATCCACCCGCCTTGGCCTCCCAAAGTGCTGGGATTACAGGCGTGAGCCACTGCACCTGACCTCAAGCAGTTCTTTATAGCAGTGTGAGAATGGGTGAATACAGTAGCAGAGCCTTCTCTCCCCCAGTAAAGACAATGTATTAAAGCAAGGCTGTTCAAGTTCAAGCATGGCAAGGACCCATGGCCCCAAATGTTGGGTATCCTTCTCCCACAGTGGCACTTAAAGTACCTTCTTGGATGTTGGCATTCCATAGAACACAACTAGAAAACCAAAGATCTGTATATTCCATGGTAGGACCATTCTTATTGTTACAAAGTTCTTTTTTACACTCTCCTGTTGTTCTTACCCACAGACCCCAGCCTAATCCCACTTTTACTGGGGGGCCATTACTTTAGCACCTTTTGGTTTTATCTTTTTTATTCACTCTTTTTAGTCAATTCAATATTCTTCGTAAGAAATCATTTTCCATATTCCATATCAGACTGAATATTCTCCTTTGGATAAACCTAATTTCCACTAAGACAATACTAGTCTGTCTAAGCTTCTCATGAAGCATCCAAAGCCCTTCATTATTTGGCCCCAACCATCTTTCAGATCCTCATTCTCACTATTCCATATAACAGACCCATACATTCCAGTAATCCCAATTCAACCTACTCTTCCAGTATTATCATTACAAGTAAGCACCTATTCAGAGAGAATAAAAATCTTGATACCTGCATGCCTTGACATCTAGTCTCTTCTACTCCCTAGGAAACCCCTAGTCCACATTGTCCATTTCCTCTATTATTCTTCTTCCTGTCTTGTACAAAATGCAAGCTCAAGGATTTGCTATACCACATTTCAGTGTCCCCACATACTTAGTATTAATTTACTTTCTAAATTACATTTAACATATAAGATACTAATACAACTTCTCAATATATAACATGTTATCAAAGTAATCACTCTAGAATTTCCAAGTTCATTTCCTAAATTCCTCATCAAAACAGAAAAAGATAATTAAAAATGTATATATCAGGCAAGACATCTCTGGAAACAAACCTCGGTAAAGAATTCCTCTGCATAATACTGCTATACCTTACTGGAGAGAGTGGGCATCCACACCCACTTACATCAGGTGATGTTTATGCACCCTCATACTTGTGACCTGACAGCATTCCACTAAGAATAATTAATAACCACCTTGCTTTTATTTCAGTAGCACATTGCTAAATGAAACAATAACTGATGAAAGAAAGAGAAAAGAAGGAAGGAAAAAAAGAGAAAGATGGAGAATGAAAGGAAGGAAGGGAGGGAGGGAGAGAGGAAGAAAGAGAGGGTGGGAAGGAGGAAGAGAGAGAAAGAAAGAAGAAAGTTCTAAGAATTGTAATCACATAACAGAGTATTTTGTATTTTATACTGATCAATCTGTCCAATTCAGGTCTGAAATTGCTTACTACAGTGGTATACACTCAAATATCTGGCATCTGTTTTCAACAAACCATCTTCTTTGAACCACCACTATGCCAAAAATCTCATGAGATTTCTACAACTGTATATAAAGACTCAATTCCTACACTGTTCAGGACAGCCAATACTTGCTAGTTCTACATTTCTGAACTCCCAAATAACATAAGGAATAATACAGAAAGAAGAGAAGGTAAACAAAATGGGTGCTGGTGTGTTCAGGAGCCTAAGCTGAACCAAAGGCTGGGCCCGTTGGTCAGTGTTGTCTTCTCTCTATCAACAAGGCTCCTCTCATGTGGGAAGGAGAGTTCCTTCACAGAAGAAAGTTATGACAAGGAATTGACCTGGACATTTCGGAAGGGCTGCAGTAGCATGGAGAAGCTGCTCATTCATATCAGCCCTGCCCTGATCCTTCAAAAACACCTTCCTCTTCTGATCTGGACTTGGGAAAACTTCAGGGAACAATAAAAGCAGACCAAGTCTTGAGGGAAAAGAAAGAACACTACGATATGCACAGCATAGTCCCGATACTACTTGATTCGTTCATCCTCAAATAAAGATAGACACACATCTAATTTTGGTCCTTTCCGTATCCCTTGCCCACCCTCCACCCCCAACCAGATTTCACCCTACGCCAATGAAATTACAGTCTCTCAGACATGGGTGTTTTCTATTTTGGCTCCTGTTTTGATTGTATAACTAGAGTTGAGAATTAGTGTGAACTCAAAAGGAAACAAAGGAAGGGGGGTAGAATAGGGAAGAAACAAAGACTAACATTTGTTTGGTATGTACTCCTTTTTTTTCCCCAGAGAGAGTCTCACTCTGTTGCCCAGGCTGGACTGCAGTGGTGTGATCTCGGCTCACTGCAACCTCCTCCTCCTGGGTTCAAGCGATTCTCCTGCCTCAGCCTCCCAAGTAGCTGGGATTACAGGAATGCACCACCATGCCTGACTAATTTTTGTATTTTTACTAGAGATGGGGTTTCACCATGGTGGCCAGGCTGGTCTTGAACTCCTGACCTCAGGTGATCCACCCGCCTCAGCCTCCCAAAGTGCTGGGAAGTACAGGCGTGAGCCACCGCACCCAGCCTTGGTGTATATTTCTTGCCAGATATGGTATTAGGAGCACTACACAACCTTACCATTTGTAAAGAGGGGTTAAAGTGTCCATTTAAAATAAAAGACACAGGCTCGGTGCAGTAGCTCACATTTGTAATCACAGCACTTTGAGAGGCCAAGGCAGGAGGATCCTATGAGCCTAGGAGTTCAACACCAGCCTAGGCAATATAACAAGACCCTGTCTCTACAAAAAAATTTTAAAAATAAAATAAAAAATAAAAGACACAGGTAACTTGCCACAAGGTCACATGGCAAATAAGTGATGGATTTGGGGTTTAAACTCAGATCTGTCTGCCTCCCTACCTCAAACTGCACTGTTTCTACTATATTCAGCTGAAAAAACAAGACAACAACAACAAAAAAAACACAAAACTTTATTCATATAACAAGAGTGTATGTGTGTGGAGGGTAATGAAGAAAAGAAGGCATTTAAAATTCCTGCTGCTATTGAAGGAGACTATGTTCTGAAAGTAACACTGAACATGTGTGGAAGTATACTGACTCTCCACAATCAATAAAGTATCATTTATTTAATAGTTATAAAGGAGTTAAATGAAACCCAAGTGACCTTTTGGGAAAATCCAAAAGAGTAAAAATCACACGGGATTAGGAACTGGTTGGCAGAATAATCTGTGTGTCTAAACCTTATACAGCTATTTGCTGGCTGTATGACATTAGCAACATGCTGACATGCAATTTACCCATGTAACAAACCTGCATATGTACCCCCTGAACCTAAAAGTTGAAAGGGGGAAAAAAACTGCATTTCAGTTTCACACACTACTCTATCATATGGCCATGTTTTGTCTGGATAAGAAAATAGTCCTGGGGTAAAGTTGGTGCTCAAGAAAAGTGGATTTTTTTCCATGTTCTGGAAAAACCATAGTAAGCATTACAAAAGCACAGAGGTCTGTGAGACCACTTCGTAAACTGCTCATTGCTAGATCTATATGTGTTATAACCATCTTTCAAAAGGAAGAATTAAAGCACATCTTTTAGGAAGAAATTAAGGTGGACTGGATATTCTCTAAGACTGTTAGACTGTGCTTTTCACAGTCACACTGAGATGTTTTCCCAGTCCTCCTTCTCTCTCTTCTGATCACCCATATTGAGTGCGTATTCAACAGGCCAGGCATTATACTTCAAGCCAGGGACCAACTGTGAATAAAAGCTAGTCTCTGCCCTCTTGAAACATACACATTAAAGAAAAACACCAACATTAAATAGTTAATTACAAGTGGGGTGAATGCTGTAAATGTGAAGTCCAGTTTCCACTGCCTATACAAGTGGAGAAAACAGGGAAGTCCACCGGGAAGAGTAAGTAAATTTTCAGTTTTCTGCATCTTCCTTATTTGGTTAGAACTACCCAATACTGTCACTTTAGACACATTCACAAATACAAAGAACTTCTTCCAAAATGCAATAAAGTCAGTCAAGAACATTTCAGACTTCACTTATTGACAATATTCAATATCAGGCCATGTAAACTAGGTTTACCATTCTATTTTTCAGGAAAAGAGAATTTACTAAGCATTCAGAGCATAAACAAGGTGACAAATAATAATAATAGAGAAACTATTTTCCCAAAGACACCGAATTTGCATGTTTGTGTTAAGGTAGTAAATAATAATAATAATAATGTAACTACTCTTAACAATTAAGTTTCTAAAGCAAAAGGTACCACCCTCAACCAGGAGGCAAGAGGCTCTGCTCCTAGCTCCATATCACCCTGGCCAATTCTTACAGCCTTTTGAATCTCAGCTTTCCAGTCTGTAAAATGAGAAAGTCAAAACAAAACCATCTCTTAGGTCCCTTACCATGTTCATGTGCAGCATCCAACTAGAATGGTTTGAAATTTGAGTACTTGGAAGTCATGGAACATTACTTATTCTTCTAATTTTTTCATTTCTAAATTAGCCATCCTTTACAATGTATTCATAGCACAACCATATATTAGTTTTATTTCTAAACCTGTTCAGATAGAAACCTGTTCAGACAGAAAGAGAAAATCTGAATCTTGTCTTCAAAAAGTTAAAAATTCTCAGACAAAATGTCTTTAATCTGAGAATCTCAAGATAATTCCTTTACTATACTTTTTTATGCTACCAAGAAATTATTTACTTATATCCACTCACAGTGAACAGAAACAACAATGTGTTCTTCAAATTTTGGAAAATGCCATTTGGAATTCTAGCAAAGCTGGCTTTATTCCCATTCTGGCATCAGGTGCTCAGCTCCCTCTCTGCCACTTCCTCTCAGCTGAGCCTCTCCCCAAGGAGTTCACTCCCAGCAGAGGATAAAAGGGAGGGGGAAGAGGAGGCTCTGCAGCCACACAGGGGTCTCTGCCCAACACAAATGTTCATGTCAATGCCCTTTCACATTGCCTCTTTTGATTCCACAAATGCACTGGCAGCCCTCAGTTCAAATAGAAATATAAGCAAAACCTTCTAAAATGTTTTCAAGGCATTAATAAGAGGAAAATGTAGAAAACAGAATAACCTAAAGTTCCAAGTTTCTTGGTGTATCAGCTATGTATACATTGTTTAACAATCAATGACCTCAGAGCTTCTAAAGAGGTGAGTGTCTTTTTTTGGCTTAAGATATCAAAATGTTTATATATCAATTCATGAGATACAGAAAAAATAAAGAAGAAAGATATCAAAAGTTTAAGTCTTCAAACTACTTAGGTTTTATTCTAGGAATCTTCAATTTTGCAAAGTTACAAACTTTGATAAGGAAGAGTGAGGGTAAACAATCATCTTTCCTTGTCAGAAGGGAAGTGGTACTTCAGAATTCTAATTTATCTCCTTATAACTTGTAACAGACTCTAATTACATCAAAGATCTCGGAAAAGGAATGGCAGGAAAACTTTTAATTTAAACAATATTGAATCTCTGTTATATTACAAAGCTATGATCTTCAAAAAAAGAAAAATTAACTCTTTAGAAGTATCTTCTCTGGGTAAGACTATGCTTCCTACTTCCCAAATGTAGCAGTAATAATACCCTATTTGTACGTGTGCCTTACTTCATCTGAATCTCACAAAAACAATGAGGTAGAGTAAATATCCTAACTGCCCACTTACAGGTTTTCAAGCAAAGGCTTAAGGAGATTCAGAAACTTGCTCAACTAGATGCCATCATTACACATGACTTCTCCAAGATCTAAGCCCTCAATTTTGTCCTCTGAAAAAAGAAGACAATGTTACTACAAAAATTCCTTTCTTGAAGTTGTGGTATTTTGTCACAATAGATTAGTTTACATTTTCCAGAATTTTATATTAACAGGATCATCTAGTATGTATTCTTTTGTTAGCTTTTTAACTTAGCATAATTATTTTGACAGTCATTTATGTTGCTGCATGTATTAATAGTTCATTCCTATTTATTTGCCGAGTAGTATTCCATTGTATGGATGTACCACAATTTGTTTATCCACAATGCTGCTTTGAATATTCGCACATATGTCTTTGTGTGGACATACGTTTTCATTTTTTCTCTTGGGTAAATTCCCAGGAGAACTCCCGCATCATATGATAGTTGTATGTTTAACTTTGCAAGAAACTGTCAAATTGTTTTCCAAAGTGGCCGTATCATTTTATTAATACATTCCAAACAGCAGCGTGTGACACTTTTTAAAGTGCCAACATCACAAGATATTTAACAACTGAGAAAGGCCAGTAGGATCCAAAGACAGTGCACATTTGCATGTTCCAAAGTCAAGTAATAGAAAGTATTTCATCCAGAGAAAAAGATTCACACAAAAACAAATGGAACCACATCTCAATACAGCTATGCTAGCTTATGTGATGACTTACAGGTGTGCTGTCTTCAATTCCATCAGGAAAGCACCTATCTAAACGTGGCCGGGTGTGGTGGCTCACAGCTGTAATCCTAGCACTTTGAGAGGCCATGGCAGACGGATTGCCTGAGCTCAAGAGTTCGAGACCAGCCTGGGCAACATGGCAAAACCCCATCTCTACTAAAAATACAAAAAATTAGCCAGGCATAGTGGCGTGTGCCTGTAGTCCCAGCTACTCGGGAGGCAGATTCAGGAGAATCGCTTGAGCCCAAGAGGCAGAGGTTGCAATGAGCCGAGATTACACCACTGTACTCCAGCCTAGGCAACAGAGTGAGATTCTGTCTCCAAATAAGTAAATAAATGTAACCAAATGACTTACAGGTGTGCTGTCTTAAATTCTATCAGGAAAGCATCTACCTAAATGTAAACAATGTGAGATAAACTTATATTTTTGAAACTAATATGTAAAGAAAGAAAGATCTTTAAAGGTAATAATAAGCCTGTTGCAAACATTCACAATAGCAGCTCATATGAGCATTATCTACAAATCAGGCACTATGCTAAGCTTTATAAAAATATATATATAACCACTTTCCTGATTGCTATCTCCATTTTACAGGTGAAGAAATCGAGGCAAAGAGGAGTTAAGAATGTGGCCTCAAGGCCATATAGCTTGTAAAGAGGGAATGGGATCTACCTAACTCCAGATGATGCCTTTGGCTTTGCTAATTCATTGCTGCATCTTCAAGTTTCACATGCCTTCCAGCCTGCTTCAAAGACATCTTCCTAGAACTGAATGATACTATTCCTTAAGAAACACTATTCCCAGTTTCTGCTTTTGTACCTATCAAGCAACTTTCCGATATTTATCTGTTTTCCCAAGCCCATTTTCTACTTGGAAAAAGAGGAACTGACCAGTCAAATGGAGTAAAGACCAGGCATGCTGATTTTGAACATTAATTTGAACATAAATTTGGTTTATGTGATGAATCATGGAGGCACCAGTATCCTTTTCTAAGGATCAGCATAATAGAGGAAAAGTCACCAAGTTAGGCATCAATCCTACACAAGACCACGAATGCTAAACCAACTCTACACCTAGAACAAACTTGTCGAACCTGCGTCCCGCAAGCCACATGTGGCCCAAGACGGCTTTGAATGTGGCCCAAACAAATCTGTAAACTTTCTTAAAACATTATGAGATTTGTTTTAAGACAAATTTAAAACAATATGAGTTAGTGTATTTTATTTGTGGCCCAGGACAATTATTCTTCCAATGTGGCCCAGGGAAGCCACAAGGTTGGACATCCCTGACCTAGAATGTAAAAAAGAAAAAGAAAAAGGAAACACAAGCTACTATTAGTATTAGAAAAATACGGATGGTAGAACTACTACCACATATGTAGCTAGAAGAACTCTTAGCAGCCTCCTTCTCCAATGGGAAAAATTAAAATACATTATGCAAACGTCGAGTGTTTTTGTTTAAAAGTAAGGAAGATTAAAATAAAATGGGCAGAATTATTAAACAGTTAGGAAAAAATATATTACCTGATTAAGTAGAAGGGGTATATTGCCTCAGAACTAACTTTATTTTGGAAATATTGGACAAGTGGCAGGTCTTACTGATGGATTGGAGTTTCTTCCCCCTACCTCCCCTTCTATATTCTGTAATACTTGAGGACCTAATATTTTGAGAAAGGCCAAAATTTGGAATGTGCCTCTTGGGTTCCTCCATAAAGGCTGGCCTGCCAATTCTTACTATTAATAGATTCATGGTCTTGAACAGGAAAAATCAGTAGACTCTTTGGTTTACACAAACCTCGCCAATTTTTCCACACCCTAAATGTCTGAAGGTTTACTGGTAACTCTTATTTGTCTTCCATAGTGGTATCCTATCTTTGTCTTCTAAGCTTCATTTTCTGTCTTCTAGATTATGTCAGCAGTGGTGATTCTTGGAGGAAGGTATAACTGGAGGGCATGCACTAGGAACACCAAAAAATGGGAACTTGGCCAATTCAAAGCTGGAAAGTAGTACTGAGAAGAATGTATATTATGACATCTATCTTTCCCATAAAGTCAGGAGAACTGAGGCCATATCTTTAGGAGACAGGTTTTGGTGAGGTCAAGAAAGTAAAAAAAGGATGGAAGATTTTTTGGGAAACATAATGATTGGCAGCTTTCCATAGAGACCTAGGAAGCACAAATTTCACATAGCAAAAAAGGGTAAGAAAGAAAGAACTACAACTGACTCGCATTTTCTTTTTTAAAAAAATTTAAACTGTCTCAATTTGCTATAATTTTCTTAGCCAATCCCTTCTTTTCCGAAAATACAGCTCAACTTCAACCTAGTCCCTTCGATAATCACAATTCTGAATTAACAATGTTTCAGGATTTGTTACTTCTTCTCAATTATTCCTTTTTTTTTTTTTTTTAGATGGAGTCTCACTCTGTCACCCGGGCTGGAGTGCAGTGGCGTGATCTCGGCTCACTGCAACCTCTGCCTCCTGGGTTCAGGCGATTCTCCTGCCTCAGCCTCCTGAGCATCTGGGATCACAGGCATGCGCCACCACACCCAGCTAATTTTTGTATTTTTAGTAGAGACGGGGTTTCTCCACGTTGGCCAGGCTGGTCTTGAGCTCCTGACCTCAAGTGATCTGCCCACCTCGGCCTCTCAAAGTGCTAAGATTACAGATGTGAGGCACCACGCCCAGCGATCTCAATTATTCCTACATGAAGGTTGACAGAAAGGAAGAAGGATAGACCAGTCACGGACAAAAAGTGTTAGGGCAACAAATGGTAGGCATAAAAAGAAAGACCAGGTGTGGTGGCTCACACCTTTAATCCCAGCACTTTGGGAAGTCGAGGTGGGAGGATTGCTTGCAGCAAGGAGTTCAAGACCAGCCTGGGCAACATAGCAACACTTTATCTCTATAAAATATAAAAAATACATACATATTTTAAAAAAGAAGACAAAAATAATAGATAGGTGTGTGTTTGTGCATATGCTACATATGTAAGTCACCAGATGGGCTGGGATCAACTGTACAAAAAGGAAAACAAGGTTTATCCCAGCAAATTTGTCGAAGCTGGCAGGTCCCACAAGTACCTACTATGGAGGATATTTTTGTTCTGATCATCTCAAGCTGGAGTCAACTTTGAAAGAAAACTGATGGTAGGTAATGTAAACATCAAACTCTGGTTGTTCGTATGGTTTATTTTAAGGAGACAACAAGGTTCTTTGACTTTGGGCAGCAACCACAGAGACATTCAAAGATTGATGCACTCTGATATCTGTTGCAACTATGTGTAACTCATCAACATTTGTTATAGGTATCAGCAAAATGGCCGTTTTGGTACTTTAAAAAAATTACAGAATAACAGTATCTTCATGCTGAAAACAATCATTAAGATTACCTAATCACCCCCCTTCTCTCAAGGATTGGAGAAATTGAAGCTAAACAGGGGATTACACAACATGAACAAAATGGAAAGAGCATAAATGAAATCTTGGATTTAAAAGCAGAGAATTAAAGAAAATCAAACCAAAGAGAATAAAAAGTTTTTAAAAAGAAAAATGTCTTTTAGCTCCATTTTTTTCCCACAAAAAATCACAAACTATATCCTCTCCCTCTTGCAGAAGAGGATTCACATCATGTCAATTAGGTCTTTTCTGAGATACACACTCATTCCTTCAGGCAGACACACTACCATACTGTTCTTTTCTTTTACATTCAACTTTAAATCCCATAATCTAACTGAAGTCTTTTCACAATTAATTATTGCTCAAGTTCAGCAAGTTAAGCATGTTTATTAATTCCCATCGACTAGAAAAAAAGTTAGAGGCAGCATAATCTAAATTTAAAGTGACCTTTCATTTAGAAGTTAGAAAATTAGAGGTAGATACTTTGGAATTCTTATTGTCTCTAAGACCATCTCCCTAACCCTGCCAAAAGGCAGGGATACTAGCAATCTAGAAAAAAATATGCATGGAGAGGCTTAGGACCTGCATCATCAAGCACTGCCAGTGGTTCTCAGCAGTACTCATTGGTTGCATGTCAGACCAAGGAGATGTGAAATATATATTTTAGAGATAACCTAAAATCTGTTCTAAAGAACTCCAATGACATTCAACATACCTACTCAAGCAAGAGGGAAAGAAATAATATTGTACACAACCCTAGATTTATCCAGTATGTCTCCCATGTGTATTGAGAGTCAGCTTGTATATCTGGGAAGATGAGAGGGGACAATCTGATATCACTCATTTACTAGAGGAGAAAACTTAAAGTCTAAAAGATTCAATGGCTTATACAGGTCCTTCTGAAAATGAACAATTTCCATTTAGAGACTGTTCTTCTGCAAAGGTATCTGATCCATTGACACTAGGAAGGAGAGCTGATGCCACCCAGATTATTTCTTCTGGTGTTAATTAATATAATGACTTTCCAGTTAGTAAGTTTTTGCTGCTTTAGAACTTGATCAAACAATTATACTGACAAAACTGTTTCAAACCTATAAAGCTGCTGACATATATACCATGCAAATTCCATTAATGGGAGACCCCTGGATGTCCAGCTTGAAATACCTGGCTATCTACCACCATGAAAAAATTCTGAGTTATGTATAAATAAGTTGATTTATTCATTCACATTATATTCTCTACCCCACTTCCTCTCTCCCTTCACCTACCTCCTTCATTCCTCCAACCCAATGGTATACAGCAGGAGTTGGCAAACATTTTCTGTAAAGGGTCAGATGGTAAATAGTTTGGCCTTTGTGGCTCTGCCTTTGTAGCACAAAAGTAGCCACAGACAATCCATAAATGAATGGGTGTGGCTATATTCCAATAAAACTTCATTTACAAAAACAGATCCAGCTTGCAGAGCTATAGTTTGCCAACCCTGGTTTGAAGCAGCAATTTTCAAACTTTAGCCTGAATCACAATCACATACAGGCTTGTTAAAATACAGACCTCCGGGCCTCATCCTTAAGTGTCTGATTCAATAGCCCTGTCATGGGGCCTGAGATTTTAATAAGCTCCCAAGCAATGCTGATGCTGCTGGTCCAGGGACCACACTTTGAGAACCACTAGTACAGAACAATGGTCTATACTCCTTTCAGCGGAAGGTTAAAATGTAACCAACAATCAAGAATGTAGAAACTACATGCTGCAAACTTGACTGCTAATTTAATAGAATATTTCATATGAAGACTTACTGTTAAGTGCCATAATATTATCTGTTCCTGGATGATGGAAATTTATCCCCATGCGTCCTAAAAAATAAAATAATTTTAAGCAAAAAGAATGTTTAATGTAATCATTTCAAACACATCTTAAAATATAAACATTACAAAAATCTAAAACAGATTAATCTATAACAATGCTATCAAAGGCCAAAGCAGTTACAACAGTTTTAAAAATTAAGTCATAAAACATACACATGAAAAGTCTTAAAGCCAAAGTTTCAACAACAAATAAATAAAAAAAAACAAAAAAAGAAGCTTCTGTTATAATAGTCTGAAATTTAACACATCTCCTGCATTCCAATTTAAACATGCCAACTCCTTGGATTAAACATTTTATTTAAACAACCATTTATACTGTCCTTCCATTCAAGCAGCAAAAAAAAAAAAAAAAAAAAAAATAGATTCAAACAAGTATATAAATTTGAAGCTTAGAGAGAATAAAAAGAGAGGTTTCATAGTGGCTCAAAAATGCAATATAATAATCAGAATGGCAACCAGAAGGAAGACGGTAAAATTCATAAAAGAGACAGAATGGGGGAAAATGATTGGCCTAAAAATCTAGGGTTCTGGTGGCTCTCCCTAACACTAACTAGTGATATGACCTTGAATATAATGCTAATCTCCACATGTTCATCCTTAAGTCTATAACAGGAGTTGCAAACGTCTGCTGACACAGCTGGCTTCCTGTTTTTGTATGCCTCTGAGTTAAGCATCATTTTTACATTTAGAAAGGCTTGTAAACACAACCAAACCAAAAATAAAACAAAGAACAATATGTGACAGAGACCATGTGGCCCGTAAAGCCTAAAATATTTACTCTTTAGCACTTCACAAAGTTTGCCAACCCCTGGTCTATAAGATGTTAAGTCAGAAACAGATGCTTCAACTAATGGCCCCTAGGGGCAAGAATGGAAGATGCAGACATTTTTGTTATGTTTTCTTCATTAATTATTTGGGACAAGGAGGTAGATGTACCAAAAGGAAAATTTGAGAGAGTCTTATATGAAAAAAAAAAAATGTACTTAGAAAGCTTTCTTGACCAAATTCCTTCAACAAAATAGTTATTGAAACAATGCTTTTGTGTAAAGCTAATATCTATAAACTTGGCTCTGCAAGGTTTTAATGTTCAATTATGTCAAGGGTTATCATGAAATTCTCAAAAAATGTTAATCTTATTTCACTACCATTGTTTAAATAAATGTCAACAGTATTTTGCGGAGAAAGTATACAGAAAAAGCTGGAGATAAGGTTAAAATGATTGATTTTTACAACATACACAGTTTTATATTACATAATTGCAAAAGAGTCAGTGATCATTTGATGGTAAACTCCGTTACAGGGGACTGGAGGCAAATAGCATTATTAAGTTCTTTTTGCCCAAAAGGAAAGCATCACAGTAGACAAAGCAGGGCATTTGCCTTAAATAAAAAGGGAGAATCATGAATTCCTAAGCAAATGAAGTTTTTGCCTAGACAGGACCATCCTGATTTCTTATTGCTCCCCAGGCTACGATAATTTGTAAAAGGTCATTTCATATTAAGAGGTAGGGAAGGCCGGGCGCAGTGGTTCATGCCTATAATCCCAGCACTTTGGGAAGCCGAGGAGGGCAGATCATCTGAGGTCATGAGTTAGAGACCAGCCTGGCCAACATGGTGAAACCCCATCTCTACTAAAAATACAAAAATTAGCTGGGTGTGGTGGTGGATGCCCATAATCCCAGCTACTTGGGAGGCTGAGGCAGGAGAATCACTTGAACTCGGAATGTGGAGGTTGCAGTGAGCCGAGATTGCGCCACTGTACTCCAGCCAGGGCGACAGAGCAAGACTCCGTCTCAAAAAAAAAAAAAAAAAAAGAGGCAGGGAAAAACAAAACCCTCGCAAGTGAAGCATCACTTATATTGGTGTGTATGTATGTATTGAATGAGAAAATCTTAAATACATCCATAAATAAGAAAATCCACTAGAATTTGATGGATTCTGATAAAACTGTTCTAACTTTATCATGAAGCATTATAGAGCTTTCAATGAAAATTTTTAGTTTTTATCGTTTCAAACCTTATTAGGAAAAAAATGTTTCATCTCTCTCTGGTTTTGCAGAGACAATTTTGCTAGCATTTGTAATATAGTAAAATTATTTTCTTAGATTAGATCATGTTTTCTATTAAAAAGCCATATGAGTAAAATCTAAAAGAACCATCTATTTTTTATAGATTTCATAAACGTTTTCATATTTACTAGAAGCTAATTATTAGGAATTTCAAAAACTACCCCATTGTTAAAAGATACATGTACTGTATCTATATATAATTGTTCTACGTGCCTTACGTTTTTTCAGTTCCTAAGTCATTTTAGAGTCCCTGAAAATTATAGTTGGCAACAAGTGTTATCTCCTACCACCACCTTGATCAGAACCTATAATAGGAAAAACTGTCACCAGAACAAGGCTTTCACTCAGTAGGGAGAAAGTATATTCTCATTTCAACTAGCTATCTCAATGTTCTCACCATCGTTTTTGGATAATCAAGACCTTATTTGGATTCATTATCAAAAAATATTAATATCTATGAAAACTATATGTGATTTACTCTAAACCAGCTTTCATCCTTTTCTGGGGTATTCAAATATAACAATGATTAGCCAGTCACTGGAAAGTCTACCTAAAAGCCCATCAAGACTTCAAAATCACTGCCCATCAGAACTTAAGGAAATCGCATATATGGAGGATCTTTTCAAACTTTAACCAAGGAATATTTAGAGGAGGGTGTGCTATCTAAAAAGTTAGCAATATTCCCTAAATATTTCTAGAATAATAATAAAGGGTTATCAAGGAAATCATGCAAACCCAAATTTAGCTGATCCTTATTTGACTTCTTTTCTTTCCTGTGTCTACCATTTACGGTAAAGAATTATGTAGTTTACAACCACTATATCAAATAAAGTTTTTACATGTTCCTATAACTACTTAGTTTCCCAAATGTAAAGGGGTACCCTTTTTGTCCTCCAGAAGTTAAACATACCTACATGGATCCTTTTTGACCCTTTCCATAAGCTCCTAGAACTTTTCAGCTTGGAAAGATGAAACTGAAAGGAAGCTTGGTAGTTTTCAAATTATTATTCTCTATCGTACGCTGATTACTTCCAACCTAAACTTCCTTATGATGCAGTAAAACAAGAGCCTTAGGCAGTGTTTTGCAGATTGAAAGTATCACTAATTGGTGAAAAGCAGAACACTTTTTACCTTTCTTGGTATTCTCTCTAATTCTTTGACCTCTTTGACTTCAGCAGGTCTCTGGATGAAAGTGAGCAACAAAAGATTTTATAAGAAACTCCAGGCTGGGCACCGTGGCTCACGCCTGTAATCCCAACACTTTGGGAGGCCGAGGCAGTCGGATCAAGAGGTCAAGAGATAAAGACCATCCTGGCCAACGTGGTGAAACCCCATCTCTACTAAAAATACAAAAAAATTAGCTGGGTGTGGTGGCATGCACCTGTAGTCCCCGCTACTCGGGAGGCTAAGGCAGGAGAATCGCTTAAACCTGGGAGGTGGAGGTTGCAGTGAGCCGAGATCGTGTCACAGCACCCCAGCCTGGAGATAGAGCAAGACTCTGTCTCAAAAAGAAAAGAAAAGAAAAGACACTCTGGGTCGAGAAGGCCACATCCATCAGAATCAATTATCTAAATATAATCTAATTTTTCCCCCAACTAATAATGTAATTTTTTAAAGTAAAATCATTCACAGCATCTTTAAGCTGGTTTCTTTACCTCTTCCAAAAGTAATTTTTAGATTATAAAATGCAATATATTTTCATTGGAGAAAAATCACATAATGCAAAAAAATGGAGAAAACAAGCTCACCAAGGATAAGCACTGTTAACATTTTGATTTACAGTTTTCCACGTTAGGGAGTGTATATGTGTAAAGGTTTCTTTTCTAAAATTGAAATTATTTCATAATTTTTTAACTTAATACATTGTATATCTTAAGTTTTACAGTTATTAAGGAATTTTGGAGGAAAATAAAATATATAACAGCAAAAGAAAAACTGATTCCAAATTCAGAAGAGGCCATTTCTTTTTTCTTCCTTTTGTCCAACAAATACTGCTGTTTAATCAGCTGTGAAAATAGAATCAAGTGCGTGACATCTGATGATTTTTGTATAATGTAGTCTGGTGTTGCCAGCGTGACATTTCGTCACCTGTCCATGGTCTGCTATTTTTAAATTGTTCTTGTCAGCTAGCTATCTTTTAAGTATAGTGTAAAATGTAAGATTTCAAAAACTGGAAGGCATACTTGGTTTTACTAAGTTAAATGATGCTGTGGAAATCTGAGACTGTGTCCCACTTTCCCCACTGCACAGGATCTGATAAATAGGGGTGAGAGGGGATGAAGGGAGAGGTTAGAGAATAGGGTTACATATGGTTATTCGTTCTGTTAAAATCACAGTCCCATAAGCTCAATTCACATTCATATTTAAAACACTAGTTATAAAAAAAAAACTATGTCTATCATGATTCAAAGTTTCAGAATCCAACTAAACTCATGCTTTTATGAGTTCAAAATAAAAACTGAAATTTTCATTAATTCATAATTGATTACGAAAGTCATCTCTTTACTTCTACAATATGTTATGAGATAGGGAACAACTGCTGTACCTTCCTCTAATCACTCCCTTTGCTCGAAAAAGGCAAGTACATCAGAAAGCTTCATGTAACAGAATGTTAGTGCCACGTTTCAGAAAGACTTACCAGGTAAAATGCATATTCTACTGGGTTTTATTTCCCACTAACTTTCTCTATAAAGTTAGAGAGACATTGCTTTAGAAAAGTATCTTAAAAATGTAATACTGTGATATGTAAAAATATAGTAAACTGTTTTTTAAATCTGTTTTAAGGAAATGATAAAACTTTGATACTAAAATATTCTAAATATGTTCCAAATAACCAATAATCAAAACCTGTGAGCTTAGACCTGAGGTCAAATCCTAGTTTATTCACATACTAATAGCGGGTAATTTTTGGCAAGTTGTTAAATATTTTGTGCCTCTGTTTCCTCATTTAATAAAGACTGTACTCGAGAACAATTAAATCACAATTCCCAGCCTGGTGTGCACTGGTTCACACCTGTAATCCAGGCACTTTGGGAGGCAGAGGTGGGCAGATCGCTTGAGCTCAGGAGTTAGAGACCAGCCTGAGCAACATGGCGAAACCCTGTCTCCACAAAAAAAAAAAAAATACAAAAAAAAAAAAAAATTAGGTGGGTATGGTGGCATGCACCTACAGTTCCAGCTACTCACGAGGCTGAGGTGGGAGGAGAGCTTGAGCCCGGGAGGTGACGACTGCAGTGAGCTGAGATCGCACCACTGCATTCCAGCCTGGGTTACACAGCGAGACCCTGTCTCAAAATAATAATAATCATCATCATCTTTATCTTTTAAAACTCAGGTGATTTTTTTTTTTTTTTTTAGATGGAGTCTCGCTCTGTCACCCAGGCTGGAGTGCAGTGGCACAATCTTGGCTCAAAGCAAGCTCCACCTCGTGGGTTCAAGCGATTCTCCTGCCTCAGCCTCCTGAGTAGCTGGGACTACAGGCGCCTGCCACCACACCTGGCTAATTTTCGTATTTTTAGTAGAGGCAGGGTTTCACCATGTAGGCCAGGCTGGTCTTGAAGTCCTGACCTCAAGCGATCTGCCCGCCTCAGCCTCCCAAAGTGCTGGGATTATAGGCGTGAGCCACCATGCCTGGCCGCTAAAAACTCAGGTAATTTAAATGCTATGCTTAAAGGATGATTACGCAAATTAATGGGAGGGTACTTATACAAATCACTCAGTTTCTACTTACTGTCTCTGCCCCCAAGAATGTACAAAACAAGAACCATCACTTCTTGCTGACTTAGAACCTGCCCCCTAACAGTTTGTGTAATCTGCTAACTTTCAAACAAGATAAACAGATATGGGCTATCAAGGGAAATAACACAAAAATAGAACTGAGCAATAATTCAAGCCACAGAAGTAAATAAAGAGACAGTATATTTTTCTGGAACAAACAAGCAAATAAAATGTAATGAAGGCATATTTTTCTAAAATAAGAAGACCTCAAAATTCCGTAAGAGGGGACAAATTTTGTGAAAGGCTCTACAATACTAAATTTAAATTGTGATGAATAAAGAAAAATGCCTCTATAACACCAAAGGGGTGGCATTATCTCTTCCATTTTAACACCAAAGGGGTGGCATTATCTGTTTTAAAGCACTATTACTGAAAGATAAGCTATTTTTCTCTAGACACTCTCAGCATACTTTCGAAAAGCAAAGCTTTCAATAACAGTTCTCAACTGACACCTGTTCTTTTCACTTTTCAAATCTCAGTTCCATGAATGGTGAGGGAAGAGAAAATTCAAATACATAAAAATGTTTTACTAGGCACGAACCCCAGATAGTCAGCCAGGACTATTTTTCTGCTGTAAGAGGGAAATTGCATGGGATGAAGAAAAAGTAACTCCTCCCTGTTTTTGCCAAGATGCCTGCTATACTGGGCTTCCCCAGTTAGGGTATACGATCTTACTTCTCTGCTCAATGTGCTATAGTTGGTATTTCCTTACTATCCTTCTAGAGTTGGGAGAATATGATTAATCAAACCTGACCTGACGACCATGAGTTTTCAGAGTGGTTCCATAGGAGCTTAGTGAACCTGCATCATAGGTAGAAAGTCAAGGAACAGCTATAAAGAAGACAATAGGGATGAATCTTTTTCGTTATCTCTTACCCCACCTCTCTCAACACGATTAATCCCCTTAATCCTCATAGTTATGAAGAGAGTTGCATTTTCCTTCAATCCACTAGAAATGAGAACAGAGAACAGTTGCTCCCTCCTACTACATCTGCCAACCCAAGGATTTCTGTACTTCGAAAAAGAAATAAGAAACAGGGCCAGGGCCAGTGGCTCATGCCTATAATCTTAGCACTTTGGGAGACTGAGGTGGAAGGATTGCTTGAGCTCAGGAGTTCAAGACCAGCCTGGGCAACATGGTGAAACCTTGTCTCTACAGCAAATAGAAAAAATCAGCCAGGCATGGTGCCTGTGCCTCTAGTACCAGCTACTTAGGGAGCTGAGGCAGGAAGACTGCTTGAGCCTGGGAGGTCAAGGCTGCAGTGAGCCAAGATTGTGCCACTGCACTCCAGCCTGGGTGAAAGAGCAAGAACCTGTCTCAAAAAATAAATAAATAAATAAAATAAGAAACAGCTGTCATTAGAGTATTACCCTCTTCAAAAGCCTCCTTTCTCATCTCTGAGGCATTCTCTCAAACGAAAAGAAAAGTATATGTAAGACATAGTAAAAAAAAAAAAAAAAAAAAAAAAAAAAAAAACCCAGGAGATTATTACCTTATTCCGTTACAGCCAAGCACGTAGTTTGGGATCTTTAAAAAGCAAAAAATAAATAAATAAATTAGTCCGGCTGGGCGCAGTGGCTCATGCCTGTAATCCCAGCACTTTGGGAGGCTAAGCCTGGCAGATGACAAGGTCAGGAGTTCGAGACCAGCCTGGACAACATGGTGAAACCCGTCTCTATTTAAAAATACAAAAATTAGCCGGGTGTGATGGTACATGCCTGTAATCCTAGCTACTCAGGAGGCTGAGGCAGGAGAATTGCTTGAACCAGGGAGGCGGAGGTTGCAATGAGCTGAGATCCCGCCACTGCACTCCAGCCTGGGCGACAGAGCCAGACTCCGTCTCAGAAAAAAAATAAATAAATAAAAAATAAATTAGTCAAATTTTTGTTTAAATATGCATTCTGTGATCTGATTAATGCTATAGAAGATATTTTTCAGTGTGCTGTGAAGAAAGTTCAATTCAGCTTTTATTCTATATAATTTTTATCATGGGGGATGAAATAGAGAAACTTTTAAAATTTCCTACAAATATCTTCAAGGCTGGTAAACTGAATACATGACCAAAAAACTATTAAAGCTTATTTACTTTACTAAAACAGAAGTCTCATTATCTCCTAAACTTCCTATTCTGTTATCTCCCATGCTAATCCTTTTTTCCCCTGAATCAAGAGGATAGTTGAATAAAGAGATTTTTTACTGAATACATTTCTAAGATAAAATATTATTGTGAACATATTTTTACCATGTTCTTCAAGTACATCTTAAAGTACTAGATATCCTATTTTATTATATATTTTTTACATCATTCAGATTTACAATTGGAAAACCAAAATAACCAAAAAATTATTTTCCTTTCTCCTTTAAGTGGCTTTGAAAATGGTAAGACGTTTATCCTTCAATAATCACTACTTATGAAAAATATAAAATTTTGACAACTTGCACCTGAAAAATTTCAACATTTAGCTGAAGTCTAGTTGGAAAGAAGTCAGTACTGTAAGGATACCATACTACTTCCAGCAAAAAATTGTGGATAACATTTGAGCAGTTTCTAGTGCCAGGGACTTTATTTGATCTTCGCACTCACTCTATGAAGTAGGGAATTTATTTTAACAATAAGAACACTGAGGCTTTGAAGAGGTTAATTTATCCAGATTAATAGGCAGCCAGAGGCAGAGACAGAATTCACACCCAGGTTTCACTGACTGCAAAGTCAGAAAGACTGAGTTGAAATTTCATCTCCTATATGGAGAATATAAAATATCTGGAAGGATGTTAATAAAAATAATAACCTTTGTTACCTCTAGGTAGAGAGTCTCTAGTGATTTTTTTTTTTTTTTTTTTTTTTTTTTGAGACAGAGTCTCTCGCTCTGTCGCCAGGCTGCAGTACAGTGGCGCAATCTCGGTCACTGCAACCTCCAACTCCCTGGTTCAAGCAATCACCACGCCCTGCCTCCAGTGATTTTTTTTTTTTCTTTTTTACTTTCCTTTTCGTCCTTTTACATACTATTTGGATTTCTTATAATGAGTAAAAATGTATTTTTTTCTGAAAAACAAAGGAAATTAAGCTCTAGGAAAAAAAAACACCAAAACAAACAAACATACAAAAACCAGTTACTCTGGGGCCAGGCAGGGTGGCACAGGCCTGTAATCCCAGCACTTTAGGAGGCCAAGGCGGGCAATCACCTGAGGTCAGAAGTTCGAGACCAGCCTGGCCAACATGGTGACACCCCGTCTCTACTAAAAATACAAAAATTAGCTGGTAGTGGTGGCAGGTGCCTGTAATCCCAGCTGCTCAGGAGGCTGAGGCAGGAGAATCACTTGAATCTGGGAGGCAGAGGTTGCAGTGAGCCAACATCACGCCATTGCACTCCAGCCTGGGCGACAAGAGCAAGACTTTGTCTCAAAAAAACCAACAAAAATCCAGTTACCCTGTACTTGAGTTTTGAGACCCTCAAAATAGTGTTCCCCATGTTCAAGTGGGAGTAAAGGATATTGAAAGTAGGAGGAGGCTGGGCGCAGTGGCTCACACCTGTAATCTCAGCACTTTGGGAGGCCGAGGCAGGTGGATCACCTAAGGTCAGGAGTTTGAGACCAGCGTGACCAACATGGAGAAATTCTGTCTCTACTAAAAATACAAAATTAGCTGGGTGTAGTGGCACATGCCTGTAAACCCAGCTACTCAGGAAGCTGAGGCAGGAGAATCGCTTGAACCCATGAGGCACACGTTGTGGTAAGCCAAGATCACGCCATTGCACTCCAGCCTGGGCAACAAGAGCGAAACTCCATCTCAAAAAAAAAAAAAAAAAAAAAAAAAAAAAAAAAAAAAGGAGGAGGAAAAACCAGATAGTAGAGGGAAGTGCTTCCGAACAGACTCATACAGAAGCCACATGGCAGGTCCTCTAGCCTACCATCCTTCTCTTAAAGCTCAATCCACCTAAATGTTTATCTCTTTTGACCCAAAGACTCTCACTGTTAATTTACCTTAAGGAAAAGCTATGTGCAAGAACTCATCCATGGCAGCATTACCTAATAATGGAGGAAAAACTGGAAACAACCTAAGAGTCTAAAGTCAAGGCCTAGCAATAAATTACAAAGATCTGATAGAAGCATGGATAATGCTTATCATATGAGAATTAGACGAATAATACACCATCACAATCTTTATTTTTTAGTTACCTTTTTGTTCTTCTAATTTTCTCCACTTTTTAAAGTCAAAAACTTTTTTTTAATATTTTCCTTAAAATGCAAGTATCAGCCGGGTGCGGTGGCACTCCCAGCACTTTGGGAGGCCGAGGTGGGCAGATCACTAGAGGTCAGGAGTCTGAGAACAGCCTGGCCAACATGATGAAATCCCATCTCTATTAAAAATACAAAAACCAGCAGGGCGAGGTGGCGGGCACCTGTAATCCCAGCTACTTGGAAGGCTGAGGCAGAATAATCATTTGAACCTAGGAGGAGGAAGTTTCAGTGAGCCAAGATTGTGCCACTGCACTCCACTGTCTCAAAAAAATAAAAAATAAAAAAAATAAAAAATAAAAAAAAAATAAACTCACTTTCCCCAAAAACCCCTTCTTTTCTTTATAACCTATTGACTACTTTCTTTTCACTGGAAAATGAGGAAAGCAGAAGAAAATCATGAGTGTGACAAGAAAATGATGAAAGAGATTTCTGGTGTGGCTTGAGGAAATGAGCATCAGGTGTTCACAGTCATTCACACTATAATATGGGCCTAGAGAGAACCGGAGGGGATTGAATTTCTCACAATTTTGAAAGACATAATGGTTCATACAAGATGGGCATCCCCATGGCTACCTCTTCACAGTTTTCGGAAATTTAGATCTTAACCCAAGTATAATGGATATTTCCATAGGTAATTTGCATTACAGTATTTTTAAATATCTTAAGGTATCTAAAAAGTCCTATAACCCATAAAAAGAACTATCTGTAATTATGAATTAAATACCAACATCTATCCTGAATTTACACAGGCTGTAAAAACAGGAAGTCCTAATATTGCTAACTTTGAGACTTTCTGCCTTATATTTAACCCAAAACATTTATGTACTTTAAGATATTTTTCTTGTGATTTGGCCTCAGAGACTGCAAAGGGTCACTAGCTGCCCCTAAGCCTGTGTGGTGATACTTCCTATACTAGGAAGGGGATTATGCTGTAATAAAATAGAAGTCCTTTATATGCAGTTTTCTGAAGCAATTTTTGAAGACTGCTTTACTAACTCTCACAGCTCCTTGCAGTATATATACATGGACTTAAATGAATTATCCCGGTTCAGCTGAGGATTCCAAATGCACAAAGCCCAGAAAACCTGGCTGCTGGTCTCACGCTATTAACTCATAATGTGACTAACCTCAGCTACCCAATTCATGCTCCTGCCAGACATGACTGATAACAATCCACCTTGATTATTATAGGTAGCTGAACCCAGGTTAAAAAAAATCAACTTTAAATACATTCCACAATGCTTTACAGAAGCAAAACAAAAACAAGCAAACAAAAAACAAACCAGAAAAATCAAAATTATTAAAAAGCTGATTTTTGCTTAAAACACCAAGCAAGAAATGGACATATGAATATTCCTAACCTGCAAAATGATTCCTCCACATTATATCAGCGAAACTCATTGGTGGGCCACTGGGAGGGTAGTGTTTACCTTTCAGAGGTTCATGATCAGTCCTTATCATATCCATTAAGGAGTTCTCCAACGAGTGCAAGTTAAAAGTATCATAGGGCCTACTCCGGTCCTAAGAATAAAAACAAAAACAAGACAATACATAAAATTACTTCATAAAATTAACACCATATCATTTGCTTCCTGCTGTGGATTGATGACATGAATGAAAGTTACAGAGAGCCCCAACAGCATACAGTCCTTCTTTTTATTTGTTTATTTATTTATTTACTTTGTAGAGATGGGGTCTCGCTATGTTTCCCAGGCTGGTCTCGAATGTCTAGGCTCAAGCAATCCTCTTGCCTTGGCCTACCAAAGTGCTGGGATTACAGACGTGAGCTACCGCGCTGATCCTGCTCTTTTCATTAAGAATAATGACTTGTCACACCTGTAATCCCAGCACTTTGAGAGGCCAAGGTGGGCAGATCACTTGAAGTCAGGAGTTTGAGACCAGCCTGGCCAACAGGGTGGAACCTCGCCTCTACTAAAAATACAAAAATTAGCCAGGTATGGTGGTGTGCACCTGTAATCCCAGCTACTTGGGAGGCTGAGGCAGGAGAATCACTTGAACCTGGAAGGCAGAGGTTGCAGTGAGCTGAGGTCACACCACTGCATTCCAGCCTGGATGACAGAGCAAGACTCCATCTCAAAAAAAAAAGAACAATGACTTGGTAACATTAAGTTTAATACAAGTCTCCATAATTAATTAAATTGCATCATTTTCCCTAATACTCTATAATGCAATGTAATTGCAGAGTGACTTTCTCGCAAAGGAACTAAAATAGTAAATTTAAAAGGACGAGTCAAGTTAATTGGTTTTGCTCTCTACCCTCCACCCAATAACCTTATTGTCAAACGAACAGAGATGTTCCCCCCACCCCACCCCAGAGAAAGACCACAATTTTTTTTTTTGAGACAAGGTCTTGCTTTGTTGCCGAGGTTGAAGTACAGTGGTGCAATCATGGCTCACTTCAGTCCCGACCTCCTGAGCTCAAGCAATCCTCCCACCTCAGCCTCCCTAGTAGCTAGGACACTTGCCACCATGCCCAGCTAATTAAAAAAAATTTTTTTTTAAGAGATGGGGTCTCACTATGTTGCCCAGGCTGGTCTGGAATTCCTGAGTGCAAACGATAAAGACCACAGTTAAGAACTCAAACGGAATCATTTTCCTGAAAAACCAAAGGGTGACTATAATTTCAATGAAAATGTATTGGATATCTTTAACATTTCTTTTTTTTTTTTCTTTTTTTTAAGACAGAGTCTGGCTCTGTTGCCCAGGCTGGAGTGCAGTGGCGCAATCTTGGCTCACTGCAAGCTCCGCCTCCTGGGTTCACGCCATTCTCCTGCCTCAGCCTTCCGAGTAGCTAGGACTACAGGCACCCGCCACCATGCCCAGCTAATTTTTTGTATTTTTAGTAGAAATGGGGTTTCACCGTGTTAGACAGGATGATCTTGATCTCCTGACCTCGTGATCCACCGGCCTCGGCCTCCCAAAGTACAGGGATTACAGGCGTGAGACACCGCGCCCGGCCTACCTTTAACATTTCTGACCAGTAAGTTACATATATTGGATACACTTTTTAAAAATAAAAATGTGGCCAGGCGCAGTGGCTCACACCTGTAATCCCAGTACTTTGGGAGGCCGAGGTAGGCAGATCATGAGGTCAGGAGACTGAGATCATCCTAGCCAACAAGGTGAAACCCTGTCTCTACCGAAAATACAAAAATTAGCTGGGCATGCTGGTGCGTGCCTGTAATCCCAGCTACTCAGGAAGCTGAGGCAGCGAATTGCTTGGACCCGGGAGGCAGAGGTTGCCGTGAGCTGAGATCACGCCACTGCACTCCAGCCTGGCGACATAGCAAGACTCCATCTCAAAATTTAAAAATAAAAATGTGTTCTAAGTTGTATTCATGAAGATAATGGCAAAAAGGAAAAAAAATTTTTAATGTGTCCAAAGTACGAAAATTACCTTTTGAAAAGCACTGACACGAAGAAACCTTAACCCAAAGGAGTATTTTCAAGATGTTAGATTCAAAAACATTTTGAAACTAGAACTCTAACACAAACTAAGTAAAGAAAAAAGTATTATTTCACCACATTTCACTCAAGCCTTCAGGAAACTATCACCTACAAACTCTTCTTAGTACTCTGAGCCTCAAGGGAAACACAGCTCATGTTCTAAGTTAATACTAAAGAGCCAGGCACGGTGGCTCACGCCTGTAATCCCAGCACTTTGGGAGGCTGAGGCGGGCGGATCACGAGGTCAGGAGATCGAGACCATCCTGGCTAACATGGTGAAACTCCGTCTCTACTAAAAAATATACAAAAAATTAGCCAGGCATGGTGGTGGGCACCTGTAGTCCCAACTACTAGGGAGGCTAAGGCAGGAGAATGGCGTGAACCTGGGAGGTGGAGCTTGCAGTGAGCCGAGATCGCGCCACTGCACTCCAGCCTGGGCGACAGAGCGAGACTGTCTCAAAAAACACACACACACACACACACACACACACACACACACGTACAAAAAAAAAACTAAGTTAATACTAAAGAACAGATCAAGTTTGCTTTGGTTAAGAAAAGCAAGATAAGCATACAACTCAACAACCAAACCAAGTCAAACTACAGTGATGAGAGATTATTTTCAGGGTCTTGAGCAGTCTTTTCCAGCCTTGCACTTGATCATTTATCCTCTTCTATGGACAACACTCACCCATTACCTATCTCTCCCCTTGGATAGGAAAGAGACATGGAATATTTTCTTTGGTTGTCTACTTTGGTCTCTATACAATCTAAGAAGGTTTTTTCTTTTAAAGTCTTCCTGCAGATCATTTGTTTTGTTTTGGTTCAAGTTATTAGTGGAAACTCTAAGGAGTAAAGCTGAATTTCCAGAAATGCAGGCTTATCTGTACCCATAAGAGGTGTCTATCATATACTTTGTCCAAAGAAAAAGCCAGAGGTAAAGAAGTATGCTGATGAGGAGGCAAAATGATAACCTATTTCTGGCACTAACAATCCCAAAATGAATTATCTAGGAGCCCTCTATCACATCCACACTTCTAACTAGAACTCTGAAGACATGAGAGTGTTTCAGAATAGACTGACATGGTAAGGGAACTATAAGAAAACGCTATTTGAAGGCATTCAAGAATCTTTCCAGACAGGACAGTTTATTTTTTCATTTAATTATTGATAATCCCTCAAGGTAGATAACAATATACCCATTTTACACATGAAGAAGGCAAGGTTCAGAGAAGATTCAAGAGCCCTCAATGCCAAAACCTAAGGAGTATAAAAATCTGGCCAAAGAAATTATTTAAATCCATGGTTACTTCTATAGAAAAACAGCACTGTAACTAACTGCACATTACAATGTTTTAATGTAACAGTCAGTTCCTATCACAAATGGATATCTGACATTAGATGACTACCTGTCAGGAAAATAAAACAGGATTTTGGGAGGAGGGATTCATGTAACTAAATTGAAATGGTTCCCAAACCTGTCAGACTGTCAAAAATCACATGTAGAGCCGATTAAAACATAGATTCCTGGGTTCCAGCTCAAACCTACTTAATCATAATTTAAAACAAAATAAATTCTGTAACTGGCTAGAGCCACTAAATTGGATGATTCAAGTTAAGCCTTTACACCCATGATTCTGTTCAGTAAAATTAGACAGTAAAGTGAGGGCAGGGACTAGTGTGAGCAGCAGGCAATAAACAAGCCTGGCTACCTTGCAGAGGGTCAGTTTTGCAGTCTTCTGATTTACTGAGTATTAGAGAAACAGTTGGTGGCCTAGTTTTTAAAAGCACAGATTTTAAAATCAAAATCCAATTTTCAAATTTTGGCTCTCCCACTTACTGGCATGTCACTTTGAACATGCTTCTAAGCCTTGGTTATCTTCATCTATAAAATGGGATAATTTTCCAGGTGCAGTGGCTCACGCCTGTAATCCCAACACTTCAGGAGGTCAAGGCGGGTGGATCACGAGGTCAGGAGATCGAGACCATCCTGGCTAACATAGTGAAACCCCGTCTCTACTAAAAATACAAAAAATCAGCCAGGCATGGTGACACGCGCCTGTAGTCCCAACTACTCGGGAGGCTGAGGCAGGAGAATCGCTTGAACTGGGGAGGCGGAGGTTGCAGTGAGCCGAGCTCATGGCACTGCACTCAGCCTGGGCGACAGAGCAAGACTCCGTCTCAAAAAAAAAAAAAAAATTAGCCAGGCATTGTGGCAGGTGCCTGTAATCCCAGCTACTTCAGAGGCTGAGGCAGGAGAATCACTTGAACCTGGGAGGTGGAGGTTGCAGTGAGCCTAGATCACACCACTGCACTACAGCCTGGGCAACAGAGTGAGACCCCATCTCAAAAAAAAAAAAAGGGTAGGGGATAATTCTCTCTTCATGGTTTCTTCAGTACTAAATACAGAACATATAGGCATCTGTACCATGGTGGCTACCATAATATTAGGGAGAACACAAAAAGATTTCTGTGATGCTATCTCAAGAGTACTGAAAAATAAATTTTTAAACCTAGCAGTTCACAGATACTAACCTAACAGGGTTCACTTAATGCTCAAGAGATGAAAACATATGACATGTGAATGGCATGATAGAATTTGTACAGGCTTAATTAAACAAACTTCAGGCCTCTGAGAGTTCTCATTAAAATTAATTCCATCCATGCCTCATCAACTTATATTTGATGCATACCATTCATCCTTTTTGTTTTAGAAGTAGTAAACGTTGCTGAAATAAGTGATTAACCAGGAAGTCTGCAAAAACAGAACAAAAAGGATAGAAAAAAACAGAAAAATCTACAGTGGAATTCATCAACAGAAATTATGTATACAGAAAACCAGGCCACAATTTATCATTCAATGACAAAAGTTGCAAGTGGCAACTAACCTGTTAGACCTTTTTTTATAAGTTTTGTTTCCCAATACAGAGAAACAGGAAAGCATCATTATTTGTTTTTACAAGCAAACACACCAAGAAGTATTAGAACATCTATAAATAATGCAGCCCATTATTGACTCTTTTTCTTTGAAGATAACCAGTGAAGATGTTGTCAGTTAGCTGTACACAGAACAGCTCACCTCCACTGCATTAGTCCTCTCTTTCTTCCCTCAGCTGGATTTAATAGTAATAAATTTTTCAAGTATTTAACATGTGCCTGTCACTGTTCTAAGTATGCTATATGCATTATCTCACAGCCCTATTAAGTAGGTAGCTTTTGTCCCATTTTATAAATTAAACAAGTCGCTGGGCGCAGTGGCTCACTCCTGTAATCCCAGCACTTTGGGAGGCCGAGGTGGGCAGATTGCAACGTCGGGAGTTCGAGACCAGCCTGGCCAACATAGTGAAACACCATCTCTACTAAAACTACAAAAATTAGCCGGTGTGGTGGCACATGCCTGTAGCCCCAGCTACTTGGGAGGCTGAAGCAGGAGAATCGCTTGAACCCAGGAGGCGGAGGCTGCAGTGAGCCGAGATCACGCCATTGCACTCCACCCTGGGTGACACAGTGAGACTCCATCTCAAATAAAATAAAAATAAAATAAAAATTAAGTCTTGGAGAGAATAAATAACTGGCTCAAGGTTATGGGGATGGTGAGTGGCAGAGCCAGGGCTCAAACCCAGTCAAATCCAGACCGTGCTCTTAAGGATTCTCATTGTACTGCTTCCTTGACTTCCTCCTATTCTCTCTAGCCTTACATCCTTTTTACAAACACTCCCTTTAACTTAATCTGTCACAATCCAGAGACAGGTTTCTTTGACCCCACCCTGCAACACAAGCAACTTGACCCTCACTTGCCCTTGGTCAATGACCTTTGCTCAACTGACAACTAATTAACCTCAAGAAGTAGTTTGATCTACCTCTATACAATCCCAGGTCCGCCTCTAACAGCCCTAACCCATTCACCTGCCCTTTTCTTGGAAGAGGAATCCAGAACCCCTTGCTACTCTTTCTAGCTTATACCTAGACATTTCCTCTGCTAGACATACAAAGTGGAAGGCTGAAAGGGCCAACAGCATCTGGGGATAAAAGTAGCTCTGGAACCAAATGATAAAATTAACCATGTGCTAGGCACTGGACTAAATGGTTTAAAGTTCTATCTCCCTCCTCACTACAACGCTGCAGAGTAGGTATTATCTCCATTTCACTGAGGAAAACTGAGGCTCACAAAGGTTTATGTAACTGCTCAGTCACAGAGCTGATCAGAAATAAGGACATAAAACTAGGTCTGTGACTCTCAAGTCCATACCAGTAATGTTCTAATGCTTCTACACTAACTAGCTGCAGTGTGATCCATGAACAATGGAGGCTTAGTTGGGAAGAAAGGGACACAGACAGGACCAAAAATCAAAAGGATGGTAGATGTCTGAAAGAGCTAGGAAAAGATAAATGTGGTCATTGAAAACAGAAAAACTTTTTAGAGGAATTCCTAAGGAAGAGTTTTCTATTTATCACATGACTGCAACATATACATGGATAAAACATTCCGAAGTTAAATGCATCTAACACATAAGAAACGATTAACTGGCAGGGCGCAGTGGCTCACGCCTGTAATCCCAGCACTTTGGGAGGCTGAGGCAGGCGGATCACCTGAGGTCGGGAGTTCGAGACCAGCCTGACCAACATGGAGAAACCTCATCTCTACAAAAAATCCAAAATTAGTCAGGCATGGTGGCGCATGCCTGTAATCCCAGCTACTCAGGAGGCTGAGGCAGGAGAATCTCTTGAACCCAGGAGGTGGAGGTTGCGGTGAGCCGAGATCATGCCATTGCACTCCAGCCTGGGCAACAAAAGTGAAACTCTGTCTCAAAAAAAAAAAAAAAAAAAGGCCAGGCGCGGTGGCTCATGCCTATAATCCCAGCACTTTGGCAGGCTGGATCAAGTAGATCAAGAGGTCAGGAGTTCGAGACCATCCTGGCTAACACGGTGAAACCCCGTCTATACTAAAAAATTAGCTGGGTGTGGTGGCACGCGCCTGTAGTCCCAACTACTCGGGAGGCTGAAGCAGGAGAATCGCTTGAACCTGGGAGGCGGCGGTTGCAGTGAACCGAGATCACGCCACCGTACTCCAGCCTGGGTGACAGAGACTCCATCTCAAAAAAAAAAAAAAAAAAAAAAAGGACAAACTCACAAAACTAGCTGCTTCTAAATTTCCATCCTACTGCTCTTATTTTCTACTCAGTATATGTTATTGGGAAATATGTCAGGTCCCTTCTGCACTATAAACAGTTTAAGAGCAATGAAAATGCCTTATCTGTTTTTAAATAGATATTCATTACATAATATACGAACCTATTTTTCTCCAAACACACAGAGAGAGAGAGAGAGAGAGAGAGAGAGAATTATTTTAAAATGCCAACATCTCCAATCCTGCCTCCACTCACTGTCTTCATTCAATGGTATATTTTACCCATCCCAAATGAGACTATTATATTTGTAGCCCTCTGGAAAACCTAATTCTATATTCTCCTTCAGTCACTCAATGGCAAGCAAATGCTCCTTATATCTAACCTAAAGTCCTAATGAAGTTGAAACTTTTCTCCCTTTTCTGTCCTTGGGGGAAAATTATCAGCATCTACTGTGAATTTTAATATTCTTTAAAATTGTTGTTAAACAGTCTTCCATGCAATAAATTCTCAAGAACCCTCAAAATAGCCCAGTATAAGATTAGGGCATACAGGCCGGGCACGGTGGCTCACGCCTGTAATCCCAGCACTTTGGGAGGCCGAGGTGGGCGGATCACCTGAGGTCGGGAGTTCGAGACCAGCCTGACCAACATGGAGAAACCCTGTCTCTACTAAGAAATACAAAATTAGCCGGGCGTGGTGGCGCATGCCTGTAATCCCAGCTACTTGGGAGGCTGAGGCAGGAGAATTGCTTAAACCCGGGAGGCAGAGGTTGAGGTGAGCCGAGATCACACCACTGCACTCCAGCCTGGGTGACAAGAGTGAAACTCCGTCTCAAAAAAAAAAAAAAAAAAAAAAAAGATTAGGGCATACAGAGAAATTATAGATTCCTCATCTTTTTCTTCCTGAGGATGACTAATTCCACTTACTTAAAGCTTTTTATCAGATTGTGTTTTTACTTGCTGTGTAACAGGAAACCAAGCTAAGGTTCTGGAGAAGTTAAAAAAAAAACCAAGGATAGTATCACCTGCTCTGAAGGATGCTCAAAAATTAGATAAACATGACTCAACTTGAAGCACATTTTTGCCAAGTCTTTTCATGTTCTCCCTATTCCTAATGTTTCTTCACAGCTCTTCTGGTTTTAGCCAGGCAGGTCAGATAAGAGGCTTAGTATATCATACACAGAGAAACATGGCTCTCGGAATTACCTGACATGACCCTACATTTTGAGGCTGGATTCAGCAGGGTAAATGCTACAGTGGTCAACTGTATAAAAAGTACAAATGCCACCTGCTGCCATTGCTGACTGTGGTAAACAGTTCATAGTTAAGTACATATGCAATTTAAAAAGGAGTGATTTTTCCAGTCAATGGTGTCTGACTAAAAGAAAATATTGAAAATAAAAAGGAGTGATTATACAGCTTAGCAGTGTGCTAGGGAAAAGGCAGAAATGAGGCCAACCCAGGAAGGATACAGAAAGGGAAAGCAATGACTATGACGGTCAGAAGAGAAGGCATCAAAAAAGTACAAAAATTAGGCCGGGCACGGTGGCTCACACCTGTAATCCTAGCACTTTGGGAGGCCGAGGCGGGCGGATCACCTGAGGTCAGCAGTTCGAGACCAGCCTGGCCAACATGGTGAAACCCCGTCTCTACTAACAATATAAAAATTAGCCGGGCATAGTGGCATGTGCCTGTAAGCCCAGCTACCTGGGAGGCTGAGGCAGGAGAATCACTGGAACCCGGGAGGCAGACGCTACAGTGAGTCAAGGTGGTGCCACCGCACTCCAGTCTGGGCAACAGAACAAGACACTGTCTCAGAAACAAACAAACAAACAAACAAACAAAAACCAACAAAAATTAAAGTTGCCCCTTTCCCTGGTTAGTGTGCATATGTGACTTTTGAAAGTGATTAGTTGATGTCACCCCAAATCATTGGGTTGTTAGCCAGCAGAATATTATCTCAAGAAGTTTACTGGGCATTGATTTATTAGGTATAACAATAAAGGGGGAGCTTAACCTTTGCTATCAAAACCTATCTTAGAACTTTATGCAGAAGTACATGTAGCTCCTAATATTATTTTCTTCTTCCAGGTATCAACTCTCCTTCCCCATCCCAGACTGATTCTAGGTAATTAGAACTAAGTATATTGTAATTACTTCTTTACATGCCTGTCACTCTCAATAAACTGTAAGTCTCATGGGAGCAGAAATGTGTCTTATTTCTCTGCATTCCCATTATCGAGCAGAGGGCCTGGCATACAACAGACATTCAGTAAATGCTTACCTCACATTTAAATTGTTCTTTTGATGAATTCATCTTGCAAGACTTTTACTTTAAACTAAGAAAGAACTACTCATTTACTAGAATGGATAAAAAAAACAAACACACACCCTGACAACTCCAAATGCTGACTAGGATGCAGAACAACCAGAATTCTCATAAATTCCTAGTAGGAATGCAAAATGGCACAGCCACTTTGGAAAAACAGTTTGGCTGTTTCTTATAAAGTTAAACATATACTTAAGCACACAACCAGCAGTTCCACTCCCAAGTATTTACCCAAGATAAATAAAAACATATGTCCACACAAAAACCTATGGATCCATATACACTGATGTTTATAACAACTTTATAAAACAATGTTATTTATAATTTCCCCAAACTGGAAACTACCCAAATGCCTATCAACTGGTAAATGGATAAACAAATTTTGGCACATGCATATAATGCAATAACATTCAGCAGTAAAAATAAATGAAGTACTATAAATAAATATATCTAGTATGCACCCACAAAAATTATAAATTATAAAATTAAAAATATAAAAATTTTAAAAGTTAAATGAAGTATTGATACATGCTACAACATGGATGAACCTTAAAACACTAAGAGAAAGAAGACAATCACAAAAAATTACATATGATATTTCATTTATATGTAAGGTCCAGAACAGACATATTATCTATAGAAATAGGAAGTAGATTGGTCATTGCCTAAGGCTGGGAAATCAGGGCAAAATGCAGATTGACTGCTAGTGAGTTTGATTTTTTTTCTTTTTGGGGTGATAAAAATGTTCTAGAATTAGATCATAATGACTGACACACAATTTAGTCATTATACTAAAAACCGCTACATTGTATATTTTAAGAGTGAACTTCATGATATGTGAATTATATCTCAATAAATCTATTATTTTTATTTTTTCTTATCTTGTTTAAATTTTTTATTTTTAAGCTTTTTTTTTTTTGAGATGGAGTCTAGCTCTGTCGCCCAGGCTGGAGTGCAGTGGCGCCATCTTGGCTCACTGCAACCTCTGCCTCCCAGGTTCAAGCAATTCTCCTGCCTCAGCCTCCCCAGTAGCTGGGATTACAGGCACGTGCCACAAAGCCCGGCTAATTTTTTGTATTTTTAGTAGAGACAGGGTTTCACCGTGTTAGCCAGAATGGTCTTGATCTCCGGACCTCATGATCTACCCACTTCGGCCTCCCAAAGGGCTGACATTACAGGCGTGAGCCACCGCGCCCAGCCTTTAAGCTGTTATTTTTAAAAGGCATTTCTAAGACTTTAACAGAACTATGACACTTCCGGTAAATCATCTAACTTTAGGTACAAGACATAAGAGATGATATATATATATATATATGTATATATATGTATATATGTATATATGTATGTGTATATATATACGTATATATATGTATATGTATATATATACGTATATATGTATATGTATATATATACGTATATATGTATATGTGTATATATATGTGTGTATATGTGTATATATATGTGTGTGTATATATATATATATATATATTTTTTTTTTAGAGGTGTAGCTGGGATTACAGGAGCCTGCCACCATGCCTGGCTAATTTTTGTATTTTTAGTACAGACGAGGTTTCACCATGTTGGCCAGGCTGGTCTTGAACTCCTGAACTCAGGTGATTCACCCAAAGTGCTTGGCCTCCCAAAGTGCTGGGATTGCAGACATGAGCCACCACGTCCTCGATTTTTTGAGCTGAAGGAAGGCAAAGTCTTGACTTCAGCTGCTCCACTGACTGCGGCTTGACTTCAGCTGCTCCATTCAGGAGCCAATGAAGGAACCCAGGAATTAAACCTAAACGAGACAGTAGTAAAACTCCCAAGGTAACCCTACTGCCAGTCAAATAACTAATGCCATCTATCATCACAACATGCACCTTTTACATTTCTAAAGATGTCTTTAATATTTCTCCAGGAACCTATAAGCAATTATTAACCATATTACCCACAAACAGCATCTTCTCCTGTCTCCCACTGCTTCTGATGAGTTGTTTTTTTAATCCCATGGATTCCTGTCTTACAGTGATATACTGTGTTCTTCAGAGGCCCAGCTGACCCCATTTATGACCAGGGCACATTTTAAGAATGACATGCTACAGCATCTCCCTAGAAGCATCACTGGGCCGTAAAAGATACCTATAAGCTGTTCATTTCAATTGCTGTTTGACTTGGGTGGTTGGGTAAGGAGATATACAGCAGAATTCGCAGATTCACCAGAATCTGACAGGGGCTGCGACGTGAACGCTTCTGCTGTGGCCCCCTGTTATCCCCTTGATCCTTGAATTTAGGAACTAAGCAGCAGCTTTTATGCAAATCATCCTATAGCAATAAAAGCAATAAAACAACAGCTGTGTCAATTTGGGCTAGCAGCTTTCTAGGGCTCCTCCTCCTTTCAGAAACCAACAGATGATGCCCTGCCCAGTGTACACACAGATTAAGAGCTACAGACTATAGCTCTTCATTGTCACTCCCTGGCCATCACTGGAAAGGTCACCAATGTACATGTTCGTATATTTTAAAACAGGGAACCTGGTAAGTACCAAAGAAATTCACTCCAAGTTCATGGTCTGGGACCAGAGAAATAGAAGCTCATTATCTTAGTTTCCAAACCCCTCTCTTCTAGTGGAAGGAAAATGGTAAAACAAAAACAAAAAACCCCTTGAATCTCAAGTTTATTGTACAACTCTAATTCCAGATAAAAAGAGACTTAAATTAAAATGAGACAAATAATAAAATTGGATTAAATAACCAAAATAAACATAATAGAATATTGTATTCAAAAGCCAAAACTATCTTAACCACTTTTTTTTTTTTTTTTTTTTTTGAGACAGAGTCTTGATCTGTCACCCAGGCTGGAGTAAAGTGGTACTATAATGGCTCACTGCAACCTGTGCCTCCCAGGTTCAAGCAATTCTTTGCCTCAGCCTCCCGAGTAGCTGGGATTACAGGTACCTGCCACGATGTCCAGCGAATTTTTGTATTTTTAGTAGAGATGGGGTTTCACCATCTTGGCCAAGCTGGTCTTGAACTCCTGACCTCAGGATCCACCCACCTTGGCCTCCCAAAGTGCTGGGATTACAGGTGCAGCTGTCTTAACCACTTTTAAAGCTTTATCATTTTTTAATTTGAACAGGCTTACGCCCAAACTGCTTTCATGCTAAACCTATCCCTGACAAAGTAATGCTGGTTTATTTTTCAAAAGCAGCCAATCTGCCTCTGGGGAGAGGAAAATGGATGTGTATACTGTTTTTCATAACAAGCCTCGTAGAACTGATTAAGTCATAGCTACCATATAATAGATAATTAATATGTGCCAGACCCTGTGCTGATGAGTATCTCATTGGATTACCTCATTTAATTTTTATAACTGTCCTATGAAGTAGATATTACAATATCTTTTTTTACAGATGAGGAAACTAAATATTAAATTCAGTCCTTTTTTTTTTTTTTTTTTTTTTTTGAGACGGAGTCTCACTCTGTCACCCAGGCTGGAGTGCAGTGGCGTGATCTTAGCTTACTGCAACCTCTGCCTCCCAGGTTCAAGCAATTCTCCTGCCTCAGCCTCCTGAGTAGCTGGGATTATGGGTGTGCGCCATGATGCCCAGCTAATTTTTGTATTTTTAGTAGAGACAGGATTTCACCACATTGGCCAGGCTGGTCTCGAACTCCTGACTCAAGTGATCTTCCCACCTCAGCCTCCCAAAGTGCTAGGATTACAGGTGTGAGCCACTGCGCCCAGCCTAAATTCAGTTAATACAAATCAAGTATCCTTGAAGAAGGCCAACTACACACAAATTATGTGTTATGTAAGCATTCCAGGGAGAAAAGAACCTAAGTCTTTAACCTAATCTTCCATTTAAATGTTACCCCATTTAAGAGGTGAACATGTTAATAAAGCATCTAAAATGGAAAGCATCCACATTTATTAAAATATTTGGTATTTAGAAGGTTAAAAAATTTTACTTTAAAATAAAGCCAGTACCATTCTAATAATGATACTTTAGGGTACTTTAAATGTCATAAAGTCAAGTCCAGTAAATACTTTTTTTTTTTTTTTTGGAGACAGAGTTTCGCTGGTCCAAGCTGGAGTGCAATGGCGCAATCTCGGCTCACCATAACCTCCACCTCCCGGGTTCAAGAGATTCTCCTGCCTCAGCCTCCCAAGTAGCTGGGATTACAGGCACGCGCCACCACGCCCGGCTAATTTTTTGTATTTTTAGCAGAAACGGGATTTCGGCATGTTGGTCAGGCTGGTCTCGAACTCCCAACCTCTGGTGATCCACCCTCCTCAGCCTCCCAAAGTGCTGGGACTACAGGCATGAGCCACCACACCCGGCCTCAGAAAGTCTTAATATATTCTGGTGATAGTTGGGTCCAGAAAAAGTAATCTCTATGTACTCTTTTTCCCTTTCGTTTTGAGACAGGGTCTCACTTTGTCACTCAGGCTGGAGTACATCTGTAGCCTCCAGCTCCTGGGTTCAAGCGATCCTCCTACCACATCCTCTCAAATACTAGGACTTAAGGCACATGCCAACACACCTGGCTATTTTCTTTTTTTAATTCTTAAACTTGTATTTATGTTTATATATTTATTTATGTTCATATCTTATTTTGTAGGCAATAAATGTTTCTATGAAACTTGGGGAATATAATTAATTTTTGCATATTGAGTCCATTTAATAACCTTCAGATAGCTATACTTAAAGGTCATACTTTAATTACTTTTCTAGGCAAATTATTCAAGTTTTTCACTTAAGTAAACCGTTTCCCCAAAATATGGAAACAAACTGAAGTAAAACAGATTTTTTGAGTCCTTTAATAGGTCTGGGAGAGTTATTTAAAATTATAGACTAAAAAAGTGCTTTGGAATTATTCATGTTTTTGCTTTCCTTTGTTATTGTGGAATTCAGCTTAATGAATAAGAAACAATATGAGAAGGTACACTTCTTTTTTCCTTTTTTTTTGTTTTGAGACAGGGTCTCACTCTGTCACCCAGGCTGGAGTACAGTGGCACGATCTTGGCTAATAGTCTGGACCTTCCAGGCTCAAGTGATCCTCCTACCTCAGCCTCCTGAGTAGCTGGGACCACAGGCATATGCCACCATGCCCTGCTAATTTTGGTATTTTTTGTAGAGACAGGGTTTTGCCATGTTGCTCAGGCTGGTCTAAATCTCCTGGGCTCAAGCAATCTGCCCCCATCGGCCTCCCAAAGTGCTGGAATTACAGGCATGCACCACCATACCCAGCCCATTTTTCTTTCATGTACATACACACACCACATACTAGGCTGAGTAGAAAGATAAGATAATGGTAAGACAATAGGAGAAATGAGAATTGCTAACTAGGAATAATTCTCAACCTGGAGACAGAAAGACAGAATGGTTTTAAGGCTCTGAATTGCCTGCACTTTAATTTTGACTCAGACACTTTGTATGTGATATCTTTGTGCCTCAGTTTTCTCATTTGTAAATGGGATAATAATCGTATTTACTTTTATAGGCTTTTGCGAGGAAGAAATGAGATAAAACATGTTAATCTATGTTTAATCACCACGCAGCCAGGCACAGTGGCTCACGCCTGTAATACCAGCACTTTGGGAGGCCGAGGCTGGCAGGTCACGAGGTCAAGAGATCCAGACCACTCTGGCCAACATGGTGAAACTCCATCTCTACTAAAAATACAAACATTAGCTGGGTGTGGTGGCACATGCCTGTAGTCCCAGCTACTCACAAGGCTGAGGCAGGAGAATTGCTTGAACCCAGGAGGCAGAGGTTGAAGTCAGCCGAGATCACACCACTACACTCCAGCCTGAGCGATAGAGCGAGACTCTGTCTCAAAACAAACAACAACAAAAAAACATGTTAAGTGCTTAAAACAGTACTGGGCACATAGCCAATATTGGTCATTAATGTTCTGCTATTATTTACTTCCAAAAATATTTGATAGTCCTGTTGTTGGCTTAACAAGAGGAGAAAGGACCTGGGATATGTTGAAGTAGGATAGGGTATCCTAAGCAAGGCTCAAAAGAACACCTTGGTGAGGTTCTGATGAGCAAAAATATGTGGGAAAAATGCTTTATGAGCTGTATAAGTATTCTATAAATAAATGGTAATAGGAAGAAATTAGATTATTTTGTAGCCTGAGTATGCTAGAAAGTGAATATTTGCTTGTCTAGCTCAACAGATAATGGTAATATTTCCCTACAAATCCCCCAAGTTGAATACCAGGGTAAAGATTCAAGGCTACACATTTTACAAGTCTTTAAAGTCAGACTCCTTTGTGGTAGAATGCCATTTTGAACTTCTGCATATTCATACACAAATTAACCAGATGCTGTCCTGGAGAAAGGGTTTACCAAGCTACATCCTTAATGTTAATAGTTTTCAAGAATCTGATAAGTATTTATGTAGAAGAAACTTGCTATTTACAAATAAATCTTAGCTATTTGCAGCCCTATAGCCTGTGTGTCCTTTGAGGAATCTCTTCTTGGGTCTTTCCAAATTTTAAGGAAGTTGGGCAATGTGTCTGGCCTCCCTTTTCTGAAAGCCCTTTTTTTTTTTCTTTCTTTTTTTTTTTTAAGGCAGAGTCTCACTCTGTTGCCCAGGCTGGAGTGCAGTTGGGGGATCTGAGCTCACTGTAACCTTCACCTCCCAGGTTCAAGCCATTCTCATGCCTCAGCCTCCCAAGTAGCTGAGACCACAGGTGCACACCATCATGCCTGGCTAATTTTTTGTATTTTCAGTAGAGACGGGGTTTCACCACGTTGGCCAGGCTGGTCTCGAACTCCTGACCCCAAATGATTCACCAGCCTCAGCCTTCTAAAGTGCTGAGATTACAGGGCAGGAGCCACTGCCAGCCTGAGAGCTTTTTTTGACTCCTCCTTTGTTTGTCCTCCCATAATTCCTAGCATATGGCTCTGTCATTGCATTTACCTCATTATATAATCATCATCTATTAAGTAGATCACTAGCTTCTTGTAGTCAGAGACTATGCCTCACTTAATCTTTTTATCTTTAATTCTTGGCATATTAAAGTTCCCAGTAAACATGTTGAACAAGTGAAGAAAGAGTGAAACAGCCCTGAGCATACTTGGAAAAATTTTGTTAGCACTAACGTTTGACAGTAATAAAGCTGTTATTTAAAAAAAAATTCTGTGATGTAGACATTTTGGAAATTCTGACTGAACCGTCTTAATTTACTGCATATTAGGCCAGGCACAATGGCTCACGCCTATAATCCCAGCATTCTGGGAGGCCGATGCAGGCAGATCACCTGAGGTCAGGAATTTGAGACCAGCCTGGCCAACATGGTGAAACTCCATTTCTACCAAAAATACAAAAATTAGCTGGGCGTGGTGGCACATGCCTGTAATCCCACCTACTTGGGAGGCTGAGGCATGAGAATCGCTTGAACCCAGGAGGGAGAGGTTGCAGTGAGCCAAGATCGTGCCATTGCACTCCAGCCTGGGCAACAAGAGACAGAAACTCTGTGTCAAAAAACAAAAAAACAAACAAAAAAGACTTTTTAGAGGCCGAAACAATAAGCAAGAAGACTGGTAGTATGATTATCTTCCTTCAATGAGACTATCAGGTATATACAATATTCCAAATGCAAGGACTCAAAAGTGGAATTTCAGCAGCTCACGCTTGTAATCCCAGCACTTTGGGAGGCAGACAGGCAGATCACAATATGAGGAGTTCAAAACCAGCCTGGCCAACACAGTGAAACCCCATCTCAACTAAAAATACAAAAATTAGCTGGGCGTGGTAGCAGGCGCCTGTAATCCCAGCTACTCAGGAGGCTGAGGCAGGAGAATCACTTGTACCCGAGAGGCGGAGGCTGCAGTGAGCCAAGCTGAGATCTTGCCACTGCATTCCAGCCTGGGCGACAGAGCTAGGCTCTGTCTCAAAAAAAAAAAAAAAAAAAAAAGTGGAATTTCAAGGAACAATTTCAGGAAGGAAAAAGGAGAGAGAAGCCAAGAAGAAATGAAAAGGAAAAAGCAGACAGAACTCACTATTTATATAATTATATACCCAAAATAATCAGTCTTTCATTGGGATGACCTGTAGTAGCCAGAATTATAATGCTCTGCCGCTCTGCAGTTAGATAAAAATAAAAAGATTTAAATCACAGCACACTGTAAGCACTCAAATTTCAATAGAATTGAATAAGTTATTTAATCTCCCTGTGTATGAGTTTCCTCATTTGAGAAATGTGGATAACAATAATGCCTACCTCACCTGGATGCTATAAAGATACAAATGAAGGTGGTCATCAACTATGGTATGGAAGCAGAAGGGACCTCAATTCTGTCTTCATGAAGGAGTAATAATGAACCAAAGTAAAATCAGGCATGATTTACAGGCAGCAAACTATGAAACTGTGAAAAAGGAAAGTGGCAAATATATTCCATTCAACTAAGTGGAACTGAATGTGTATAAAAAATTAATAGCAATTATTTTGAAATAATGCAGGATAGGAAAGTTGCTGGAAACCAAAAGAAAGGAAGAAAAATATAAACATACACGCACACATACACACTTTAAGGGGTAATACATAAACTATTGAACAATCTGTAGTCTCTTGGAAAAACTGAGGGTATAATTCAATTCCAATGGATATATGATGACTTTAACAACTACTCTTCATTTGAATAATGTTATAATTGTGTTGATAACATCTATACTAAATAAAAACAATTTCATTTAAAGCTATAAATATGGCCAGGCGTGGTGGCTCATGCCTGTAATCCCAGCACTTTGGGAGGCCAAGGCGGGCGGATTACTTGAGGTCAGGAGTTCGAGACCAGCCTGGCCAAGATGATGAAACCCAGTCTGTATAAAAATACAAAAATTAGCCAGGCGTGGTGGCACATGCCTGTAATCCCACTACTCAGGAGGCTGAGGCAGGAGAATCGCTTGAGCCTGGTACATATATAAATACAGGCAGAGGTTGCAGTGAGCTGAGATCACATCACTGCACTCCAGCCTGGGCAACAGAGTGAGACTCCATCTCAAAAAATAAATCAATAAATAAAAGCTATAAACATGAAAGCTCAAAGAAAATACCATGAAATATCTTATAAGTGAGAATATATGTAAAATGCTTTTGTCAGCTATAAAGAAAGCACCACATAAAATAAAAACTGGTGGAACAATATAAGCATTCAGCCACTTTTAGACAATTTTTGTTTAGAAAATTTGATGAAACAATACCTACTGGAAGTGAAGGCTTAGTCTGGTAGATAATTTATCAAGTATCCAAGAAAACTCTTACATTGTCTTTGTAAATTATAGATTATATCTCTGTATATGTGTATTAATAATGGCATGCTAATGGAAGATCACAGATTTATGCATGAAAGTGAGAAATGAAACAGAAACCACATAGAAACAGAAACTATGACTCAGAACAGATAAACTGTGCCAAATCATGACACGGAACACAAACTATCTAAGCTCAAATTGTTTTAAACAACAGCTCATTCAAACATATATCATAATTTTTTTTTTTTTTTTTTGAGACAGAGTCTCGCTCTGTTGCCCAGGCTGGCGTGCAGTGGCGCGATCTTGGCTCACTGCAACCTCTGCCTCTCAGGTTCAAGCAATTCTCCTGCCTCAGCCTCCCAAGTAGCTGGGATTACAGGAGCCCGCCACCACACCAGGTTAATTTTTTTGTGTGTATTTTTAGTAGAGACCGGGTTTCACTATGTTGGCTAGGCTGGTTTTGAACTCCTGACCTCAAGTGATCCGCCCACCTCAGCCTCCCAAAGTGCTAGAATTATGGGCATGAGCCACTGCGCCCAGCTCAAACATATATGTTCTAAGATCATATATCTTTTTCTTTTTTTGAGACGGAGTTTCACTTTGTTGCCCAGGCTGGAGTGCAGTGGTGCCATCTCGACTCACTGCAACCTCCACCTCCAGGGTTCAAGCAATTCTCCTGCCTCAGCCTTCCAAGAAGCTGGGATTACAGGCACCCGCCACCACTCCTGGTTAATTTTTTATTTTTATTTTTTGTACTTTTAGTAGAGACGGGGTTTCACTATGTTGGCCAGGCTGGTTTTGAACTCCTGACCTCAAGTGATGTGCTCACCTTGGCCTCCCAAAGTGCCAGGATTATAGGCAGGAGCCACCGTGCCCAGCTCCAACATATATGTTTTAAGACAATAAATTCTTTTTTTTTTTTTTTTTTGAGATGGAGTTTCACTCTTGTTGCCCAGGCAACAAGACAGTGGTACAACAAGACAGTGTACAACAAGACAGTTGTACAGTGGTGCAACTTCAGCTCACTGCAACCTCCACTTCCCAGGTTCAACCAATTCTCCTGCCTCAGCCTCCCAAGTAGCTGGGATTACAGGCACTCACCACTGCCCAGCTAATTTTTGTGTTTTTAATAGAGATGGGGTTTCACCATGTTGGCCAGGCTGGTCTCAAACTCCTGACCTCAGGTGATCCACTCACCTCGGTCTCCCAAAGTGCTGGGATTACAGGTGTGAGCCACTTTGCCCAGCCTAAAACAATATATCCTCATTGTCCAATATAGTAGCCACTAACCACATGTGGCTATTGAGCACTTGAAATGTCGCTAGAATAAACTGAGATGTGCTGTATTTGTAAAGTACCCACCGGATTTCAAAGACTTAGTACAAAAAAAAGTAAAACATCTCATTAATAATTTTTGTATTGATCATGTGTTGAAATAACATTTCACATATAGAGGTTAAATAAAATATATTAGTAAAATTAATTTCAGCCAAGCATGGTGGCTCACACCTATAATCCCAGCACTTTGGGAGGCCAAGGTGAGATGATCACTTAAAGCCAGAAGTTCCAGACCAGCCTGGGCAACATAGCAAGACCCCATCTCTACAAAAAATAAATAAAATTTAAAAAATTTCAAGTGTTTCTTTTTACTTTTCAAATGTGCCACTAGAAAATTTAAAATGATCTATGTAGCTTGCAGTCTATTTCTTTGGACAGCACTGCTATAGACAGAGTTCATGGTAACTCTGCTTAAATTCCTGCATTCCGAAGTTTCAGCAACTAGGCCAGTTTATACATTTTACCAATCCCCACCCAAATCTTGTTTACTTCTGCCCTAAAACCACATTATGAGTAACCCCAGGCCCCAAAACCTTATTAAGTACCCTAACTTCTCCCATCCTAAGACACTCCTTCTTCTAAGATACTCCTGAGGCTCTGTCAAGGTAGTGCTTGCTCAGCAAGTTTAGGAAACTCAGTTTCATATAATTAACAGATTTCCCTAGTGGTGTTTACATGGGGCTTTAACAAAAGTCAATGAATAAGAATTGTAAAGTGAAATAAGTTGTGTTGGAGATTCATTAAGTTTAACAAACAGAAACAATGATGATCGGTTTGAAAAGGGTAATTTATAAATAAGTTGTTCTGTCTAATGATTTAAATTACCAAAATTAAAATCCATACTTGTAGCAATCTACCTTATTTCGGTTCCTGGAATGGTAGAGTAGGAGAACATAAGATTAATGTAGAAACAACAGGCATAATATATCAATTTCATTGAAGCTGGAATCTTAAGAACAGGCTATAAACATGTCCTAAATTTTTAGACTTTGTAGAACCTTACTATTTTTATGATTTGACACTTAACTCCTGACTGGGTCTTTAAAGCAGATTTTAAATGAAACACAAAACAAACATGGCCATCTCCACTACTTTTTCCAACAGTCTCAGGACTCAGTAGAACACTATGTTAAAGCCCAACAACTAGGGTAAATCTCCTAGTCTAGAGCTAATTATAATATGGCAAATTAGTTGAAGTCCACCAAATCTCCCCAGCACAAAGTGAATTATACCCTGCCATTTTGACTGCAATTCATGGTCACATTTAAACTCCAGAATTACAGAAATATAAGCCATACTTCTAAAAAGCCAAATTTATCCCCAAAATCACCAAACAGAAAACCATACATATGACTCAACTTTCAACTTTTTACCATTGCACACATATTAATCTCAAGTAACACACAACCATTTTCATTTTCCACCAAATAGTCACCCATCCCACCTGCTATGGACTGAATGTCCCCCAAAATTCATGACTTGAACTTAATCTCCATTGTGGTGATATTAAGAGGTGGGGGGCCTTTTGGGAAGTGATTAAGTCATGAGGGCTCCACCCTCATGCATGGATTAGTGCCTTATAAAAGGGTTAGAGGGAACCAGCTTAGACCCTTTTTGACTTTCCATCCCTCTGTCATGTGAAGACTCAGCATGCTCTTTGGAGAATGCACCAACAAGGCACTATCTTGGAAGCAGAGAGGAGCCCTCACCAGACATCAAACCCACTGGCAACTTTGATCTTGGACTTCCCAGCCTCCAGAACTGTGAGGAAATAAATTTCTGTTCTTTGTAATTACCCAAACTGTGGTATTTTTGTTACAGCAACACAAATGAACTAAGATACCACTCAATTTTTTTTTTTTAAGATGAAGTCTCACTCTGTCCCGCAGGCTGGAGTGCAGTGGCGTGATCTCAACTCACTGTAACCTCCGCCTCCCAGGTTCAAGCGATTCTCCTGCCTCAGTCCCCCAAGTAGCTGGGATTACAGGCATGCACCACGACATCTGGCTAATTTTTTTTGTATTTTTACTAGAGATGAGGTTTCACCATATTGGCCAGGCTGGTCTCAAACTCCTGACCTCACGTGATCCGCCCACCTCGGCCTCTCAAAGTGCTGGGATTACATGCATGAGCCACTATGCCTGGCTCAAATTTATTTTAACAATTTTTTTTTCAACTTTCCCAGCATTCCTAACATCAGTAAAAGTTTTTTGTTATTTCTTTTTTTTGAGACAGAGTCTCACTCTGTCACCCAGCTGGAGTGCAGTGGTGCAATCTTGGCTCACTGCAGCCTCTGCTTCCTGGGTTCAAGTGATTCGCATGCCTCAGCCTCCCAAGTAGCTGGAATTACAGGCATATGCCACCATATCTGGCTAATTTTTGTATTTTTAGTGGAGGCGGGGTTTTGCCATGTTGGCCAGGCTAGTCTCAAACTCCTGACCTCAAGTGATCCACCCACCTTGGCCACCCAAAGTGCTGGCATCACAGACGTGAGCCACAGTGCCAAGCCAAGATTTTTTTTTTTTTTTTTTTGAGACGGAGTCTCACTCTGTTGCCCGGGCTAGAGTGCAGTAGTGCAATCTCAGCTCACTGCAACTTCAACCTCCTGGGTTCAATCGATTCTCCTGCCTCTGCCTCCTAAGTAGCTGGGATTACAGGCGCCCACCACTACACCCAGCTAATTTTTCGCATTTTTAGTAGAGATGGGGTTTCACCATGTTGGCCAGGCTGGTCTTGAACTCCTGATCTCCTGATCCGCCCACCACAGCCTCCCAAAGTGCTGGGATTACAGGCATGAGTCACTGCACCTGGCTTTTTTTTTTTAGACGGAGTCTCACTCTGTCACCAGGCTGCAGTGCAGTGGTGTGATCTTGACTCACTGCAACCTCCACCTCCCGGGTTCAAGCGATTTTCCTGCCTCTGCCTCCTGAGTAGCTGGGATTACAGGCGCCCACCACTACGCCCAGCTAATTATCTGTATTTTTAGTAGAGATGGGGTTTCACTGTGTTGGCCAGGCTGGTCTCAAACTCCTGACCTCATGATCTGTCTGCCTCGGTCTCCCAAAGTGCTGGAATTACAGGCATGAGCCATGGCGCCTGGCTTTTTTTTTTTTTTTTTTTCTTTTTTTTGAGAACAAGTCTCACTCTGTCACCAGGCTGGAGTGCAGTGGCACGATCTCGGCTCACTGCAACTTCCACCTCCCAGGTTCAAGCGATTCTCTTGCCTCAGCCTCCCGAGTAGGCTGGAACTACAGGTGCGTGCCACCACATGCAGCTAATTTTTGTATTTTTAGCAGAGACAGGGTTTCACCATGTTGGCCAGGATGGTCTCCATCTCCTGACCTCATGATCCACCTGCCTCGGCCTCCCAAAGTGTTGGGATTACAGGCCTGAGCCACCGCGCCCAGCTCATTTTTTTTTTTTTTAATAAGCGAAGATATCAGATACTCTCTAAATCCTATGAAACCTGAACTAGAACATCAGAATTAAAATCATTTAAATATATATATATTTTGATGGCTGGGTGCAGTGGCTCACGCCTGTAATCCCAGCACTTTGGGAGGCCGAGGAGCACGGATCACAAGGTCAAGAGATCAAGATCATACTGGCCAACATGGTGAAACCCCATCTCTACTAAAAACATAAAATTTGGCTGGGCAGCCTCCCTGGGACTAGGTTTCAGCGGCCGCTGCGATGACCAAAATAAAGGCAGATCCCGAAGGGCCCGAGGCTCAGGCGGAGGTGTGTTCCGGGGAGCGCACCTACCAGGAGCTGCTGGTCAACCAGAACCCCATCGCGCAGCTCCTGGCTTCTCGCCGCCTCAAGCGGAAGCTCTACAAATGCATTAAGAAAGCGGTGAAGCAGAAGCAGATTCGGCGCGGGGTGAAAGAGGTTCAGAAATTTGTCAACAAAGGAGAAAAAGGGATCATGGTTTTGGCAGGAGACACACTGCCCATTGAGGTATACTGCCATCTCCCAGTTAGGTGTGAGGACCGAAATCTGCCCTATGTCTATATCCCCTCTAAGACGGACCTGGGTGCAGCCACAGGCTCCAAGCGCCCCACCTGTGTGATAATGGTCAAGCCCCACGAGGAGTACCAGGAGGCTTACGACGAGTGCCTGGAGGAGGTGCAGTCCCTGCCCCTACCCCTATGAGGAGCTCCGGTAGCACCTGGGCACCTGCCGCTGGAAGCTACTGGGCTGACGGCAGGACGACTGGCTGTCCTCCTGCCCACCCACACTGACGGCATCTTCCCAGTTCCCCAAGGCACGCCTTCTTACCAGGCAGCTCTAACAGCCCTTTCATGAAGGTAATGCTAGTCTTCTGTCCATCAGTGCCATTTCCTGTAGAACTAAAGGCTGTTCCAAGAATGTAGGGTGGAGAAAGTAAATGCTAAGACTAAAAAAAAAAAAAAAAAAATTGGCTGGGCATAGTGGTATGCGCCTGTAGTCCGAGCTATTCGGGAGGCTGAGGCAAGAGAATCACTTGAACCTGGGAGGCGGAGGTTACGGTCAGCCAAGATCATGCCACTGCACTCCAGCCTGGCGACACAGCGAGACTCTGCCTCAAAAAAAAAAAAAAAAAAAAAAAAAAAATTATATATATATATACACACACACACACACACACACACATATATATATGCACAGAATAAAATTCCCAACTTGAGAGCCATGCACTAATGATATAAACCACTATGGTGGCATCTAAATTTAACATATTTAATTGATTTATCAATATGATGATTCACAATAAATTCTGCAACTTTGACTCCCAGCATGCTTTTCAAGTCTCTACCATCAATGAATACTCAAGAAATCAAATTAAATTCATATTAACAAGCTGGGCGTGGTGGCTCATGCCTGTAATCCCAACACTTTGGGAGGCCAAGGTGGGTGGATCACCTGAGGTCAGGAGTTCGAGACCAGCATGACCAACATGGAGGAACCCCGTCTCTACTAAAAATACAAAAATTAGCTGGGCGTGGTGGCACATGCCTGTAATCCCAGCTACTCAGGAGGCTGAGGCAGGAGAATCACTTGAACCTGGGAGGCACAGGTTGCGGTGAGCCAAGATCGTGCCATTGCACTCCAGCCTGGGCAACAAGCGCAAAACTGCGCCTCAAAAAAATAATAAAAAAAAAATAAATTCATTTTAACAACAAATGATTATAAATGACCACTGACAAAACAGTATTTCAAAATCAAAGAGGTCAGGCCTGTAATTCCAGGACTTTGTGAAACTGAGGCAGTAAAACAGCTTGAGCCCAGGAGTTCAAGACCAGCCTGGCCAACATGGCAAAACCCCGTTTCTACAAAAAATTATCTGGGCATGATGGTCCACACCTGTAGTCCTAGCTACACAGGAGGCTGAGATGGGAGGATCGCCTGATCCCAAGAAGGCAAGGCTTCACTGAGCTGTGATTACACATCAGTACGCTGCAGCCTGGGTAAAAGAGTGAGACCCTATCTCAAAAAACAACAACAAGGCCGGGCACAGTGGCTCACACCTGTAATCCCAGCACTTTGGGAGGCCGAGGTGGGCAGATCACGAGGTCAGGAGTTTGAGACCAGCCTGACCAACATGGTGAAACCTCGTCTCTACTAAAAATACAAAAATTAGCCCAGAGTGGCGGCACACACCTGTAATCCCAGCTACTTGGGAAGCTAAGGCAGGAGAATCGCCTGAACCTGGGAGGTGGAGGTCGCAGTGAGCTGAGATCGCGCCACTGCACTCCAGCCTGTGCTACAGAGCAAGATTCCATCTCAAAACAAACAAACAGACAAACAAACACCAAAAACAAAATCAAAGAGAAATTTTGACTTTTAGATCACTGATACGACTTTGCCATTACATGGCCAATTGAAAATGTCTCCTACTCAATCTTACAGGATGCATGGATATATGTGCATATGTGTATGCCTAGGTATATAAAAAATTGAGACATGGGTCTGTGTTTTAATGAAAACCATTACAAGCATAGATCCTGTTCTCCAGCCTACCCACAAGTGAACTACCCACAGTAGGCCAACATAAACTGTCAAACAAAGACCTTTTGTGAAACCTATAGAGTAAGAACAATAGAGATTGTCATAGGGTGCTCTATAGCATGAAGAGATGCTCTCATTCACTCCAGGTCCTGACCTCACAGCAGTTCCACTTCCCCACCTTTTCTTTTTTTTTTTCTCTTTTCAGACAGGGTCTCAAATCTGCCACCCAGGCTGGAGCGCAGTGGTATGATCACAGCTCGCTGCAGCCTCGACTTCCTAAGGCTCAGGTGAACATAGACCTATAGTGCATAACTTTTCTATATATCTTTTTATAATACTGACTACTGTAAAAAGCCATCAGTCCAGATTATTAATAATATGTGCAATGCAAATTATGTTGAACACACTTTCTTTGATGGTTTAGAACAAACGAAGTGTCTTCGGGGCATCATGAATATTATGATCATGCCCCAAGAGATTAAAAGATTCGGTTTTGAACTTGCTTATGACACCCCTAGAAGAAAATTCTTAATATAAATTCCTAATATCAGCTTGCTTGCCTATGGCTTGCTTGAATAAAACTGGAATATAAAATGGGCAATTGCTTAACTTCTTGGACTGTATAAAATGGCTGCCCTTTTAAATATTTAATTATTGTAACAAAAGCTGAAGCATCCTTTTACCCAGCTTTGTCCTCTTTGCTGAAATCTTCACTGTCTTTCAGTGTCCTTTGATGTCTCAGTATTCAATACATTCTCTATTATTTATGTCCCACTAACAGAATATGTCACCTCAACCCCCTTGTATGCTTCAACCTTCCATTATACCTCACAATGTGAAGGAATAAATTCACTATCAAGAGATTTTTCTGCCTTTAATCCTAACCACAGGCCTTGAATTTTTGACCTTAAGCTATAATTTCCTAAAAGCTGTTTTCTACTTTTCACATATAACGAATCTCAGCCTAACGCAGAATATCAGATATCCCGTTACATTTTAAAATGAAAACCTTGTGTTATACCTGCATGATTCACCTACCTTAAAATAGCTACTCTGGAATAACATTTCATATTCTAGATCACACCAGAGTTAATAGGTAAAATGAATCATCTACACTGGCAAATAAGCAGAAAACAGGCAGTAAGCTCTAAAATGTTAACTAAATAATTTTATTACCTTCTGATGAGCTCATATCTTTGAAATGTTGAGAAATTCTAGATCAAAATATGATAAAAGTCAATCTCCAGGCCGGGCATGGTGGCTCACGCCTGTAATCCCAACACTTTGGGAGGCTGAAGTGGGCAGATCACCTGAGGTCAGGAGTTCGATACCAGCCTGGCCAATGTGGCAAAACCCCATCTCTGCTAAAAATACAAAAATTAGCCAAGTGTGGTGGCGCATGCCTGTCGTCCCAGCTACTCCGGAGGCTGAGCCAGAAATGTTTGAACCCAGGAGGTGGAGGTTGCGGTGAGCGGAGATTGGGCCACTGCACTCCAGACTAGGCAATAAAGATTCCGTCTCAAAAAAAAAAATCAATCTCCCACCCAGCCCCAAATCTTCTAAAATGTTAAATTTGTAATGCGTATGAAAGTAAAATTTAAAACTTTCCATTCACTAAAAGTCTTAGTTTGTAACCACCTGAAGTATTAGCACAATTAATCTGTCTTTGTTCTGTCTAAAATTAACACAAAGTTTAATTTGGCAAATATTCAAAATAATGTTTCATCAGCATTGTAAAATCATTGAAATTACTTAGATTGTGTTTCTGCAGCATAAGAGCCAACGATTTTTAACTAGATTCAACTATTTTGATAATGCCATTCCATAGATGGCATTAATAGTAAAGCCTTCCCCACCCCACCCCCATCCCACCCAGATAACTTTTTTCCTTTTAAATGAGCACTATGGCAATGAAGTACCTGGTAAACCTACACCTTAAACTGCCATGTTAAAAAAAAAAAAAAACCTCCTTCCAAAACAAGTAAACAAGACAGGATCCTTTTGTTTTCATTTACATATACATAGACCATCATGCTGAAAAAGAGTTTAGAGCTGGCAAAAGTCTAGTCAATTGTTCTTACCAGGCCTTGATGTTAAACATCTTAAACAAATTGCATTCCGAAATGCTCTTTTGTTAAACTGGCTGTTTACCAATAGAAACAAAGTAACAGATGATGGTTAGGTTTCCATTCTAGCCTGTAAGTAGTAGATAATTGGTTACAAAGCTAAACAAAGACACAGAAAACCGTACATAATCTACAAGTCTAGCATGCTTCTCTGAGTTGAAAGTCTACCAGTGAGACCCAGGAACTAGGCCTCTCACAGATGCCCCTCTGCTCCAGAAATCACCAACTCCTACTACTTTCCCCAGCTCTATTTTCCACTCCTTTCATTAGGTTACAATAGTAGGAACAGACCTTAGGTCATAACACCACCAAATAAGTGAATGCAGAGTAGAAATGTTCCCCTAAAGAGAGGAGGTCATTTGAACAAACAGCAATACCTGTCAAGTTAATATTTCTGAGTTATAACTCCTGTACCAGAAATGTAACAACATCTCACTCTTGAATCAAAACTTTCAGGCCAGGTGTGGTGACTTGTGCCTGTAATCCCAGCATTTTGGGAGGCCATGGCAGGTGGATCACTTGAGGTCAGGAGTTCGAGACCACCCTGGACAATATGATGAAACCCCATCTGTACTAAAAATACAAAAAATAGCTGGGCATGGTGGCAGGTGCCTGTAATCCCAGCTACTCGGGAGGCTGAGACAGGAGAATCTCTTGAGCCCGAGAGGCAAAGCCTGCAGTGAGACGAGATCACGCCAGTGCACTCCAGCCTGGACAACAGAGCAAGACTCCATCTCAAAAAAATAAAAACTCTCAAATTCATTTATTTATTCAAATATATAATAAGCATCTACTACAGCTGAAGCTTTGCTGCTGTGGTCTGAATGTGGTATACCCCCAAAATGCACATGTTGAAATTTACTCCCCATTGTGATAGTATTAAGAGGTGGGGCCTTCGAGGAAGTAATTAAGTCATGGAGGCTCTGCCCTCATTAATGGGGTTAGAGCTTTTATAAGAAAGAGAGGCTTGTAGTCCCAGCTACACAGAAGGCTGAGGCAGGAGGATAGCTTGAGCCCAGGAGTTCAAGTCCAGAATGGGCAGTACAATGAGACCCCATCTCTTAAAAGAGGGAGAGAGAGAGAGAGACATTGATTGAAGGGTGTGTGTTTGCCCCTTCTGCCATGTGAGGACACAGAAAGAGGCACCATTCATGAAGCAGAGAACGAGCCTTTACCAGACAATGAATCAGCTAGTGCCTTTATCTTGGACTTTCTAGCCTCTATAATTGTGAGAAGTATTAAAATTTCTATTATTTATAAATTACCCCATCGAAGACGTTCACTTACCTGACTTTCCAGATTAATCTCTGTGTTTTATCTTCCCTATAAAAAATATCCACAGCACATTCAACAGCCGTGACCAATAAGACCATAAATTTCTGTCCAACAGATGAATTGCAAGCTTACCTAGAGATGGTAAAGGTTTGTCTCCAAACCTCTTTTTTTTTTTTTTTAATTTTTCATAGAGATGGGATCTTCTTATGTTGCCCAGGCTGGTCTCGAACTACCGAGTTCAAGCAATCCACCCACCTCAGCCTCCCAAAGTGCTGGGATTACAGGTATGAGCCACTGCACTCAGTTCTAAACCTTTTTAATGTCAGTATTATTGTAATTATGTGACTTAAATATATGCAAACCAATGAAATGAATGCCAAAAAATTATTTGATGAAAAGCAATTTGAATTTGCTAGATTTGAATTTAGAAAAAGCTAGATACAACAGCAATCAGGTTTCATTTATTCAAAACGTTATCAAAGTTCAGCAGGAATTCTCTCAGCTCTGAAGAGGGAAAAAGAGAAATTTTAAGAGATGTCTATGTTTTAAAATCTTAAAACTTTGCATTGGGTGCCATGTTGTTGGGTGCCATGTAGCAGTGCTTTTACTCTGTATCTGTAATTCTTAACCATTTTTAAGTTATGGACCCCTTTGAAAATTTAATGAATGTTACAGCTCACTTCTCTCCCTGGAAATACAAATGGAGACATAAAATGCAGTTCTGATGGCTCCTGTACCCTTTTACCCACCTCTGCCTCAAAGCTCATCAACCTATGACTCTACACACCCCAAGCTGCAAAGCATTTCATCACCTTTATACCCATTTAGAAAACTATGCCTTGTATTAGAACAGCAGAACTAAATTCCATAAGGTCTAATTTCAACTTTGCTAAGACCTTATTAATGATATCTCAGACTGGCTAATATAATAACATGCACTGATTTATCAGTGATTTTATTCAACTTAAATAAAAGGATGGCAGGTTTCATTTCTTTTATTGCGTATAATCCTCCCACATGATTAATTGGTTAGGAATTCCTTACTGTCCTTTGCAAAGCCAGGCTATAACCCACAAACAACATGACTAATCAACTAATACATCCTCTAATTCTCAGGGTACAATTTAGGAAAATCAGGCTAGAGTCAGAAAAAGCTCTTGACTTAGAATGGTAGTTGTTCCTTCTCTAAGATGTAGTGTTCTAATAAGTAGTCCACAAAGTAATCTATCCTAATAAGGTTTTCCTTTCCACACATTAGGAATCACACAAAAGCATGGGTGGGTAAGAAATGTCAAATCACTTGTTCAAATATACCCAACACATGGCTTTCCTTTCTAAAATTCCTCCACTCTAAAACCCACCTGATTTACGAGTCATGAAAATTCTAATCTGCCACTATTAACCATTTCCACCTCTAAATGATTTTCCCCAGCTGCCTAAACCAAAAACCTGGCAGTCATTCTAGACTCCTCCTTCTCTTTTATTTCCTACATGCAAGTAATCACCAAGTCCTTCCAGGTGAGCTCCTAATTATTTCTTTTTTTTTTTTTTTTTTTTTTTTTTGAGACAGAGTCTCGCTGTCACGCAGGCTGGAGTGCAATGGCACAATCTCGGATCACCGCAACCTCCGCCTTCTGGGTTCAAGCTATTCTCCTGCCTCAGCCCCTCAAGCAGCTGGGATTACAGGCACCTGTCACCACGCCTGGTTAATTTTTGTAATTTTTTTTTTTTTTTTTGAGTCAGAGTCTCACTCTCTCGCCCAGGCTGGAGTGCAATGATGTGATCTCGGCTCACTGCAACCTCCAACTCCCGGATTCAAGCAATTCTCCTGCCTCAGCCTCCTGAGTAGCTGGGATTACAGGCGCCTGCCACCACACCCGGCTAATTTTTGTATTTTTAGTAGAGACGGGGTTTCACCATGTTGGCTAGGTTGGTCTCTTTGGCCAGGTTGGTCTCCAACTCCTGACCTTGTGATCCATCCACCTTGGCCTCCCAAAGTGCTGGGATTACAGGTGTAAACCACCATGCCTAGCCTAATTTTGTATTTTTAGTAGAGATGGGGTTTCACCATGTTGGCCAAGCTGGTCTCAAATTCCTGACCTCAAGTGTTCCACCCACCACAGCCTCCCAAAGTGCTGGGATTACAGGCGTGAGCCACCGTGCCCCTGATTGTTGCTTAAATCTGTCCCTTCCTTTTAATCACTTTAGGTTCTCCCACGTTAACTGGTTTCCCGAGTTTGGTTCCTGACAAAGATATCCTAGAGTAATCATTCTAAAACAAAAATGTGATCACTTCACTCACCAACTTAAAAAAGCCTTACAATAGCTATGTTTCTCAGCTTAAAAATCCTTCAATGTTCCTCACTTGAGAAAGCTGAAGACACAGAATGCTAGAATACTCTTGGTGATCTGGTGGCACTTATCTACTTCTCCAGCCTCATCTCTCTCTTGCCTAACCCCTACCCTAAATCTCTTGCTCTCTCAGCACACCATGTTGTTTCTTGCCTGTACACAACCTAGTCCCTCTGCTGAAAAAAAAACAACAACAACAACCCTGGCTGAGCATGGTGTCTCATGCCTGTAATCCCAGCACTTTGCGAGGCTGAGGTGAAAGGATTGCTTGAGCCCAGGAGTTCAAGATCCTGTCTCTACAAAAAATTTAAAAATTAGCTGGGCATGGTGGTATGCGCCTGTAGTCCTAGCTACCAGGAAGGCTGAGGCAGGAGGATCGCTTGAGTCCAGGGGTCTGAGGTTGCAGTGAGCTATGATCATGCCACTGTGCTCTGGCCTGAGTGACAGAGCAAGACCACCTGACTTCTTAAAAAAAACTATATATATATAACTTTATATATATATAAATTTAAAAATATATATATTTTATATATTTAATAATTTACATATTATATATAAATTTAAAAAAATGAACCCTACCCCATTTTCTTTCTTTTTTTTTTTTATTTTTTGAGGTGGAGTCACACTCTGTCGCCAGGCTGGAATGCAATGATGCAATCTCGGCTCACTGCAACCTCCACCTCCTGGGTTCAAGCAATTCTCCTGCCTTACCCTCCTGAGTAGCTGGGACTACAGGTGTGTGCCACCACACCCAGCTAATTTTTGTATTTTTAGTAGAGATGGGGTTGCACAATGTTGGCCAGGATGGCCTCAATCTCTTGACCTCGTGATCTGCCCACCTCAGCCTCCCAAAGTGCTGGGATTACAGGCGTGAGCCACCGCGCCCAGCCTCCTACCCCATTTTCTGATCTGCCTGTCAAACTCTGCCCACTCACCTCTAAATAAAGTATTATGATGCCCAACGATGTTCATGACAGCATCATGTTCAATATTCGAAAACTGAAAACAGCTGAGTATGGTAGCACATGCTTATAGTCCCAGCTACTTGAAAGGCTGAGGTGGGAGGATCTCTTGAACCCAGTTGGAGTCCAGCCTGGGCAACAATGCAAGACTCCATCTCAAATGAAACAAAACAAAACAAAAAAAACAACAAAACAATCTATCTAAATCCCCCAAATATGAAAACATTTTGTATAATGGATTGTTAACATTTTGTTATAATGGATTCCCATAATGGAATATTATGCAATCATCAAAATGTTTATAAATTATATAAAATGTTAAAAATATGGCTATAAAACTGTAAAACTGCATAAACAGAATGATCTCCACTATGTAAATTACATTACACAGACACAAAAAAGAAATAATTAACAGAAAATATACCAAAACATTAAGAGTATTTGAATCTGATTAATAGAATTATGGGCAATTGGCCGGGTGCAGTGGCTCACGCCTGTAATCCCAGCACTTTGGGAGGCCGAGGCAGGCAGATCACGAGGTCAGGAGTTGGAGACCAGCCTGACCTACATGGTGAAATCCAATCCCTACTGAAAATACAAAAATTAGCCGGGCGTGGTGGCAAGCACCTGTAATCCAAGCTACTCAGGAGGCTGAGGCAGGAGAATTGCTTGAACCCAGGAGGCGGAGGTTGCAGTGAGCCGAGATTGCACCAATGCACTCCAGCCTGGGCAACGGAGCGAGGCTCCATCTCAAAAAAAAAATAATAATAATTACAGGCAACTGGGGTTTTTTATCTGTGTTTTTTCCCTCTCAAGTTTTAAATAGTTAACAGGTATTACTTTCAAAATCGGAAAAACTCCGAAAATATCTTAAACTATTGAAGACTTTCCTAGAGGCTTCCCAACCACACACAAATTTAATCATTCCTTTGTCTGATTCAAGTACAAACTCTTCTTTGTTGCACACAACACACTCTTGTTTTAGACCTTATCATTCTATATTTTAATACATGTTTGTCAAGGAGTTGTCCTAAAACGGGAAATGTATGGTTCAACTTTAATTCCTATCAGCCTTACACCTGGTAGAAACCAGCTAAACGTTTTAATTACTCACACTGGTAGCTACATGTAAATGACCAATAAATGCCTAATCAGTCATTTGTAAATGTAGATCATAAACACACTCAAAAAATATTTACCATGTGCCCAAAATATCCCTGGTACTATCACAGCCCCTGGAGACACTTCAGTGAAAAGGTCCTTGCCCTTGTGGAGCCTACATTCTACTGTGGAAGAACAAAACAAAATAAACCAGCTCATTACAGAGAGTGATGAATACTGTAAGACAATGTAGCATAAGAGGAATTAGGGAAGATGTGGGGAAAGAACAGAACATCAAAGGCATATTGAGGGAGGGGCAAGAGAGAGGGCTGACCTGGGCAGAGTGGGGGCTCAGGGAGGAGACCTGCAGGAGGGGCCAGGAGCTGGGAGAAGGGGCCTGTGGGGGTGGGGGCCTGGAAGGAGGGGAAGGGATGGAGGGAACAGGGAGGGGGGAGCGAACCCAGATGTCCGCCCCCTCCCCCTTCAGAACTGCAGCGCCTCCTGACTGAGCCCCAATTTTGTCAAAATCTGTATATGGTATATGCACAGAAAGGAAGCATAAATAATACTTTGTTCATCTGAAAAGCAAGGTTGTTGCACAGTATGGGCACTTTGTCCTATTTTTATAAAATGAAAACTAATAGGCCCCTCCTCTAGAGTGCTGTGTGTTTGTGAGATTCCAAAACAAAAGGTCAGGGAGACTGCACTCCCCTCTTGGTTACCTCTGTGGTCTGAGGTAGGGAGAGCGGAGGAGAGTTCTTACTACCAGTTAGGTAATATTCTCTGAGTCTCAAATAGGATAATAATCCCTAATTCACAAGAACGTGTAAGGATTACATAAAATTATTTATGTGGAAAGTATGATGCCAGTGCTGGCATTCTGGTCCCCTATATTTGTGTTAGTAGTATCTATTTAGAGGAGGACATCAAAATAATACAACACCCAAAAGCTGGAGCACATGGATTATGATTTTGAACACAGGTGCCAAAAGAAACTTAACAATGTAAATCCCATCCCTTTGATCAGGGAATTCCTTAATAGCTATATGGGTAACAAAAATACTACCTAATGCCAACCTTCTTAACTGTTTATCTGACCTCAGGATTCTACTACTGGTTACAACATCTTTATTTACTTATTTTATTTTTTTCTTTTTTTTTTTTTGAGACGGAGTCTCCCTGTCGCCCAGGCTGGAGTGCAGTGGCGCGATCTCGGCTCACTGCAGGCTCCGCCCCCCGGGGTTCACGCCATTCTCCTGCCTCAGCCTCCCGAGTAGCTGGGACTACAGGTGCCCGCTACCTCGCCCGGCTAATTTTTTGTATTTTTAGTAGAGACGGGGTTTCACTGTGTTAGCCAGGATGGTCTCGATCTCCTGACCTCGTGATCCACCCGCCTTGGCCTCCCAAAGTGCTGGGATTACAGGCGTGAGCCACCGCGCCCGGCCTATTTTTTTCTTTTTTGAGATGAAATCTCACTCTGTCGCCCAGGCTGGATACAGTGGGGCAATCTTAGCTCACTGCAACCTCCACCTCCCGGATTCAAGCTATTCTCCTGCCTTAGCCTCTGAGTAGCTGGGACTACAGACGTGCACCACCACACCTGGCTAATTTTTTGTATTTTTAGTAGAGACAGGCTCTCACCATGTTTGCCAGCCTGGTCTCAAACTCCTGACCTCAGGTGATCTGCCCATCTTGGCCTCCCAAAGTGCTGAGATTACATGCGTGAGCCACTGCACCCAGCCTATAATTGCTTTAAATAATGATGTGGCAAAGAGTTGAACAGTCTACCCACAAAATCAAATGCAAACACAGAAACAGATTTATAACAAATGATCCAAACATTATCTCTCAGCCTTTCCTCCATAAACTCATAAACTTTACTGGTTTTCACTATTTTTAATTCTCTGCTTATCTAGGTTATATTTCTCTGGTCCAAAAAAGGAAAATAAATTTTCCATTCCAGATTGCAAAAGAGAGGTGCTTCTAGATACATTTACCTCTCGTCTCCTTTAGTTGCTGCTTATCTGAAACCTAAGAACTACGACTCCTGGAGTTTGAGTAGGGGGTTCGATTGTCAGATCACTAAGATGTTTCCTCTGAAATATTCCCTCCCATCCTTAATCAGCCCTCAAAAACCCTACCGCATCTTTAAGGTAGAAAATTATTTGCCTTTTATATCTCTGCTTTCTAATCTCACATGCCTGGAATTAATGACTACCTGAATGGGCATACTATATAACCTGTTCTTTGTCGAATTTATATATATATATACATTTTTTTTTTTTTGAGACAGTGGCTCGCTCTGTTGCCCAGGCTGGAGTGCAGTGGTGCAATCTCGGCTCACTGCAACCTCCACCTCCTGGGTTCAAGCAATTCTCCTGCCTCAGCCTCCTGAGTAGCTGGGATTACAGGTGCATGCCACCATGCCTGGCTAATTTTTGTATTTTTAGTAGAGACGGGGTTTCATCATGTTGGTCAGGCTGGTCTTGAACTCCTGACCTCGTGATCCGCCCACCTTGGCCTCCCAAAGTGCTGGGATTACAGACGTGAGCCACCTCACCCAGCCAATTTTTTAAAAAATATTTTAATTTTTTTAGAGACAGGGTCTCACTCTGTCACCTAGGCTGGAATGCAGTGGCACAATCATGGCTCACTATAACCTCAAACTCCTGGGCTCAAGCAATCCTCCTGCCTCAGCCTCCTGAGTAGCTAGAACTACAAGCATATGACATCAGGCCCAGCTAATTTTAAAAAATTTTTAATTTTTTTATAGAGACAGGGTCTCACTATGTTGCCCAAGCTGGTTTCGAACACCTGGGCTCAAGCAGTCCTCCCACCTTGGCCCCGCAAAGTGCTACAAATACAGTCTTCAGCAGCCACACCCAGCCTTCTCCTTAATATTTCTAAGTGTTATTGTCAAAATTATCCTGACTCTCATTCTAGTCAGTTCTATTGTTAATAACTCGACATGACAAGTCAGAAACAAACCAAATCACCATTAACAAGATAAATTAACTCCAAAAGAATGAGTTGATCAATGATGAAGCGATAAAGAAAAATCTAACTCTTAAGATATAAGCTAGTGTTCCCATTTATTGGCTGTCATAAACCTTTTATGTCAAAGCAAGAACTCTGCTTACTTCTTGGCATACCAAATCTACACATATGAAGTCACAGGCCAGAACTATGGGGTGTCCATAAAGTCTGGGAAACATATATTTTATATTTTTACAAATTGAAGATGTCCTTTATAATATTATGTACATACACCTGTGTTTCCATATTCTACAGATATCTTGTATAGAAATACTAGAACGGGCCAGGCGCAGTGGCTTACGCCTATAATCCCAACACTTTGGGAGGCCAAGGCAGGGAGATCACCTGAGGTCGAGAGGTCGGGACCAGCCTGACCAACATGGAGAAACCCCATCTCTACTAAAATAACACAAAATTAGCAGGGCATGGTGGCGCATGCCTATAATCCCAGCTACTTGGGAGGCTGAGGCAGGAGAATTGCTTGAACCCAGGAGGCGGAGGTTGCGGTGAGCCGAGATCGCACCATTGCACTCCAGCCTAGGCAACGAGAGCGAAACTCCGTCTAAAAAAAAAAAAAGAAATACTAGAATGGAGAATCCGTCACAAAAATGTTAAATATACCACATGTAAAGATAAAGGACAAAATTATAACTTGGTTTAAATGTTCATTCATTCATTTAATGAATACCTACTAAGTGTCAGGCACTTCCAGGCACTGATTTATTTCATGGCATTGACCATTTAATTAGTTGCACTGAGTTACTGCAGACAGGGAGTTACTTGTTTTTGATCTTGACCTTGAAATGAGTTTGAATGCTTGAGGAATAAAGCTATTTGGCCACACAATAGTCCTATGCATACATAATCAGTACACAATGTTTCCTTCCCTTTGTGTGTATTAATTCTATGATCACTTCAAATAATATAAAGGCTGTTTTGTGCCCATTTCTGTTTCTCTCCTCTGAGGCCTGCCAACAAGCATTTATATAATAATATTTATTATTTCTGAGAATTATATAATAGTGCTTCTTAGGAGAGAAAAGTAGGCTTTATTCCAAGATGCTAAGTTACTGTAGTACTTTAATTCACTAGTACTTTCCTATTTCAAGTTCACAAAATGCAAATATTGGAATGGTTTCACATTAAGAAGTTTAAATGCCCAGCACCACAAAGAACACTAAAGGGTGTGAAAACTAAATGTAGCAGAACTGAAGTATAATAGGTGAAATGCAGCATTTGAACCCTCACAGGAGCAGCTACCCACAAGGTATAAGGACCAGCTGTAGAAAATTCCTTGTGAAGCTGGTTTCTACTGCAAGTACAGCAACCTTCCCAGGAAAGCCTCCTATAAGTTATGGCTATATTACCTCAACTCTCAAGATCAAAACTTGAGGCTCCATCCTGAATTCTAACTCTGACAACCACACTGGCCCCTAAAGAGGGTCAGGCATGGCCTACAGGGAAATGGTGGTAAGGAGATTCAAATTAGACCTTTGATATCTCCAGAACCAACAAAATCAACCCAACCCTTATAGCAGTCAGAAAATTAAGAGTTTAAGCATTTCTCCCATCACCAATTAAAATGTTCATGGATCCAGGAAAACCCTTACACTTACATTGGTGAGTCAGCCATAAGCACAAGCAGATAGTCACACATCTCCACCATTAGTGTGACATGTCTATATATACTCCCTAGTCTTCGGACCACCATGACTAGCTTTCTAGAATAGGCAGTCACCCTAATATACAAAGTGCCTTTTGATGTTCTTCCATGCCTCCTTCTAGCCCCCTCCACTACATGCCATCAGCTAGTGTTTAACTTTGGACTACTGAATATCAACAATATTTCCTCTTTTAAACTCTAATTCTGACTACAATTACAGAAGTTAGGCAAACATCCAAAAGCCACAACAGTATTCCTCTAACAGTATATAATTTTCAGAACACTTTGTACACATTCTCTCACAAACCAAACCCTGAAGCTAGGCTCCCTCTCCCCTCCCACCTCCTCCTTTTCCCTTCTGTCCACTCTCTCTCTCCCACTCCATCCCTCCATTTTCGCAGACTGAGAAAAAGAATCACTGGATAAGTGACTTGACCTCATCACTAGTGACAGAGCCAAGGCTTTAACCAATGTCTTCCTTATTCCAAGTTTCATAGGTTGTCCACTACTGTATGCTCCCCTCCATCTAATTCTCTTTCCTCAGTAAAACCCACACAGCTTAATCAACTTTTCTTTTCTTTTCTTTTCTTTTTAAGACAGAGTCTTGCTCTGTCACCCAGGCTGGAGTGCAATGGCGCGATCTCGGCTCACTGCAACCTCCGCCTCCCGGGTTCAAGTGATTCTCCTGCCTCAGCCTCCCAAGTAGCTGCAATTACAAGAGCCCGCCACCACGCCCAGCAAATTTTTGTATTTTTAGTAGAGACAGGGTTTCACCAGGTTGGCCAGGCTGGTCTCGAACTCCTGACCTCAGGTGATCCATCTGCCTCAGCCTCCCAAAGTGCTGGAATTATAGGTGTGAGCCACCACTCCCAGCCTCAAACTTTTCATATTGCAGTAAACAAAGCATAATTTTTTTTTTTTTTTTGAGAGGGAGTTTCACTCTTGTCATCCAGGCTGGAGGGCAATAGCATGATCTCAGCTCACTGCAACCTCCAGCTCCCAGGCTCAAGCAATTTTCCTGCCTCAACCTCCCGAGTAGCTGGGATTACAGGCACCCACCACCACACCCAGCTAATATTTGTAGTTTTTTAGTAGAGACAGGGTTTCACCATGTTGGCCAGGTTGGTCTCGAACTCCTGACCTCAGGTGATACACCCACCTCGGCCTCCCAAAGTGCTGGGATTACAGGCGTGAGCCACCGTGCCTGAGCAACAAAGCATAATCTTTTGATACCTGCAGATCAAAACACTATAAAAAATCAACTTAGCAATGAAAACCAGTTCCAACTGGATGGCATTACACCTTATACAGCCCTTGAAATACATCAAATTGGGCCAGACATGGTGGCTCACACCTGTAATCCCAGCACTTTGGAAGGCTGAGGCAGGTGGATCACAAGGTCAGGAGTTCAGGACCAGCCTGGCCAACATAGTGAAACCCCGTCTCTACCAAAAATACAAAAAATTAGCCGGGCATGGTGGCAGGCGCCTGTAATCCCAGCTACTCGGGAAGCTGAGGCAGGAGAATCACTTGAACCCGGGAGGCAGAGGTTGCAGTGAGCAGAGACCGTGCCACTGCATTCCAGCCTGGGTGACAGTGGGAAACTCCATCTCAAAAAAAAAAAAAAAATACATCAAATTGGCTAACCAATAGAGAAAGCTATGTAAGTAGAAATTTGTTTCTTTGTCAGAGGATATCTAAATTACATTTCTAAGAGGGTTCTTTTGTACTAACTCACGACAAGGTCATAAAGAGTTTAAACAAGGCTAACCACTTTTCAACATGCAATTTTGAAGTATATAGTTTTATATTAACGTTTCTAGTAGCACAAAAACCTAATATTTCCTAACCAATCCCTCTTTTAAATAGAAAATAGATAATGTGGTTTTGCTGGCATTCATATCAACCATGTCATAACAGGTTCTGAAACAGTTTGTGGGGATGAGTAGACCTTAAAGTGGTTTTGCATTGAAATAGTAGTTAAGAAACCAACTAGAGAAGAGTCTTAAATCTAGGTCATACTATCCTTATTCAAAAGCAAGCACAAACAAGACAATTTATATTACCTCCTGAAAAGATGGTCTTAAAAAAAAGAAAGTGGGGGCCAGATGCGGTGGCTCACACCTCTAATCTCAGCACTTTGGGAGGCCCAGGCTGGCAGAGAACTCGAGGTCAGGAGTTCAAAACTAGCCTAGCCAACATGGTGAAACCCCGTCACCCTGTCTCTACTAAAAATACAAAAACTAGTGGGGCATGGTGGTGCACACCTGTAATCCCAGCTACCAGGGAGGTTGAGGAATGAGAATTGCTTGAACAGGGAAGGCAGATGTTGCAGTGAGCCAAGATCATGCCACTGCACTCCAGCTTGGGCGACAGATTCTGTCTTTAAAAAAAAAAAAAAAAAGGAAATGGACAGAACACAAACTACTTGGAAAAAAAAAAGGAAAAGGAACACAAACTACTTGAAAAATATTGGTATTTCCTAAAAATTTATTATGAGTAGGCATATTTGTTTTTAATATCATTTGTATTCCCATGAATTCATGTAAGAAACTTCTTCCTCAGTTATTGATAACCCACCAGCAAAATTAATACTAAGTTATAATTACCTAGACATGTCATAAAATATAAAACTCCTTGCAATCACCTTTAACTTGGGAATAGAAGGAAAAGGAGAGGGATACGCAGGGTGCGGTGGCTCATGCCGGTAATCCCAGCACTTTGGGAGGCAGATGCGGGCAGATCCAAAGTCAGGAGTTCAGGACCAGCCTGGCCAACATAGTGAAACCCCGTCTCTATTAAAAATACAAAAATCAGCCAGGCATGGTGGCACGTGCCTGTAGTCCCAGCTACTTGGGAGGCTGAGGCAGGAGAATCGCTTGAACCCAGAGATGGAGGTTGCAGTAAGCCGAGATCATACCACTGTACTCCAGCTTGGGGAACAGAGTGAGACTTTGTCTCAAAAAAAAAAAAAAAAAAAGGAGAAGGATAAAGGCAGAGATACAGACAGAAAGTATGGAATAATTTGATTTTTTTTTCCAAATTAAATTTGAATCCAGGCAATCTGCTGCTAAAGCCTGCTTCTGTGACAAATTATCAACCAGAACCTGGGTAAGTCACTTCCTATTTTGGGACTTTGATTTCATAATATTAAAAAATATGTAAAGTAAAATATGTAAAGTAAAAAACAGAAAAAATTATAACCGATGAATCTTCATGGTGGCATACTTACAGTCACTGTATTTTTTTCTTTCTGCATTTCTACAAATACAAAATTTTTTAAAAACACAGCTTCCAGGGTATCTCATAGGGTCAAGTACAGATTCAGTCCAGCTTCTTACATCTACACTGCACTATTAAGCGATGTCCTAGAGACAGAATAGTCAAGGGAGTAGGAGCCATGGGCTCTGGAGGCAACTTTGCCAATTACTGGCTGTGATCTTAAGCAAACAGTGTAAATGCACTGAACCTCAATTTATTTGTCAATATAACAAGGATAATAGGCCGGGCACAGTGGCTCATGCCTGTAATCCCAGCACTTTGGGAGGGCGAGGTGGCAGATCACGAGGTCAAGAGTTCAAGACCAGCCTGACCAATATGGTAAACCCCGTCTCTACTAAAAATATAAAAATTAGCTGGGCATGGTAGCACGCACCTGTAATCCCAGCTACTCACGAGGCTGAGGCAGGAGAATCTCTTGAACCGGGGAGGCAGAGTTTGCAGTGAGCCGAGATCACGCCACTGCATTCCAATCTGGGCGACAGAGCACGACTCCATCCCCCGAAAAAACAAAAACAAAACAAAAAAATAAGCAAGAATGACAATAGTCCTCCTATGTCAAAGGAGTTCCTATCTCAAAGGAGTTCCAGTGAGAAACTATATGTAAAGTGCTTGGCACAGGGCCTGGCCCATAGGTAAATGCTGGATCCTCACATTACTACAATGGTCAAAGGCTCTGATCATGAAGGTACCATCAGACAGGAAAAAAGAACAAATGGCATTACACTGAAGTTTGGGGATATTTAGAATGCACTGTATGAAAAATCGGCAATTCACTTTGGTAGGCCAAGGCAGGCAGATCACTTGAGGTCAGGAGTTCAAGACCAGCCTGACTAATAGGGCGAAATTCCATCTCTACTAAAAATACAAAAATTAGCCAGGTGTGGTGGCGGGCACCTGTAATTCCAGCTACTTGGGAAGCTGAGGCAGGAGAATCACTTGAACCCGGGAGGTGGAGGCTGCAGTGAGCCAACATAACACACTGCACTCCAGCCTGGGTGACAGGGTGAGACATTGTCTCAAAAAAAAAAAAATCAGTAATCCGTATTATGACAAGATCATGCAAAGCCTATGGTCACCATTACAGTAAGAATAATCATAACCCTACGTTTATGGGATACTTTACTATGGGCCAGGCACTGTGCTACGCACTTTATATTTAGTTTCACATTTTAACTCATACAAGGCCAAAAACTAATATTATTCCCATTTTACAGGTGAAGAAATTGAGAACCAGCACGTTTATATAATTTGTTTATGATTACAAAGCCAATAACTTGCAAAGTGGAGACTTAAATCCAGGCAATCTGCTGTCAAAGCTTGCTTATGACAGAAATTATCAACCTGAACCTGGGTACGTCACCTCACATGTTGGGACTTTGATTTTATCCTCTGTAAAATGAGCATAGTAGTCTAGAATAGGTGCTCTCAAAAGTCCCTCCTAAACTTTTCTTGACAGCAATGCTATTTAAACCCAAATTTACAACATAAAGAAAATAGCTCTAGTCCTTTTATTAAATTGATGCATAAGTAATTTGTGGGTTTTGCCATTACTTTTTTGCCATAATGGTAAAACCCACAATTACTTATGCACCAAACTAATACATATCTAGGCTTCCTTGACTTGTAGAAATATAGAAAGATTCACATATATAATTCCCCCCAGTGGAGTGCCTCTCTGTTCTTGAGCTCTGTTGCTGAGAGGTACATCACCAAGATGCATTAGCCTAATAGAAAACTTCACTAAGTCCCTCTGAATGGAGTCCAAAGAGAATCTTACTTAAAATGAATTCTACCTGACAGCACCTGCACTACATGGACGTTAAGGACACATACAACAAAATTAGCTAGAACTGTAGGACCTGAGTTCAGTCACTCTACCTCTCAGGATCTCAGTCTCCCTATTTATAGAAATGAAGTGACTTTTAGATAAAAGTAATCCCTAAGAAAGCAGCCACCAAAACCCAGAGAAACCAATAAACTTTATTAGAATAAAGAAGTATTATAGTTTGTAAAACAACATTCAAATACAGTGATTGCTAGGCCGGGCATGGTGGCTCATGCCTGTAATCCCAGCACTTTGGGAGGCCGAGGCAGGTGGATCACCTGAGGTCAGGAGTTCAAGACCAGCCTGGTCAATATGGTGAAACCCTGCTTCTACTAAAAATATAAAAAATTAGCCGGGCGTGGTGGCGGACGCCTGTAATCCCAGCTACTCGGGAGGCTGAGGCAGGAGAATTGCTTGAAACCGGGAGGCAGAGGTTGCAGTGAGCCGAGATCATGCCACTGCACTCCACCCTGAGCAACAAAAGTGAAACATTGTCACACACACACACACACACATAAAATACAGTGATTGCTTTTGCAATATAAGCCATGTAAGTAAAGCTACTCAAAATCTATTGTGTTGGCAGAAACTGGCAAAAAAGAAGCAGTGCAGGGTAGAATGGGTTTCTTTAAAAATTTTAACATACATTAGAGTAGATCACTGCAGAAAGACTCTTTTATTAATAGCTCAAAAATCTGTTAAATAAAAAATAAAGTTGCTATTCTATAAAATAAACTCTGATTTAAATAAAATCACATTTGCCAGAATAAATATTTTGAAAAAATCATCGAAACCACTTAAGATATTTTCTTCCTTTTTTAGAAAAATTATTTCAATAAATGCACATACACAAAATTCTGCACACAAGACTCAGGTGTTCTTTGTTTCTAACACAAACTTGGTACGGTTATCAACAGAAATCAAGTCTAATATCCCAGCCAAAGCACAACCAACTTCCTCCTCTGATCCTAAAATTGCTCCAAAACCCTAAGCTCTGTTTTATGAAAAAGAAATGAGACATAATGTATATGTAATTCTTCCCAAGGCCAAATAAATAATGCTCAATTTTCAATCAAATCTGTCCTCCTACAAATCTTTTGGCCATTTTTGCCTATCCAATAGCATCACCAGGGATGGAAAGATGAGACTATACTGAATCCAGTCCATTTGGCTCTTATTAGCATCATTGGTGAATGGTTTGCTGTGTAACAACTGGCAATCCCTATACTCCTCGTCAATATCAGGTTTGACGAAACTATGTGGATTTAATCTCTCCCTAATCCCCATGCCAGGAGATAATTCACCAATAGCTAGTTGTATTCAGAGTCAACTCCCAGAAAAAGATAACAAGATCTGTCTATATTATCAGCTCCCAAAACTCCCTATAAGATTTTAGGTTATCCTCTAAGACTGAACTCAGGTACGGAGCATGAGAATAAAGAGAGGGAATGTTAGAAAAAGAGGGCCTTTCCTACCAAATGCAGCCTCCCTGCTCTACCCCCTCCAAAAATAAGCACATAAATTCCAGAAAGCAAATTCCTCCTTTTCTCTATGAAATGAATCCCACCTTGCAACATCTCATTTTATTAAAATAAACAAACTTTAGAATGGGAAAAAAATATAACTTAATATTGAAATCGTCCATTCCTGAAGGATCCTTGTGAAAATTCCTTGTGAAGATCCTCTGTCATCAAAGTTAAAAATCATTACTCTAGCCTAGAGAGTCATGTCCTTCTCAATAACCTCATCTCTTCCTTCATGAATGGGAGCCACTCCAAACATCTGTAATGTAAAGAGATGAAGACTGCATCTGCACCTGACACTATACCTCTCTCAAACTGTCAGCTCTACCAAGCACTCCTCAAAGGATTTCTGCTTCATTTCCTTGACCATCCAAATTGGGTCTTGTTGGAGGCCTTCCCCTCTCCCCTTTTTCTTTAACTGAGCCTAGAAGCTTACAGCCAAATCAACTTCTAAGTGAAGGATAAGTGTTTGCCTGGGAGCAAAAGCCGCCTGTGAACACACACCCGCACTACGCCTTTCCAACCCAAGATGCCCAGGACACTGCCAATTGCTATGGCTGTGGACTAGATCAGAAAGCAAGAACAGAAATAAGGACACTCTTCATTTCAACCTTTTTGTCTGGGGCACATCCTGAGTTTTTCATTGGCATTTAACACCAAGACACAGGACTCATTTTTCATTAAAGTTGCAAGACTTTCACTTTGCCCAGTTTCAAATGATGTAATTGATCTGTATTTTCTTAACCCAACTGATGAAGGACACTGCAGCTTTAAATATTTCAGTGCTAGCTAGCAAATAGACTCCATTGCAATATGGCTCTGAAGGTCACGTCCTATTGTCTCTTACCTCCGAAAAAAAAAAAAAAAATCCTTCTTCTAGGTAACATGGAGAGGGTTGCCCTTAGAATTTCCACTCTTCCACCTCCTTCCCTTACACAGTAGTGAGTGTTTATTAGGATCTCACACTCATAATTTTCCCAGCAGGGGCAATATGCTGATTGTTATTAATGATTCTAGCACCTTAGCGAGACATAAACACATGTGTTCACATTAGTTTAACTGAGCATACGCAACCGTCTGAAATAGCACCACTCAAGGGTTGTTAACCTCTTTAAGAGTAAAGTCAGGGTGGTTTGGGTGTGGACCGCTTGCAGGCGGCACCCTGAGCTCAGGATTGCATAACCTGAAATGTGTAGCTACTCAAAATGATAGGAATCTCAGCCTACTCATCCTGGGACTATGCCGGCACCTTGCCACACACTTGCAGCTTTACTTGTCAAAGGAAGTCAAAATAAGAGGTACAAACACCATGAAGGAGAAAATAAACTAAAAGAAAAAGGCTTCTTCTACCCTGAAGGGACGAATACGATTCCTCCAGTAATCACAATGTTCTCCCAACCTCATCCTCTGATAATGGAACAGCCCTAAAGAACTGGAGGCTTCGGAAGGGGAAAGAGGAGCTGGACATTGCTGCCCTTTTTAAATATAAGCGGGTGGATGATTAAAAGTCAGAGAAGTGGCAAAAGGAGCGGGGCAGAGGGAAGGAGTGTGTAGGTGCAGCAGAGTATTACCTGAAATGGCAACAGATTGTTACCATTATCGGTCCGGAAAGCGTTATCCTCCATCCAGGACTTGGAAGTGAGAGGGGCCGCGCGAGGGAACTTGGGCGGCGCGATCACGTTGCTGGAGAAGGGCTTTTTGAGCGGCGAGATGGGGTTGAGCGGGGAAGGCACCCCGACACCCACACCCACGCCCACACCGACCGCCCGGCGAGGGTCCCGGCCCGCCTGCAGGCCGCCCCAGGGGTTGGACGGTGCGCTCCAGGCTGCATTCACGCTTTGGTGCGTGTTCCAGCTGGACGAGGCCGACGAGGCGGCGGCTGCGGCAGCAGCGGCTGCAACCGCCGAAGACGAGGACGGCTTGCTGGTCATGATGGGCTGGTGGCCGTACGCCGCGGCGGCGCTCCTCTGCGCGTAGGGCGCCTGGCTGGGGCTGGCGGGTGAGCGGCGCTGCTGCGGGGGCTGCGCCTGTGGTGGCTGCGCTGGCTGTGCCGGCTGCGGCGCGGGCGCAGGCGGCGGCGGCTGCTGGTGGTGCTGGGTCTGCGCCAGGCCGATCTGCGGGGAGAAAGTGCCTCCGAAGACTGGGTTGACATGGTGCGGGAAGTTCTGGAAGAGCATGGTCCCGTTGACTGGGGTGATCCCCTGGAAGAAGCTGTCCTCTACCGCGTTGGTGGTGCCCGTGGACCAGGTGCTGCCGAAGGACGGCGACAGCGACGCGCCCGGTGCCGCGGGCTCCTGAGGCGGCGGCGGCTGCTGAGGAGGCTGATGGAAACTCAAGCCTGGCAGGAGCGGTGATTCCATCTGCATCTTGTCCGGGCCGTTGGGGGCCGGGGGGGCAGCGGCTGGGCTGAGGGCCGGCACTGCGCTGTTTTCCTCCGGCTTGGGGGTCTCTGAGGAGAGGGGCGTGGACGGGGCTTCGGATACGCTGGACTCAGGTTGGGGCTGCTGCTGCTGCCGCTGCTGCTGCTGGGGCTGGGGCTGGGTTTTGCTTTTGTCCATCAGTAAATCATCCTGCATGGTTTGCGCAGCTGAAACGGGAAAAAAGAGAGACGCGTTATTGTCAATGTGATCATGAATGTCCCTCGCTGAAGCGGGCGGGTGTTTCACTTGCGAAAATCCATCGCCACCGCTACTAGCCAATTGCAATGCAAATCCATAATCTCCCATTTAGAAGAACAGGTCAGGCTGTTGGGTGGGGAATAGGGAAGGTGTCGAGCAAGGTCTCTAAAAATACTGTGAGAGCGTCTTCAACCTTTCAGATGTCTTGGTTCCTTTTCTGTATTAGTGAGAGATGTGCTTATAAGACAGAAAAGACAGCAATTTCGCCACGTCTCTTTTCCCTTCACCGGAACTCAGAGCGTTCGCCCTGCAATGAGAAACTGATTCTGGTTCCTGTTTTTTCCCAAGCACCACCCTCCCCCACTTATTTGCATACGTCAATAAATACTGCTGCGTCCTTCAGCAAGGTTAAAAAGACACCGCACACACGACCCTTTCTTCTCCCTTCCCCAGCTCGAACACTTTTTAAAAAAACAAAACAAAAAAACCAGTATTAGCCCTCTTGATTAGCAAACTGCCTTCTTGCGTTGGTAATTGTTTCATTTAGCTGCAGCGAACCACGAGGGAGGAATCCTTGGCATTTGTTAGAAGGACTCAGCTGCACAATCATTCTCTGGCCTCCCAGTAGCTGCAGCTACTCCATTTTGTTAGGAGACAGTTAATTTTAAAAAAAACGTTTTTAAAGAAGTAAAAACCTACTGAAACGTTTGGAAGTGCTTGCTTCTTGTTACTCTAAGGATTATGGTTTTTCTGCTTATTCCCCAATTTTCTTGTCTCCAATTCTGCCGCACAAGAGATTTCTTGGCATCGCAGTGCTTCAGGTCTCAACAGGAGCCTAAGAATTTCTCTGCAGAGTGGAGAAATGCTTCTGGTTGGATTTAAGGTCAGAGAGTGCGCGCGAGCGAGCGAGCGCCTGTGAGATAGGGTGGGGGTGGGGCTTTAAAAAAAACCCTCAGAGATTTAAGTAGACAGTCAAGATAATTCTGGGGTTGTCAGATTTTCAATTTTGAATCCTCCTGCTGCTGTCTTGGTCACAAGACTTTGGCAAATTTAGAATCCATTCTCTTATCACTAGTATTAGCAGCGAAACACTATGGTTTGAAGACCCTGAATTACCATATGCTAGCAAAAGTGTTAAAAATAGAGGAGTACAAAGTCTCAAATTTTCATACATTGTAATTATAGTGCATTGCCATCACTGCTTCATTTAGCCATATAAGGAGTGTATGGTATTTTCCATCTCACAGAGAAGGGCTATATTCACCTCTACCATACAGCCTGTTTTCTTATTCAAGGATGAAAATTACTAATCACTCAAAACCCGGAGACTGCCATACATGTAGTTAGCTTGTCCTTAGAACATGTTAATTGCTTTAAATATATAAATATTACAGTGCTGAGACCCTAAAAACAAATATTTTGAAATGTTAAAGGGGCATATGACCAAACATATAATTATTTTTAGATGATGATTCAGTACAATTGCAACAAAGTTATTAATAAATTTAATGCAGTTACTTAATTAACCCAGATACTTGGAGAGGAATCTTTCTCAGGACACTTGTGAAAAGGCATTCAGATACACACAGAAGCTCTGCCTCTAGACATCCTCATGATAATAATTATTGTTAAAATCAACATATCAGAAAATGAAAATATTAACTATTATGCAAAATATATCAGACAAATGGGATTAAAAGTAGTTCTATTATTTTATTAGAGACTATCATTAAAATGGTTCATTAGTATCTTTTATTTCAAAGTTTCATACACAAAATAGTGGTGGGCTAAAGGAAATGCTTCGCAGCCACCTTGCTCTCCCTTCTATTCCTCATTCCCCTGCCTTTCCTCCCTTCAACCCCCCCAGGGAAAAAAACCCAACTCAATATAATATACAACACAGATTGCCGGCTACTACCAATAAAATCTATTTAAGATTGCTTTTATGTTCCTCAGTTCCCTTGGTCTAAAACAATGGCTTTGATCAGTATTGCAAAATACAATACAAAGAGGCAAATGAAGCTTTGATTTAGACAGCACAAAGTTCTATTGCTGCCACAGAAGATGGTCACAGAAAGAGACATTTTCATACTTGGTTTAAACGGTGCTGCAGTAAACCATTATAATCTGAGATTTGAGTCACTTCCAGTGAGCTAGAATTGTCTTTATAATAGCCATATCATCATGGCTGAAATAGGCATTTGATTATAATTTTAATATCACTCTGCTTTTCCGGTTGCTTGTATCAATGCTTGCTGTTAATGCCTTCAGTTTAAACTACATGCTCTTCATGGAAAAATTAATGCTGTACCTCAGCAAAAAAGCCAAAAAGTAAGCTGGACTCAGAACATTTTATAGTAGCTGTAATCAATGTTAACATATTCATTGAATTTTAAAAATTTTATACCAGGAACACCCATTTCTCTTCTCAACACTCCTTAAAAATATAAATTTTGCTTTCTGCATAAATTCACTCTGTCAAGGTCAAGACCCACCTTTAATAAATAAGACCTTTTCAAACAAAAGGTAAGCAATAGATTAACATAAAATTTGCAAAGGTAGTATTCAACGTCTCTCAGCAACTGCCTGTATAGTTTGTTTTGTGTTCTTGGGGTTGTTTTTTGTTTTTTTGGGTTTTTTGTTTTTGTTTTTGTTTTTGCTTATTTACAGCAAAGTGAGAAATAGATACCTCCTTCCCCTCCCCCACCACACACAATAGATATTCTTTTACATGCAATAACCCAATTTCAAGTAACAAAATCTTAGTAGCAGTTACCTTTGAGTGTCCAGTTTTTAAGAATCGATAAAATTTAAAAGTATACAGTATTTATTTTCTTCTTTCAGGTTGATTATGTGACCGCTCTGGCAAAAGCACTTTGACAACTGTAAGATGAGAGGGCATGCGCACACAGGGAACTGTGGGGGCTGAAGTCCTTCACAAGGTACTCGATCTGACTTCAGCACGTTCAGCCGGGAAAGGAGGAAGTCTCACAAATACAGATTCTGAGGGGAAAAGGTTGTGTCCTGATTACATTATATCCTCCTAACCAATCTAAATCACGAGTTGTTGAAATAAAAGGGAAAAAAATAAACTGGTTTGTCAACTTGCCATAGGAAGCCAGGATAAAGGGAAACTGAATTGTAGTATTCAGAATAAATAAACCAAGCAGAGCTACCTTAAATGGTTAGAATGGTAATGACTGGGTAGCTAGCAATAGGAATCCTACTAGAAAGAGACTGGGGTGGAGAGGAATAGGCAAGGGAGGGGGAACTACTGGAGAATGTTAGATACTTAAAATCTGACCATACTTAAACACTTAAATAATTTTTTAAATTTTTCAGCAGAGATGGCATAAAAGAATCACTTTTAGTTTAGAATAAAAAACACCTTAATGTTAAATGTGATATCAACCTTAGAGGTCAGGTAAAAATAGATTTTAGTCATAAATTTTTGACATCCACCAGATTTCTTGTATTTTAGTTTTCAATGCAGGAACAAATCACTTATTTTAAGATTGTACCTGATAAGCTCTGAACCAACTCACCTCCTTATTTTTACTTGTCAAAATAAAAGTTCACCTTGCATTATTCATACAAAGGATTACTCAAATAAAATTCAACTCTTATACTAAAATAATATTTGGTGAATTATTTAAAAACAATTGTATATGTTGCCGGGCAGGGTGGCTCATGCCTGTAATCCCAGCGCTTTGGGAGGCCGAGGAGGGCAGATCACCTGAGGTCAGGAGTTCGAGACCAGCCTGGCCCACATGGTGAAACCCCATCTCTACTAAAAATACAAAAATTAGCTGAGCATGGTGGCAGGAGCCTGTAATCCCAGCTACTCGGGAGGCTGAGGCAGGAGAATCGCTTGAACCTGGGAGGTAGAGGTTGCAGTGAGCTGAGATTAGGCCACTGCACTCCAGCCTGGGTGACAGAGTAAGACCCTGTCTCAAAAAAAAAAACTAATAATAATAACAATTGTACATGTTTAGTGTTACATTGCATAAGACAATGACTTCTTTCTTTAAGACAAACAGTAGATACAGTTTTCTTTTTTTTTGAGATGGAGTCTCTCTCTGTTGCCTAGGCTGGAGTACAGTGGTGCGATCTCAGCTCATTGCAACCTCTGCCTCCTGGGTTCAAGCGATTCTCCTGCCTCAGCCTCCCAAGTAGCTGGGACTACAGGGGCATGCCACCACGCCCGGCTCATTTTTTGTATTTTTAGTAGAAAAGGGTTTTCACTGTGTTAGCCAGGATGGTCTCGATCTCCTGACCTCGTGATCCGCCCGCCTCTGCCTCCCAAAGTACTGGGATTACAGGCATGAGCCACCGCACCTGGCCAAGTTTCTATTAAAAACTGTTTTTTGGTATGGTTTTTCCTATTTTAACCTCATGATTCCAAGGCTGGAATCTCACAACATATTAAAATCAACTGCTATTATCTATAGCTTCTGAAAGCAATAGTTCAAGAACCGGTTTGTTCACGTAGGCAGAAGATATTTCTTGTGGGATTTGGTTCAGTGCTACTCACCCAAGGGGTTAGCAATAAATGTCAGTTGATGACTATGCTGATTGAACTTGTAACTGAAAATGTCATCATTTAAAATTGTCTTAATTTTCTATTTCCCTTCTTCACCAATCAGAACTGAAGTATTACCAGAAACCACTGATTTGCAGCATACTGTAATCTTTGTTTCTAGTTATTTCTTAAAACAAACAAAAACCTAAGAAAAGAGTCTTTTTTTTTTTTTTTTTTTTTTGAGACTGAGTCTCGCTCTGTCACCCAGGCTGGAGTGCAGTGGTGTGATCTCGGCTCACTGCAACCTCCACCTCCCAGGTTCAAGTGATTCTCCTACCTCAGCCTCTTGAGTAGCTGGGATTACAGGCGCATGCCACCATGCCCAGCTAATTTTTGTATTTTTAGTAGAGACAAGGTTTCACAACAGTGGTCAGGCTGGTCTCAAACTCCTGACCTCGTGATTTGCCCACCTCGGCCTCCCAAAGTGATGGGATTACAGACATGAGCCACCGTGCCTGGCCAAGAATCTATTTTTTGACCCCCTAAGATTCTAGCCTAAGTCTGCAAGAAAAGAATCAGTTTGAATGAATCCACCAAAAGATCTACGTAAAACAACTAAATGTTTACTTATTCCTACTGTAATGTGACCTTAGCTTATATTTCCCATTTTTTCTCTTCCTCTAGCCTCCTAAAGAAAGCTCCACTTTTGCCAAGGTGCTGTGGTCACTATTTGGATTCCAAAATTTGCAAGGATCAACCCAAGGTTAATGTTATTCCTGAAGACTTTGCTAACCTACCAAACTTTTGCCACATTTTCAAGTATTCTAACTAAAATAAAATAGCCGGGCACGGTGGCTCATGCCTGTAATCCCAGCATTTTGGGAGGCCGAGGCGGCTGGATCACCTGAGTTCAGGAGTTTGAAACCAGCCTGACCAACACGGTGAAACCTCGTCTCTACTAAAACTATAAAAAATTAGCCAGATGTGGTGGCAGGCGCCTGTAATCCCATCTACTCAGGAGGCTGAGGCAGGAGAATCACTAGAACCTGGGAGGTGGGGGTTGCAGTGAGCCAAGACCGCACCATTGCACTCCAGCCTGGGAGACAGAGCAAGACTCCATCTCAAAAATAAATAAAATAGGCCAGGCGCGGTGGCTCAAGCCTGTAATCCCAGCACTTTGGGAGGCCAAGGCAGGCGGATCACGAGGTCAGCAGATCAAGACCATCCTGGCTAACACGGTGAAACCCCGTCTCTACTAAAAATACAAAAATTAGTCGGGCATGGTGGCAGGCGCCTGTAGTCCTGGCTACTCGGGAGGCTGAGGCAGGAAAATGGCGTGAACCCGGGAGGCGGAGCTTGCAGTGAGCCAAGATCGCGCCACTGCACTCCAGCCTGGGAGACAGAGCGAGACTCCGTCTCAAAAACAAAAAAAAAAACGAAAAACAAAAAAATAAAATAAAATAAAAATACCCTTCATAACGTCCTTATAGCTTTAAGAAATGGATTTTCAAGTACTCCAAAGTAAAATAATCCTTCATAACATCCTTACAGCTTTAAGAAATAGATTTTTTAAATTATTTGAAATTAGGATGTCAACTTTTTTTTTTTTTTGAGACAGAGTCTCACTCTGTTGCCCAGGCTGGAGTGCAGTGGCACAATCTCGGGCTCACTGCAACCTCCGCCTCCTGGGTCCAAGCGATTCTCCTGCCTCAGCCTCCCAAGTAGCTGGGGTTTCAGGCACCCACCACCACGCCCAGCTAATTTTTTGTACTTTTAGTAGAGACGGGGTTTCACCGTGTCAGCCAGGAGTGTCTTGATCTCCTTACCTCATGATCCACCCGCCTCGGCCTCCCAAAGTGCTGGGATTACAGGCATAAGCCACCACGCCCGGCCTAGGATGTCAACTTGTAATCAGTAACATAGAAATTTTTAAGTTATTCCTTTCAAAGTTATGACTTGAAATGGTTTCTCTGGGCATTTGTTAATCCACCTAACTCCAAGTGCAGGTCTATTAATATGCACAATGGACAAAAATAAACTTTGGCTCTAACCCTTGTTAAACCATAATTAACACTGCCCATACTTAATGGGATTGTATTGTATTGAAAAACACACTAATCTCTGCTTTTTTTCCCCTAAAATGAGCCTCAAATCTAAAAAGAAAATGACTCGAACATAAGCACCAAGGTATAAATACAGACGAAGAAAAGAAAAAATTATCAGAGAACCCTCCACAAGAACAAAGCCCTTCTCTACTGAAATGTTGTTTTTTTACTTAACCATAAAAGAGGTACCTTCTTTATTTTTTTATTGTTTTTTCTGAGACAGAGTCTTGCTGTGTCGCCCAAGCTGGAGTGCAGTGGCACAACCTCAGCTAACTGCAACCTCCACCTCCCAGGTTCAAGCAATTCTCCTGCCTCAGCATCTTGAGTAGTTGGGACTACAGGCACGCACCACCAAGCCTAATTATTTTATTTTATTTTATTTTATTATTTGTTTTGAGATGGAGTTTCACTCTTGTTGCCCAGGCTGGAGTGCAGTGGCGCGATCTCAGCTCACCATGACCTTTGCCTCCCCAGGTCAAGCGATTCTCCTGCCTCAGCCTCCCGAGTAGCTGGGATTACAGGCATGTGCCACCATGCCCAGCTAATTTTGTATTTTTAGTAGAGATGGGGTTTCTCCGTGTTGGTCAGGCTGGTGTCGAGCTCCCGACCTCAGGTGATCCACCCACCTTGGCCTCCCAAAGTTCTGGGATTACAGGCTAATTTTTATATTTTAAGTAGAGACGGGGTTTCACCTTGTTCACCAGGCTGGTCTCGAACTCTTGACCTCAAGAGATCCACCTGCCTCAGCTTCCCAAAGGCTGGGATTACAGGTGTGAGCCAACGCACCTAGCCAAAAAAGAGGCACTTTCTGAAATTTTATCTTGAGATCACAGAACTTCACCTTAAACCACTGCCCCCCATCCTTTGTTTTGTTTTTGTTTTTGTTTTTCTTTGAGACAGAGTCTTGCTCTGTCATCTAGGCTGGAGTGCAGTGGTGTGATCTTGGCTCACTGCAACCTCTGCCTCACAGCATAAACCCCTTTGGAGTAGCCATTAAAGGCTATAAAAATACTTCACAGAATTAACTCACTGAGATACATAGTTATTCCTCGGTATCTTGTGGGCGTAGTTCCAAACCCCCTACCCCACCAAATATCAAAATCCATGGATGCTCAAGTAAGTTCCTTATGTAAAATGGCATAGTATTTGCATACAACCTATGCACATCCTCCTGTATACTTTAAATCATCTCTAGGTTACTTATAATACCTAATACAATGTAAGTGTTATGTAAATAGTTGTTATACTATATTGTTTAGGGAATAATGACAAAAAAAGTTTGTACGTGTTCAGTACAAATGCAAGCATTCACTTTTTTTTCCAAATATTTTTGATCTGTGGTTGGTTGAATCAAAGAATATGTGGATATGGAACCCACAGATAAGAAAGGACAACTGTACATGGGTCAAATACATCATTTTGAGCTTCCTTCCTTCTTTTCCTTCCCTACTTACATCCCTAGCACAATGCTTATATGTCCTGGGTAGTTGGTAGGTGCACTATACATGCTTGCTAAATATACGGATAAATGGATGGATGAATAAAGCATAGTTTTTCTATTACTTAAAACAGCCAGGTTCAAGTTAAGTATTAAATTCATTTAGAAGAGCAATTAATTTTCCCTTAGCTGCAAGGATGGGAAGGGGAGTGGTATAAAATAGAAAACCATTTTGGCTTTTATGATGTTCAGTAGTATGCAGACTATTTGATTACCATCATGAAGTAACAGACACACACCCCGCCCTTCCACAGAAATTGTTTCTCCAAGATTATAATAGACGCCCTGAGCTAAGTCCAATGGATGTTTGTCAGTCTATCTTGCTTGACCTTGCAGCAACATTGACATAACTGACCACTCTTTCTGGATATACAGTCATGCATAGCATTAACAATATTCCAGTCAAACCACATACACAATGATGGTCCCAAAGATTATAATGAAGCTGAAAAATTCCAATCACCTCCTCACTTTGTAGCTGTCAATGTCATAGTGCAAAAGCATCACTCATGTATTTGTTGTGATACTGGTGTAAACAAAGCCACTGTGCTGCCAGTTTTATAAAATTATAGCACATAAGGCCGGGCATGGTGGCTCATGCCTGTAATTCTAGCACTTTGGGAGGCCAAGGCAGGCGGATCACGAGGTCAGGAGATTGAGACCATCCTGGCCAACATGGTGAAACCCCATCTCTACTAAAAACACAAAAAAATTAGCAGGGCATGGTGGCACGTGCCTGTAGTCCCAGCTACTCAGGAGGCTGAGGCCGGAGAATCTCTTGAATCCTGAAGGCAGAGGTTGCAGTGAGCCAAGATCGTGCCACTGCACTCCAGTCTGGTGACAGAGCGAGACTCCGTCTCAAAAAAAAAAAAAAAAATTATAGCACATACAATTATGTACAGTACAAAATACTTGATAATTATAATAAATTACTGTTGTTGGTTCATGTATTTACTTTTTATCATTATTTTACAGTGTACTCTTTAGTAGAAAGGTGGTGCATGCCTGTAATCGCAACTACTCGGGAGGTTGAGGCAGGAGAATCACTTGAACTTGGGAAGTGGAGGTTGCAGTGAGCTGAGATCACACCATTGCACTCCAGCCTGGGCAACAGAGTGAGACTCTCAAAAATAAAAATAAAAAATAAAAAAGTAAAAAAAAATTAGAAATTTTAAAAGTTGAAAAAAGTTTATAGAATAAGGGTATAAAAAATATTTTTGGGCCAGGAGCGGTGGCTCATGCCTGTATTCCCAGCACTTTGGGAGGCCGAAGCAGGAAGATTACTTGAGGTAAGGAGTTTGAAACCAGCCTTGGTCAACATGGTGAAACCCTGTCTCTACTAAAAATACAAAAAAATAGCTGGGCGTGGTGGCAGGCACCTGTAGTCCCAGCTACTTCAGAGGCTGAGGCAGGAGAATCGCTTGAACTTGGGAGTCGGAGGTTGCAGTGAGCCCAGATCACACCACTGCACTCCAGCCTGGACAACAGAGTGAGACTCCATCTCATATATATATATATATATGTTATATAGCTATACAATATATTTTTATTTTAAGCTGTTATTACAAGTGTCAATTTTTTTTCTTTTGAGACAGAGTCTTGCTCTGTCGCCCAGGCTAGAGTGCAGTGGCGCGATCTGAGCTCACTGCCAGCTCGGCCTCCTGGGTTCACGCCATTCTCCTGCCTCAGCCTCCCGAGTAGCTGGGACTACAGGCGCACTCCACCACACCCGGCTAATTTTTGTATTTTTAGTAGTGACGGGGTTTCACCGTGTTAGCCAGGATGGTCTCCATCTCCTGACCTCGTGATCCGCCCACCCTCAGCCTCCCAAAGTGCTGGGATTTATAGGCGTGAGCCACTGTACCCGGCCAATTTTTAAAAAAAAAATTTAAAAGTTTAAAAAGTTAAAATATTGCAATAAGCTAAGGTCAATTTTCTTGGAGGGGGGTCAATTTATTATTGAAGAAAAGTTCTTTTTATAAATTTAGTGTGGCCTAAGTGTACAATGTTTATAAAGTCTACAGTAGTATATAGTAAAATCCTACGCCTTCACATTCATTTACTGCTCACTCACTGACTCACACTAGAACAACTTCCATTCCTGCAAGCTCAATTCATGGTAAGTGCCCTATACATGTGTACCTTTTTTAATATATGTATCCTTTATACCATTTTTTGTTTGTTTGTTTTGAGACAGAGTCTCACTCTGTTGCCCAGGCTGGAGTGCAGTGGCATAATTGCGGCTCACTGCAACCTCCACCTCCCAGGTTCAAGCAATTCTCATGGCTTAGCATCCCAAGTAGCTGGGACTACAGGCGCCTGCCACCACACACACAGTTAATTTTTTTTTTTTTTTTTTTTTTTTTGTATCTTTAATAGAGATGGAGTTTCACTCCCATCTCTTGGGAAACTTTCGTTGCCCAGGCTGGTCTTGAACTCCTGAGCTCAGGCAATCCGCCCACCTCAGCCTCCCAAAGTGCTAGGATTACAGGCATGAGCCACCATGCCCAGCCTATACTGTATTTTTACTGTACCCTTCTGAAGTTTAGATATACAAATACCTACCATTGTGTTACAACTGCCTACAACATTCTGTGGGGTAACATGCTGTACACGTTTGTAAGCTAGAAGCAAAAGGCTGTACTATACAGCCTATGTGGGTAGTAGGCTCTACCATCTAGGTTTGTGTAAGTACACTTTATGACAACTGACACAAAAAAATCACCTAACGATGCATTTCTCAGAAAGTATCCCCTTTGTTGGTAAGCAACACATGACTGTACCTTCTTCCCTTTTCCTCCTTCCTTCATGCTGTCCTTTCTTAGTTTTCTAACATGTGGGATTGTATTCTCTCTTCTCTCTTCTCTCCTCTTCTCTCTCTCTCTCTCTCTCTTCTTTGCTAACTGACTTTAAATACTGAGATTTAAAGTTATTGGAACAGGATAAGCAAATAAACAGAACAAAATTAAAAAGTCTAGAAATAGGTGGATCTATGTATGATCCCCAGAATTCCAAAAACAGTAACAGTAATGAAAAGACGAAGCAGTAATGAAAAGATGGTCTTTTCAATAAAGGGTATTCGAGTCAACTGAATATCCATATGGCAAAAAAGAGACCTTTATACTTACAACACTATATTCAAAAATCAATTCCAGATGGATTGTAGGCCTAATTGTAAAATATAAACAAAAAAGCCCTTAAAAGAAAACCTGGGAGAATCAACAATTTATTAAACAGGTCCCATCCTGGAAGGGGACACCAACAGAAAGAAAAAAAGGTCGGATGTGGTGATGGGTGCCTGTAATCCCAGCTACTCGGGAGACTGAGGCATGAGAATAGTTTGAACCCAGGAGGGAGAGGTTGCAGTGAGCCGAGATCACGCCACTGCACTCCAGCCTGGGTGTCACAGCAAGACTCCATCTCAAAAAGAAAAAAAAAAAAAAGAAGTCACAAAACCAGTAACCATAAGTAAGACAGTATTCGAATAAAAACTCACAGAATGGGAGAATATATGCTCTCTCTCTCTATATATATTTTTTTTCAACAAAAGACTTGTAACCAGAATATATAAAGGACTCCTACAAATCAATAAGAGTAAATATCCCCCCAAGAATAGGCAAAAGATTTCACCGAAAGATATTCAAATGACCAAAAAGCATATGAAAAGGTGCTCTACCTCACTAATCAACAGAAACAAAAAAAGGCAGAATAAAATCAGAATGGCTAGAACTGGAAAAGGCAGACAATACCAAGCATTAGCAAGGATGGGAGCAACCCCTCCTTTTTTTAAGCAACCCATTTTTCAAACAATGCTGGTGAAAGTATAGTTCGGTATAACTATACAACCACAATGCAAAATCATTTAGCAGTGTCTATTAAAGCTAAACATTCACAAACCTTATGACCCAGCAATTTAGCCTCTAGCTATACACCCAATAGAAATGCAGACATGTTCACCAAGATATGTTCGAAGCAGCATTATTCATAATAGCCAAACCTGAAAACAACCCAAATATCCATCTGTAATAGAATGGATAAATAAATTTGTGAGGGACTCATATAATGGAATATGATAAGGCAAAGATAATGAATAGATGCCAACTTTTTTTTTTTAATTTTTATTTTTTGTAGCTGGGACTACAGGTGCCTGCCACCATGCCTGGCTAATTTTTGTATGTTTTTGTAGAGATGAGGGTTTTGCCGTGTTGCCCAGGCTCATCTCAAATTCCTGAGTTCAAGTGATCCTCCCACCTCGGCCTCCCAAAGTGCTGAGATTACATGTGTGAGCCACTGTGCCTGGCCTGACTCCAACTGTATAAAACAGCATACATAAATTGCATGAATGCAATGCTAAGTGAAATGTCTGATGCAAAAAAGTATATACTATATGCTATATGATTCCACTTAAAGTTCCTTTTTTTTTTGAGACAGGGTCTCGCTCTGTTGCCTAGGCTGGAGTGAAGTGGTGTGATGACAGCTCACTGCAACCTCCAACTTAAAGTTATAATAAAACTAATTTACAGTATTAGAAGTCAAGATAGTAATTGCCTTTACAGGGAAATAATGATTGCTAGGGAACATAAAAGGGGACTTCAGTGATGCTGGTGACATACTTATTCTGTTTGTTGAACTGGGTGTTCACTTTGAAAATTCAGAAAACTAGGCTGGGCACGGTAGCTCACGCCTGTAATCCCAGCACTTTGGGAGGCCGAGGCAGGCGGATCACAAGGTCAAGAGATTAAGACCATCCTGGCCAACATGGTGAAATGCCATCTCTACTAAATATACAAAAATTAGCCAGGTGTGGTGGCACACGCCTGTTGTCCCAGCTACTCGGGAGGCTGAGGCAGGAGAATCACTTGAACCCGAGAGGTGGAGGTTGCAGTGAGCCGAGATCGCACCACCGCACTCCAGCCTGACAACAGAGCAAGACTCTGTCTCAAAACAAAAAAAAAAAAAAAAAAAAAGAAAAGAAAGAAAAGAAAATTCAGAAAACTAAACATTTATTTTTTGTGTAATTTTCTGTACATGTTATACAGTACTTCCATAAAGTTTACAAAAATACAAATAGAAAAATTAGCCAGGCATGGTGGCATGTGCCTATAGTCCCAGCTACTTGAGAGGCTGAGGTGGAATCATCACCAAAGCCCAGGGAGTTTGAGGCTGCAGTGAGCTGTGATTGTGCCACTGCACTACAGCCTGGGTGACAGTGAGACTCTGCCTCAAAAAAATTTATTAAAGTTTACAAAACACACAATATATTTGTAAAGGTAAAGAGAAAAAAATAGTATGATCTGGCCAAATAGGAGGGGGAGCCTTAGGTCTGTGTCATTTAAGCTAAAGAAATAAACTAGGGGTTCCCTATGTGCCAGGCTGTACTAGAGGCACCAAATGTAAAGATTTGAGTTTGTAAAGACTCAAAATTCTGTGGCCAGGCATGGTAGCTCATGCCTGTAATCCCAGAACTTTGGGAGGCTGAACTAGGAGAATCACTTGAGCCCAAGAGTTTGAGACCACCTTAGGCAATATAGTGAGACCTTATCTCTACAAAATATTTAAAAATTAGCTGAGCATGGTGATGTGCACCTGTGGTCCCAGGTACTCAGGAGGCTGAGGTGGGAGGACTGCTTGATCCCAGGAAGTTGAGGCTGCAGTGAGCCATGATTGTGTCAATGCACCTCAGCCTGGGCAACAGAGTGAGACCCTGCCTTTAAAAAAAAAAAAATGCAAAGTTCCTTGACTTCAAAGAGCTCACAGTCTAAGAAAAGAAATAATAATTTTGGTCAATTATTCAATATTCCCTAGGTAACCTAGAAAGCTTTTAAAAATGTTAAAAGCTAAGGCAATTTACATGCAGGAAGTCCACATCTTCTGAGTGATGATCTGTTAAGTAATTCTAGACATGACTAAGTTTGAGAACAGAATAAGAGAAAAGGGAGCAAAAAGGTAGCCAGGTGAGCTAGATGTAGCTTAGTGGACAATCTGGAGAGCACCTTGGGTTTTTTTATGTTTCTCACTCTCTGTTTGTTAGTCTTGGGTTAATTCGTTTCATTCATTCCATAATTTTATGAAGGGCCTCCTGGCCACAAAGTAGCAATTCCAATTTTACCTCCCTTTTTTATAGACCTTGTCTCTAACATTTTTCTTTTTATACAGACAGAGTCTTGCTCGCTCAGTCACCCAAGCCAGAGTTCAGTGGCATGATCATACCTCTCACTGTAGCCTTGATCTCCTTGGCTCAAGAGATCCTCCCACCTCAGTCTCCCAAGTACCTAGGACTACCGGCATATACCACCACACCCAGCTAATTTTTCTTTCCTTTTCCCTTTTCCTTATTTTTTTATTTTTTATTTTTATTTTTATTTTTTTTTCTGGCGATGGAGTGCTGCCACATCACCCAGGCTAGTTTCAAATGCCGGGCCTCCAGTTATTCTCCCGCCTTGGCCTCGCAAAGTGTTGGGATTACAGGCATGAGCTGCTGCACCCAGTTCTCTTGTCTGTAACTCCTAAGAGAATACTGAGGCTATTAGGTAGTAATGTCTCCAATTTCCCTACTGCCCACCAACAAGCCCTCCCTTACAAACTTACCTGTATTCCCTTTCATATTCCCTTTCCTCCTTTCTCAGAGGAAGCTGAGTCTCCCTACAAGACCACAATTAATCCCTCCTTCTGTGGTCTAGAACCCATTCCTTCTAGTTTCCTTGAGACCTAGCTCATTAATTTAATTATTCTCAGCTCTCTCATTCCCATTCCTGGCAGGCTATTTGAAAGAAACTCTAGATCTTAGTTAACTTCCTTACTTCCAGTTAACTCCCCAACTTACTGCAGTCTGGCTTCTGCCCCTACCATTCTACAAAAATTGCTCTTGGTACTGACATTACCAAAGTCACCAATGACCAACTAACACTTTTCAAGTCCTATTTTCTTTGTGCATTCTTCATAAAACACTTCTGATAAGAATTTAAGATGCCTTCCCAAGATTCCAGGCTAGAAGCTAAAAAAGAACCCACATCCTATAACTGCAATTCTTCCAACAAGAAGGCACTTGAAGATGGATTTCTCCCAAGAGCTTCTAGATGAGAACTCCGCAGGGCCACCATCTTGATTTCAGTCTATTAACACCCTGAACAAAGAACCTAACCGTGGTGCACCACACTTCTGACCTATGGAACTGTTAGTTAATAAATGTTGTTTTAAGCCATTAAGCTTGTGATGATTTGTTACACAACAGTAGCAAACTAATACAACACTATTCCATTTTCATTTAAGATACTGCTCTCCTGTATCTTTACTTATCTCTTAATGTTTCTTCTCAATCTTCTGCCCCTAAATACAGTCTCCCCCAGGGTTCTCCTAATTCTGCATACTCTCCCTAATCAATGTTATATTCATAAAGTTCACCACTGTTTAGGTCTCCGGATGAAATGTTTTTAAGCTACAGACTGCTTTTAACTATTTCTCTATCAGAAGATCCTATTAGCACCTCTTCTCCCATAAATTTGCTTGTGCATTTATATTTGGTTAACTTATCCTATTTAATGGCACCACCATCAGTGTAGTCACACAAGTTAGGAACCTGGACATGATTCTTCCCCTTTTCCCTGAGAGACAAGTCCAACTGGTTGATAAAACTTATTAATCCTGCCTCCTAAATTTCTGACTGACATCCTATCGTCTCCATTCACAACCAGTATAATACTGTACCTGAACTACAGCAGTGATCTCCTAATGTCTCTCATCTAGTATTCTTCCAAATGTGGCCTCCATACTAAATCCTGAGTAATCATTCGAACATAGTTTTACCATGTTATGCCCCTTCCTAAAACTCTCCAATAACTTTTCCCTTGCCATGAGGATAAAATACAAACCTTTTTTCTTTTTTTTTTTTTTTGAAACAGAGTCTCACTCTGTTGCCCAGCTAGAGTGCGGTGGCGCATCTTGGCTCACTGCAACCTCCGCCTCCTGGGTTCAAGCAATTCTCCTGCCTCAGCCTCCTGAGTAGCTGGGACTACAGGCACGTGCCACCACACCCAGCTAATTTTTGTATTTTTAGTAGATGGGGTTTCACCATGTTGGCCAGGATGGTCTCGATCTCTTGACCTCGTGATCCGCCCGCCTCAGCCTCTCAAAGTACTGGGATTACAGGCATGAGCCACTGTGCCCAGCCCAAACTTAACTCTTCTACACGTACTCTTCCCAGCCATGCCAACCTAACTCAAATGTCCATTATTTGAAGCTTTCCTTGACCATGTAAGCAGAATTGCTGATTCCTTCCTTTATACAACTTTGTAAGACACATATATCTCTATTACAGTATTTATTCTTCATATTTCAGTGTAATTATTTGTTTACACATCTGCCTTTCCTAGAAGACCTCCAGGTTTGGGACTATATTCATCTTTGTAACCCAGGTACTGGGCCTAAAACATAGAGATACTGGATAAAAGTTTGTTTATCAAATCAAAGAACAGATACCTTTTATCCCAATTTGTTGAAATGTAAAGCACTTCTTTAACATTAGACAAAGAGAAGTTCTATGGATTCTATTGCCATAGAATGTGTTCCAAAACCCTATGCTTAATAATACAAAGTTTAATGTTTATGAAGACATTCCATATTGAAATTCAGTATAATTTACCTTTCTCCTGTTGGAGGATATTTGATTTGTTTCCAAGTTTTCACTATTTTCCAAACTGACTGTTTCCTTGAGCCTTATTTCTAAAGAAGAAATTGCTCAATTGGAAGGCATAACATTGATTTTGATACATATTAACAAATTATTTATTTTATTTTTTTTTTAAGGCAGGGCCTCTGTCTCCCAGGTTGGAGTGCAGTGGTACCATCAGAGCTCACTGCAGCCTCAACCTCGCAGGCTCAAGTGATCCTCCTGCCTCAGTCCCCCAAGTAGCTGGGATTACAGGCTTGGGCCACCACACCCAGCTAATTTTTTGTATTTTTAGTATAGATAGAGTTTTGCCATGTTGCCCAGGCTGGTTTCAAACTCCTGGGCTCAGGCAATCCTCCTGCCTTGGCCTCCCAAGTGCTAGGATTACAGGGGTGAACCACCTTGCCAACAAATTGCTTTAGAAAGCTTGCAGCAGTGTATACTTCCACTAGAAATTAGCTTCTACATAAAAACAATGTATAAATAGTATAAAAAAACAGAATCCGGTTCCTGATAATGTAATAATGTAGAAAAGGACCTCAACTCTTTTTTTTTTTTTTTTTTGAGATGGAGTTTCACTCTTGTCACCCAGGATGGAGTGCAGTGGCACAATCTCAGCTCACTGCAACCTCTGCCTCCTAGGTTCAAGCGATTCTCCTGCCTCAGCCCCCTGAGTAGCTGGGATCACAGGCGCCCACCACCATGCCCAGCTAATTTTTGTATTTTTGATAGAGATGGGGTTTCGCCATGTTGGCCAGGCTGGTCTCACACTCCTGACCTCAGATGATTCGCCAACCTCAGCCTACCAAAGTGCTGGGATTACAAGCGTGAGTTATCGTGCCCGGCCTCTCAACTCTTTCAATATGCCAAATAATATTAAGTCCCTTTTAACATCCTAATATATGTATTTTTTTCTTTCCTTTTTTTTTTTCTGAAACCAAGTCTCGCTCTGTCACCCAGGCTGGAGTGCAATGGTGTACCATCTCGGCTCACTGCAACCTCCACCTCCCGGGTTCATGCAATTATCCTGCCTCAGCCTCCTGAGTAGCTGGGATTAAAGGCACCCGCCACCACACCTGGCTAATTTTTGTATTTTTAGTAGAGACAGGATTTTGACATGTTGGCCAGGCTGGTCTTGAACTCCTGACCTCAGGTGATCCACCCTCCTCAGCCTCCCAAAGTGCTGAGATTATAGGCGTGAGCCACCGTGCCTGGCCAACATCCTAATATATTTAATACTTTGTCATTCTTCTTCATCATACCATCATATGATAATGAAATAGTGCAGATAAATTAAATACTTATAGCTGATGTTTATTAGCTGGAGATTCCTTTTCAGATTATGACACAAGTATACATGTGTGCATATTCCATAGGAATAGGAGAAAAAGATGAGTAGCCTTCATCTATGTTCAGTTTCCAGACTTCAATTATATTTTTTGAATATATATATATATATATATATATATATATATATATATATATATATATATATATTTCATGTATTTGTGTTCATCTTAGGTCAAAAAATGTTCACTAGATCAGATATTTTTATATAAATTTTTTCTTTTTTAAACAGAGTCTCTTGACTCAGCTTCCTGAGTAGCTGGAACTACAGGCACCCACCACCACGCTGAGTAATTTTTTTGTATTTTTAGTAGAGATGGGGTTTTCACCATATTAGCCAGGATGGTCTCCATCTCTTGACCTCATGATTCGCCTGCCTCAGCCTCCCAAAGTGCTGGGATTACAGGCACGAGCCACCACGCCTGGCCCTTTCTTTCTTTCTTTTTTTTCTTTGAGACAGTCTCACTCCGTTGCCCAGGCTGGAATGCAGTGGTGCAATCTCAGCTCACTGCAATCTCCACCTCCCGGGTTCAAGCAATTCTCCTGCCTCAGACTCCTGAGTAGCAGGGATTACAGGTACACGCCATCATGCCTGGCTAATTTTTGTATTTTTAGTAGAGATGGGGTTTCACCATGTTGGCCAGGCTGGTCTCAAACTCCTGACCTCAGGTGATCCACCCACCTCAGCCTCCCAAAGTACTGGGATTACAGGTATGAGCCGCCACACCCAGCCATTCTGTCCTTTCTTTAGAGCCCTGCTCAAACCCTACCTCCTAACAATATCATCTATGGCCGGGTGCGATGGCTCATGCCTGTAATCCCAGCACTTTGGGAAGCCGAGGTGGGCAGATCACCTGAGGTCAGGAGTTCGAGATAAGCCTGACCAACATGGAGAAATCCCGTCTCTACTAAAAATACAAAATTAGCCGGGCGTGGTGGCACATGCCTATAATCCCAGCTACTAGGGAGGCTGAGGCAGGAGAATCTCTTGAACCCGGGAGGCGGAAGTTGCAGTGAGCCGAGATCGTGCCACTGCACTCCAGCCTGGGAAACAAGAGCAAAATTCCATCTCAAAAAAAAAAAAAAATCATCTATCTGTACCACATTTTTATTGCTTTGCATTTGCATTTCTGTTTACCTCTTCTGGCATATAATTATGTTAATTACCAAACTAGAACTCTAAGCTTCTTGAGGCCAGGCACTGCAACTTATCTTTTTTTCTTTCTCAGAGCCAGTATAATATCTTGCATAGAGCTTAGTAACAATTGCAGCTAACGTTTATGTGGCAAATACTGTGTGCTTGATACAATGCTAGGTACTTCCACACATTAATTCATTTAACCCATACAATAAATCTATGAGGTAAATACTGTTCTTGTCCCTAGTTGCAGATGACAAAACATAAACTTAGGTGACTTACCTGCACACTGTCACAAAACTCGTGGCAGAACTAGGACCTAATTTCAGTTCTGCTTGACTCTACAGCTGTCTTTTGGCTCCTCACACAAGCAAGTCCTTTTGTCCTACTTGATCCATGAAGACCAGGAGATAGCTTGGACTTCACAGTTGTTAAGAGGGCAAATTGTGGTTCAGCAACTTTTCTTTCTCCCACTGACACAAAGCTTTTATGTAATGACCTTTCCCTGAAAACCAGAGATAAGCTCTAACCAAATAATTCTGAATATCATTGATGGGCAAGACCCAGTCTTACTGCAGGGTATCCTAAAATCATGTCTTCTGGCTGGGCGTGGTGGCTCATGCCTGTAATCCCAGCACTTTGGGAGGCAGAGGCGGGCAGATCACCTGAGGTCAGGAGCTTGAGAACAGCCTGACCAATATGATGAAACCCCATCTCTACTAAAAATACAAAAATTAGCCAGGTGTGGTGGCATGCGCCTGTAATCCCAGCTACTCGGGAGGCTGAGACAGGAGAATCACTTGAACCCAGGAAGCAGAGGTTTCAGTGAGCCGGGACCACACCACTGCACTCCAGCCTGGGCAACAAGAGCAAAACTCCTTCTCAAAAAAAAAAAAAAAAAATCATTTGTCTTCAAGATAATTTTTTGACTGTTTGTTTTATTCTTCTTCTTTTTGAGGCTGAGTCCTGCTCTGTTGCCCAAGCTGGAGTGCAATAGTGCACCATCTCAGCTCATTCCACCTATTCCACCTCCTGGGCTCAAGCAATTATCCTGCTTCAGCCTCCCGAGTAGCTGGGATTACAGGCGCACACCACCATACCCAGCTAATTTTTGTATTTTTAGTAGAGACGGGGTTTCGCCATGTTGGCCAGGCTGGTCTCGAACTCCTGACCTCAGGTGATCCACCTGCCTCGGCCTCCCAAAGTGCTGGGATTACAGGCGTGAGCCACTGCGCCTGGCCAATTGACTGTTTTTAAGATGATTATTCATCGAAAGTACTAATTTTAGTCTTCAGAGATCCAGTGAGCAAGGCTGGTCCAGGCCTGAAGTAATGAAAAAAACCTTTGTTTGCTACAACCTCTGCCTTAACAGCCAGTAGCTAGTAGGTTCTGTACAAGCTGATGAGTCACAGGGATCATCAGGGGAAAAAAAAAAGGGCAATAGTCAATATGTCTACACAGGTAGCCCTTGGATTCTAGTATTTGAAACCAAGTAGTATTTGTGTAATATCAGTGTCTTACATTCACAAAGGCATTAGACTTTATCTAACTCCTTCACCTTTATTATCTCACTTGATGTTAACAGCCCTGTGCAGTGAAAGACAGTATAGACAGGATCCTCACATTCATTCACTTCTGCAGACTGTTCAGTGTGCCAGAAGGCTAGCCAAGAAGGCTAGTGAAGACTGAAATTTAGACCATGCTCTTCTCACCAAGCTTATAAACCTTACTGTAAAGCTGCATCTGTCCAAAGGAAGGGGTCCCTTTTTCTGTTTTGTTTTGTTTTGTTTTGTTTTTTTGAGACACAGTCTCACTTTGTGCCCAGGCTGGAGTGCAATGGCGTGATCTCAGCTCACTGCAACCTCTACCTCCTGGGTTCAAGGAATTCTTCTGCCTCAGCCTCCCAAGTAGCTGGGATTACAGGCGCCCACCACAATGTCTGGCAAATTTTTTGTATTTTTAGTAGAGGCAAGGTTTCACCATGTTGGTCAGGCTGGTCTCGAACTCCTGACCTCAGGTGATCCACCCACCTCGGCCTCCTAAAGTGGTGGGATTACAGGCATGAGCCACCACACCTAGCCTCTTTTTTCTGAATTTCTACAAAGGGACTATGTGAGCAGGCAACAGCACTTAGGATGACTGTTGGGATCCCCACCTTAAAGATGTGAAAATCCAGGCTCAGATATGTTACAAGACACAACTAATAAGTGGTGAGTCCAAGATTAGAATTCAAGTCTTCCAATTCATTAGTAAGCAAGCCTTTTCAACTATACTACAAGTCTCCCAATGGTTCAATTTAATATGTGTTATTTCTGTCTTGTCATGTTGCAGACTGGTATCCTCAGCCCCTTGCTCTAACCAACTGAAGCAATATCTATAGGTTTTTGGCATAGCTGTAATCTGAAGTCATATCTGTTCTCTTCTTGAGGAAGCTGAGAAATAGATATATGCACCAAATGTCCTAAGAGAGATACTTTAGATGAATCTACCACTTTTGAAAAAGAAATTAGACCACCTGCCCTAATGCTGCTAACAGATCACGATATCATCACAGTAACAGGGTATCAACATTATATTATGGAGATGATGTGTAAAAAGAACATGGGATATAAAATCTAATTATCTAAATGCAGATACTAGCACTACCACTTACTAGCTGCCTGTCCCTAGGTGATAATAACAACAAATATTTATTGAACTCATATTACTTGCAATGATATGTACTTTATTTACATGAAGAATAATTTTGTACAACTCTAAGAGTTAAGTACCTTCATTATCCCCATTTCACAGATGAGGACTCTGAGGCTAAAGTAACTTGTCCTGGGTTATAATGTTGGCAAGTAGAGAAGCCAGGATTCCAACCCAGGCAATCTAGCTCTAAAACCCATGTCTTTGGCAAGGCAAGGTAGCTCACGCCTATAATCCCAGCACTTTGGGAGGCTGAGGGGGGAGGATTGCTTGAGCCCAGGAGTTCAAGACCAGCCTGGGCAACATACAGAGATCTTGTCTCTTTTTTAAATTTTTAAAAAATAAATAAATAAATAAACAACCCCATGTTCTCAATTTCTCAGTCTTTGTTTCCTCTGGAATAAAATGGAGATAATATTAACAGCTGCCTAAATAATTAGAATCATAAAAGTGTGCATTAAAGCATCTTTTTTTTGAGACAGTGTCTTCTTACTCCTGTATCCCAGCGGGGAGCACAGCAGCGTGATTGTGGCTCACTGCAGTCTTGACTCCAAGGCTCAAGAAAAAAAATCCTCCTGCCTCTTTTTTGTTTGTAGAGACGAGGTCTCACTAGGTTGCCCAGGCTGGTCTCAAATTCCTGGGCTCAAGCAGTCCTCCCGCCTCAGCCTCTCAAAGTGCTGGGACTGTAGGCGTGAGCCATAGCACTCGGCCGAAAGCATTTTTTTGTTGTTGTTGGAGACAGTCTCTCACTCCACAGCCCAGGCTAGAATGCAATGGCTGGATCTCGGCTCACTGCAACCTCCGCCTCCCAGGTTCAAGCAATTCTCACGCCTCAGCCCCAGGAGTAGCTGGGATTACAGGCATGCACCACCACACCTGGCAAATTTTTGTATTTTTAGTAGAGATGGGGTTTCGCCATGTTGGCCAGGCCAGTCTCGAACTCCTGGCCTCAAGTGATCCGCCCAACTTGGCCTCCCAAAGTGTTGGGATTACGGGCCTCGTGAGCCACTGTGCCCAGCCCAATAAAGCATTTTTAATAAACCGTAAAGCAGTAAAGGTCAATGTATGAAAGCCAAAGCTAATACTGACATGTGGATGAGATCGTCCAGTGGATGGGATGGTCTAGAATCTATACTTAAGTGTAGATTTTCTTCTCTCCTTCCCACTTAATATCAGGAGTCAAATTAGTTGTGTTAAGCCCATGCTTCTAGAAAAACAATAATCTTGCTATGCAGGTATTTCTTGTCCTACCTCTTCCTATATCCTGTTTCCTGCTTATGGAAGCAAAATATACAGTGGGACATATTCTTACACAGCCACAGGATGTCAATTTTTAAAAAAATATTTTGTAGAGATGGGGTCTTGTTATGTTGCCCAGGCTGGTCTCAAACTCCTGGTCTTAAGGGATCCTCCCTGTTGGTCTCCCAAAGCACAAGAATTACATGCATGAGCCACTGCACCTAGCCAGATTTTAAAATTAGTTTTAAAAATTTGTGTATTGAGAGAATTTCCTCATCATCTGGTGATGATGTTTATACTAACTAGCATTCCCTGATCATTTAGTCTATGTAGGCATCTAGATAAGAATTTTATATGTCTTATCAGTTAATCCTCATAATAACCCTAAAAGATGGAAGCTATCATTCTTCTCATTTTTCAGATAAGGAAACTTAGAAATAATCAATAATGGCTGGTTGCAGTGACTCACGCCTATAATCCCAGCACTTTGGGATGCCGAGGCAGGCAGATCACCTGAGGTCAGGAGTTCAAGACCAGCCTGGACAACATGGTAAAACCCTGTCTCTACAAAAATATAAAAATTAGCTGGGCATGGTGGTGCATGCCTGCAATCCCAACTACTTGGGAGGCTGAGGTGGGAGAATCACTTGAACCTGGGAGGTGGAGGTTGCAGTAAGCTGAGATCATGCCACTGCACTCCAGCCTGGGGGACAGAGTGAGACTCCATCTCAAAAAAAAAAAAAAGAAAAGAAATGATCAATAATTTACCCAAGGTGACATAACTAGTAGGTGAATAAGCTCAGGTCTATTTTTATTCCAAGGCTTAACTGTTATCCCTCACCAACTGCCACACCCAGGCATAACTAGGAATAACATCAGTGTCTACATTTTCTTTGCATACAATCAGGCCTCTGCCTTCAGGTGTTTCTTCCTTTGGTAATCATGTTTTTTCTCAATCAAAAGTCAGGCTTAGCCTGGCATGGTGGCGCAAGCCTGTAATCTCAGCTACTCAGAAGGCTGAGGCACAAGAATTGCTTGAACCCGGGAGGCAGAGGTTGCAGTGAGCCGAGATCACGCCACTGCACTCCAGCCTGGGTGACAGAGCGAGACTCCGTCTCAAAAAAAAAAAAAAAAAATCATTTGACTGAAGGAATATAAAAACACAGCTGGATGGCCGGGCACAATGTTTCATACCTGTAATCCCAACACAATGGGAGGCCGAGGCAGGACGACGATCACTGAGACCAGGTTGCACAACATAGACTCTTGTCTATAAAAAAAATTTAAGGTCGGGCATGTGGCTCAATCCTGTAATCCTAGCACTTTGGGAGGCCAAGGTGGGCGGATCACCTGAGGTCAGGAGTTTGAGACCAGCCTGGCCAACATGGTGAAACTCCATCTCCACTAGAAATACAAAAATTAGGTGTGATGGTGTGCGCCTGTGGTCCCAGCTTCTTGGGAGGCTGAGGCAGGAGAATCACTTGAACCCAGGAGGCGGAGGTTGCAGTGAGCCGATCCTGACACTGCACTCCAGCCTGGGCAACACAGCGAGACTCCGCCTCAAAAAAAAAAATAAAGTCAAAGCATATGGTCTGAGAATTTGAAATAAATTTCAGAAAAATCCAAGACTTGTGGTTGTTGGGCCTTTTACCTTTCTCCCCAAGACCTAATCACCTAGAACAAGCCCTATTCAGATTGTTCTCAGCTTCTCTTTTGAGACCAAGCCTAGCTCCTCTTAGTGTTCCAGAGTTAAACCCATCTCCCAGGCAGAAGCCTCCACCTAAACTCTTCACCTAAAAGCCTCAGAGCTTCTTAGTGACAGAGACTTCAATTAGTCTTAGCCTTATGAAAAATGTCTCTCCCAAAAGAAAAAGACAGGGCGGGCACGGTGGCTCATGCCTGTAATCCCAGCACTTTGGGAGGCCGAGGCAGGTGGATCACCTGAGGTCAGGAGTTTGAGACCAGCCCGGCCAACATGGTGAAACCCCATCTACTAAAAATAACAAAATTAGCCAGGCATAGTGACCTGTAATCCCAGCAACTCGGGAGGCTGAGGCAGGAGAATCGCTTGAACCCAGGAGGCAGAAGGTGTAGTTAGCCAAGATCATGCCATTGCACTCAGCCTGGGCAACAAGAGCAAAACTCCATCTCAAAAAAAAAAAAGAAAGAAAGAAAAAGATGAAAAAAGTTTTCTTTTTTTTTTTTTTCAAATAGAAACTCTTGCTACAGTTTGAATGTTTGTGTCCTCCAAAAGTCATTTTGAAACTTAATCCCCAGTGTGGCAGTGTTGAGAGGTGGAGCCTTGAGGAGGTAACTAGATTATGTGGGCTCTGCCCTCATGAATGGATTAATCCACTCATGGATTAATGGGTTAATGAATTAATGGATTATGATAAAGGTGGGACTGTTAGCTTTACAAGAAGAGGAAGAGAAACCTGAGCTTAGTGCCCTCGACATGTGATGCCCTACACAGCCTTGGGACTCTGCAGTCTCCACCAGCAAGAAGGGCCTCAACAGATGTGGCAGATACAGCACCTCAGCCTTAGACTTCTCAGCCTACATAACTGTAAGAAATAAATTTATTTTCTTTATAAATTACCCACTTTCCAATATTCTGTCATAAGCGACAGAAAACAGACTAAGACAGCCCATAAAGCATTCCTTTGAAACATCCCACTCTAAACAACCCCAGCCTTTCCCAGAAGAGGCAGGAGGAGGAAAAGAGAAGTTTATCTGTTCTCTTAAGGGAAAGGTATTGTTTTGCCTCTCCTTTCTAAAGAGGCTTCTTTCTAAAGTCACTGCAGTTTGCACGGTTGGTCCTCTTAGAACAAAAAAGAAAGCACAAGCCCTAAGCTTCATATGCAGAAATCATCTTCAAATTCATTAATTCAATACATTTACTGAGCACCTATTATATGGTGGGCTCCCAACACTCACTATTCCTCTTTCCGTCTACATGCATGATCAAGAGTACTCAAAAGTAGTAAACCAAAAAGACAAGCTTATCCTACAATGGGAAGCGGGAGGGGGAAGGAAAAGGATGGCTACTAAAAACAAAAATTAAAAAAAAATCAGATGGGTATAAAAGCGCTAGAAAGAACAAAAGGGTGATGTGACTGACAGATCTGGTAGAATATTTAGCTTAGATGGTCATGGCTGGGCACGGTGGCTCACGCCTGTAATCCCAGCACTTTGGGAGGCTGAGGTGGGCAGATCACCTGAGGTCAGGAGTTCGAGACGAGCCTGGCCAACATGGTGAAACCCCATCTCTACTAAAAATACAAAAATTAGCCGGGCGTGGTGGCAGGCACCTGTAATCCCAGCTACTTGGGAGGCTAAGGCAGGAGAATCACTTGAACCCAGGAGGCGGAGGTTGCAGTGAGCCAAGATTGCGCCATCACACTCCAGCCTGGGGGACAAGAGCAAGACTTCATCTCCAAAAAAAAAAAGATGCTCATTAAAGGCCTCCTTGACTAGATGAAACGTGAATTAAAAGAAGGAGCCATCCATATGGCTGGTGGTAGAGGATGCAGAGGGAACAATTAATGTGAAAATCCTAATGCAGGAGTAAGGCTTTCAAGCTGGGGTTGGCAAATTTTTTCTGTAGCACCACATAGTAAATATTTTAGGCTTTGTTAAGTCACAGAAAGTCTCTTGTTACATACTCTTCTTGTTCTTGTTGTTTTACAACCCTTTAAAAATATAAAAACCATTCTTAGTTTTGGCAGTATAAAAACAGGTCTCCAGAAAAATTTGACCTCTGCCAAGACTCCTGCTTTAGAGGAACACACAATCTATTGGAGCTAGAGGGTAAGTGGACCAGAAGGAAAGCAACACAAGATGAGGTGTGAAAGGCAGTCAGCAGCCAGATCATAGAGGAGACCTTTTAGACTAAGTTAAGAATTTTTTTAAGTGTGATGGGAATCCCCTGGAGAGTTGTAAGCAGAGCTGTGACATGCTTTAAAAAGGTCACCTTGGCTGTGTGTGAAGAACAGACTGTGGCAGAGTTAAGAGTAGAAACAGAAACAGATTAGGAGATTGGTTATTATATTATCCAGGCAGGTAAGGATGAGTGTGATGATGGTGGCAGAGATGGAAAGGACTGAACAGGAAGTGAACTGAACACCTCCAATGAAAGCCATGTTTATTATTGATTAACAAAATCATGGAAGGATTCTTGAAATTTTCGTTTAAAATCAAAAGAGCTTGTGTTGACCTATAAAATGTATTTATTTATTTAGAGATGTAGTCTCGCTCTGTTGCCAGGATGGACTGCAGTGGCACGATCTCGGCTCACTGCCGCCTCCGCCTCCCGGGTTCAAGCAATTCTCCTGCCTCCTCCTCCCGAGTAGCTGGGACTACAGGCACGCACCACAATGCCCAGCTAATTTTTGTATTTTTATTAGAGACGGGTTTCACCACGTCGGCCAGGATGGTCTCGATCTCTTGACCTCGTGATCCACTTGCCTCAGCCTCCCAAAGTGCTGGGATTACAGGCCAGCCACCGCGACCGGCCGACCTATAAATTTTATTAAGTTTGATGGATAGAAAAATCTTGGTTAATCAAATTTTCTGCAACATTTTGACATGTTTGATTTATAGATATTTGAACTTTTGACAGATATTTTTTCCTCTCTTCCTAGTGAAATGATTCACAGTTTTTCTGAGAATATTACCTGTTCCTGATATTCATTACTTTCCCTTCTTCACCTAAATGCATGAAAAAGTATACTTAAAATGTTCCTCTAGTCTGGGTGATGTGGCTCACACCTGTAATCTCAGCACTTTGGGAGGCCGGGGCAGGAAGATTGCTTGAGTCCAAGAGTTCAAGACCAGCCTGGCCAATGTAGCAAGACTCCATCTCTAGTAAATAAATAAAATAAAATGTTTCTCTAATTTTAGAGTGTACTGCAGTCACCCAAAAGAAAACTGCTATTTTAAAATCTGAGAAACTTCCAACTTCCCTTGGCAACACACCCTTCTCTCTCAAAGTTTTCACCATAAGGAGGTTGTAAACATAAGTTGGTCTCACACAACTTGAACTCACTTTCTTCTTCTTCTGTTGATAAAAACACTACTGAACATTTTTGAAATTTCATTGAGTGTACATTTAATTTGGGTACATTTTTGTATATTTATTAAAACTTATTAAACATTTGGGAGGGGGTGGCAGAACAAAACGTTACAGACACAGAAAGAGGTTTCCATGATGGCAACCATTGGGGTGGGGAGATTAACTGGGGAGTTTCATAGGTTGAGTTCCTTGGAAACACTACGAAACCAAGATTTGCATGCAAGAAATTTCAGGAGGGCACAATTGGCAAATACACTTGCAATGAAATGGGGAAGTCAGGATTAGTCAGAGGGAGACACTGACCCCTACTATAGCTGCAATTAAGTCCTCAGTTGATTCTGTGATGAGCTCTGGAACTGGAATGATCCCTCAGTCACATCCTCAAATGAGTAAGGAAGCTGGATCTTTGTACCCTGCATCAGCCAATCACTGGCTGTGGGCTCCTTGGGAGCACAACCTTGGGCAAGACAGTTTTCCATATCCTAAGGCAATGCCCAGGAAAAAAAAAAAGGCTTCAAGATATCAACAGCTAAAATTCCCAGCAGCTAAGGGATCATCACCCATGAAGACGGGATTTGGGCTGAAACACCACAGTATCTACTATCATGGCAAAGTGTTTTACCATGGGCAAATAGTATTTTTATTAAAATACTATAGGAAGTTTTAGTATACCAAATATGCTAATTAGCATACCAATTAGTATTTTTATTAAAATACTAATTTTTACCATGGAATATAGCATTTCACCATGAATATAGAGTATTTTTATTAAAAATAAACAATCTTCATGTTCAAATATTTGGGAACACTTTTTTATACATGTTGCTGGAAAAGTGACTCAAGTGTCATTTCAACTGTGCATCTTGACCCAGCTGATGATTAAACCTGAATTGTTTGTTTGTTTGTGATGGAGTCTCGTTCTGTCACCCAGGCTGGAGTGCAATGGCGCAATCTCGGCTCACCACAACCTCTGCCTCCCAGGTTCAAGTGATTCTCCTGCCTCAGCCTCCCGAGTAGCTGGGATTACAGGCATGCACCACTGTGCCCGGGTACTTTTTGTATTTTTAGTGGAGATGGGGTTTCATCATGTTGGCCAGGCTAGTCTTGAACTCCTGACCTCAGGTGATCCGCCCACCTCAGCATCCCAAAGTGCTGGGATTATAGGCATGAGCCACCACACACAGCCAAACCTGAGTTATTTTTTATTCTTCCTCCTCCCTTATCAAATCCTAGGTCTCCTTCGGTGATACGACAGAAAAGGATTCATCTATCCTTTTCTGTCACTGTCACCAATTCTGGTCCCCACCTTCATCTTCTCAAACTTAAAATTCTCCTGTCTCCAATTTTATCAAGTTGTTATGGGGGGTGGGGGGGAAGGTAAGAGGATGCTCATGGCATCCCTTGCATTAATTCCTCAAACAGTCACTGAGAGCCTATGCAAGGTAGTAGGGAAACAGTACTGAGCAAGAAGATAAATTTCCTCTATCTCTTATGGACATTAATTTCAAGTGAATAAGAGAGACTTCAATCAATTCCATGATGAATAACTTCACGGCAGTTGTGATTAAAATGCTATGAAAAAGTAGCAGACATATGAAACCCCTGGTTTAGGGGGTCAGAAAGGGTTTTCTGGAGTAACGTCAGCCTTAAAGAACAAACAGATAAAGTGCAAAGGAAGTACATTCCATGCAAAGGGAATACCATGCTTCTTCCTACCATTAGGATCTGAAGGAGAAGGAGGTGATACATTCATGAAACTAAAGAAAGTCAGTAGCCAGGTGCTAGAACTCAGAGTTCAACTGGGAAACAGGAGTGGGTAGAAGAGAAAAAGAAGCTAGTAGGTAAGCAAGGGCAATACAAGGCCATTAGAAGTGAGGTTTTATATTACTTTTTTTTTTTTTTTTTTTTTGACACAGGTTCTCACTCTGTTGCCCAGGCTAGAGTGCAGTGGTGTGATCTGGGCTCACTGCAGCCTCAACCTCCCGGGCTCAAGCAATCCTCCCACTTCAGCCTCCCAAGTAGCTGGGACTACAAGTGCGCACCACCATGCCCAGCTAATTTCTGGGGTGCTTTTTTTTTGTAGAGATGGGGTTTCGCCAGGTTGCCCAGGCTCATCTCAAACTCCTGAGCTCAAGTGATTCGCCCATCTTGGCCTTCCAAGGTACTGGGATTACAGGCGTGCACCACCGGGTCTGACCCTATTTTACTTTTTAAAAAACTTTTGGCCAGGCATGATGGTTCACGCCTGTAATCCCAGAACTTGGGGAGGCCAAGGCGGGTGGATCCCCTGAGGTCAGGAGTTTGAGACCAGCCTAGTCAACATGGTGAAACCTCGTCTCTACTAAAAATACAAAAATTAGCCGGGCATGGTGGCAGGCACCTGTAGTCCCAGCCCCAGTCACTCAGGAGGCCGAGGCAGGAGAATCGCTTGAACCTGAGAGGCGGAGGTTGCAGTGAGCCGAGATCGCACCACCGCATTCCAGCCTGGGTGATGGAGCGAGACTCTGTCTCAAAAAACAAACAAACAAACACCTTTTCATTTTGAAATAATTTCAGAATTACAAAAATGTTTCAAAAACATATTACTCTACACTTTTTGCCCCATATTCTCCAAATGTTAACAAATCTTATATTATCATGGTATAATTATCAAAATCAGGAAATTAAAATTGATTCAATATTATTATCATGAGCTTATTTTAACAATTGACACACTAATGTCCCACCCAAGAATCCAATTCAGAATCACACATTCCATTTACTTGTCAAGTCTCTGTAGTCTCTTTTAATCTGGGACAGTTCCTCAGTCTTTCTTTCATGACCTTGACACTTTTGAAGAGCACTGGCCAGTTATTTGGTAGAATGACCCTCAATTTTGGTTTACCTGATGTTTCCTCATGATCGAACTTAGGTCATACATATATTTTTCAATAATATCACATAAGTGATGTTGCGTCCTTCTCAGAGCATCATATCAGAAGGAACATGGTGTGGATTTAACCCACAGCGGCTATTTAACTTTGATCACTTGGTTAAAATAGTGTCTACCAGATTCGGCCATTGTAAAACAGCTACTGTATTACCCCTTTTACTTAAATATCTTTAGGGAGACACTTTCTATGTAAATATCCTCTTAACATTCACCCACTAATTTTAGCATCCATTAATGATTCTTACCCGCATCATTTATTCTTGTGGTGTTTGCAAATGGTGATTTCGTATTTTTATCAACCCTTCTACCTTAATTGGAATGCTACTATAAGGAAGGGTTTTTCCTCCTCCCCTAATTTATTCATTTATTTTTATCAGTAGATATAAATAATTCATATTTATTTCTATGGGTCCATAATGGATTCATATTTATTCTATTCGTTATAATTCATTACTATTATTATTTTGTTGTTCAAAATATCTGACTTGGTCATTGGTGTCCCTTCCAGTTGCTCCTGGGTTAAGCATGGCCCCATAATTTTTTTTAAGACTAGTCAAGTGTGATAGTGAGGGGGCAGAAATAGTAGAACAATGAGATTGATCTGTAACTGATTGTGAACTCAGATAACTCACTAACTTTGGACAGACTCTCATCATTTTTTGTTCATTATTCTATTCTATCTCATCATTTTTTTAGCACTTCCTTTTCTGGCACTGCAGATGTTCCAGGCTCAGGTACCTTTCCTGCCACAGTCTGTAATCGCAAATTTCTCCAAAGATCTCTGTTTCCCTTTATTGGAGATAACACTAGGCATATTCATTGGTTCTAGGGTGTCACTGCCTAATGCCCTCTCATTAGATAGAGTTAGAAACCATATATAGGCACACATCTCTATGTGGGTATCTATCTATAAACTCAAGAGTGTGTATTGATATCTTCAATTCTAATCCAACATCACAGAGTTCATTCTATCCTTATAAGTGTCTTTTATTTATTTCACCAAATATTTAGTGAACACCCTCCATGGGCCAGGCTCTGTACTAGGCACTGGGGATACAGTAGAGGACAAAACAGGTATAGTCTCACCCTTGCCTTCATGAAGCTTAGATTCTAGCAAAGATCAATTTATGGATTACTTTCCTTTTCTCCAAAATTGTTAAATTTATGCTTTCTACCAGCTCACCAGGATTTAAACAGGTCACAGAAAGATTTTAATCAGGTGAGTAACGTGATCAGGAGTTCATTACTTAAAAGGTCATTCTATTGGGTAGTCAATGGAGCAGAGTGGACTGGAGAGGCCAATTGCCAAATCAGTCGGAAAGAGGTGAAGGTCAATGTGGGGAGGCCAAATATGACACTGGTAAGTACTTCAAGGTAAGAGATGCTGGTCAACTGGACAAGGGTAAAGGAAAGGGAAAAGAAAACAATAGGTGGATTTGAGAGATATTTAGGAGATAAACGAACCAGACTTGGTGACTGACTGATGGGTAGGGGAATGTGGTAAGAGAGAAGGATGACTCCAGGAGAACTCCTAGGATTCTGGGAGTGTGTAAATATATTGGCTCAGATTTTCATATATTATATTTTATTCTTTTATTTTTTCCCATCTATGCCCTTTGTCTAGATCCATATATTGTAAATATGTGACTACTACATACTTGTCTCTTCTGTTAAACTGTATAACAACTGTATAACTACTGATAATAAGTTTATTATTGTTAACATTTTTGTATCCCCAGTATCTCCTACAATATCTGGTATATAGTTGAAGCTCAATAAATGATGCTGAATAAATGATTAATTGAATAGTCGATTGTCTTCAGACTTAATAAGATTTTAGCTATCATAAGGTCCAAAATTAGATATAATACCCTCACAAAGGCCTAAAACTCCTTAAGTAGAGGAAGACTACTTATGCTGAATACCCATTCTCTAAAAAAGGTGTGTCTTGGTCTATCAGTTTATTATGTATACTTTCTCTTCTATCAATTCATTCATCCTACCCAAGATTTAAAACCCAGATGTCATAAAATGGAGGTAAACATTTGACTATAACAATAAAATTTCACTTCACACCTATCAGATTGACAAAAATTAATACCTATTAATTGCTTATTCCCAGCAGAGGGTGAGGGTAAGGAAAGGCCTCTGTTTCCTCATCTCTTAAATGGAGCTATCATGCCTAGGTGAGATGTTTCTGGTCCCAAGCAGTCATTCAGGAAAGGCTGACACTTTTCCTTGCTCTTTTACATATACTCCTCCTTCAAGATCCAGGTCAAACCATCTTCTACTAGGACATCTTCCCAGACCACTCTAACATGCAGCAACTTCTTTTCCCTTCCCTGAGCTCCTAGGGTACCTATCTATAAAATTCTTCAGAAATTAATCATTGGTAGTCCTATGATTGCTCCTGTAATAAATCACTTTTACTGTTAACTATTCACATACTCTTATACTTTCTGACGTCAGCTGATTCAAATGTCAGCCATGCCACTTACTTGCTATGATTTCATTTTTCCAATGTTCGATTTTCTCATCTATGAAATGAAAGACATATCCACCAACCTGAAAGGGTTGTCGTCACGATCTGAGATAATGCATGTGAAGGGCCCAACACATGCCCATTGCAGATGTTCAGTAAGTAGATGCCAAACAAGTGCTCCCTGAGTGCAGCTGTCATCTTTTCTCAAATGTCAATCTCCTCCCAGTTATGGCATCTCAAAAACTGCCTCACACATGGCTGCTCTTGATATTTTATTTATTTATACTTCATCTTGGTTACTATCTTGCCCACTTTAAGTTATTACTTAAAGATTTGCCCCAATTTAGCATCATATGAATACAAGCTCTACAAGGGTATTTTTGTATTTTGCTCTATGCTATCCTCATCACCTAAATAGTACCTGGAATATAAGTATATGGTCAACAAGTACTGGATAACAAATGTCGTTCTGGGGCCAGGCATGGTGGCTCATGCCTGTAATTCCAGGACTTCGGGAGGCCCAGGCGGGTGGATCATTTGAGGTCAGGAGTTCAAGACCAGCCTCTCCAACATGGTGAAACCCCATCTCTACTAAAAATGCAAAAATTAGCTGGGTGTGGTGGTGCACGCCTATAATCCCAGCTACTCAGGAGGCTGAGGCAGGAGAATTGCTTGAATCGAGTGAGTCGAGGCTGCGTCACTGCTCTCCAGCCTGGGCAACAGAGGGAGACTCTATCTCAAAAAATAATAATAAAATAAAATAAATGTAGTTCCTTCTGAGGAGTTGCCTTTATTTAAGGTATACTGTCCTCATTTAGCTAAATGGCAAGGAAGATTGATGAGATGTTCAAGATTGATGAGGTGTTCCCTCCTCAGATTTTGAACTGTGAGCAGAATAAAAACAGGGCCGAACCCATGAGAGCATGGAATGTTCCTGCTACCACAATTCTCTGGGACAGCCACTACTTGACTGTTCCCAGGTTGATTCTCATGCCTTACCTTCAATCCTGTGAGCTCACCCATGTCCTTCCAATGAATTTCCTTTTTGCTTAAGTTAGCTCTGGGTTTCTCAACCTCAGCATTACTGATATTTTAGGCTACATAACTCTTTGTTGTGAGTGGCTCTCCTGTGCACTATAGCATGTTTAGCAGTATCCTTGGTCTCTACCCATCAGACGCCTGTAACATCCCTCAGTGTAACAATCGAAATGTCTCCAGACATTACCAAACAACCCCAAGTCAGGACTCAATTAGCTAGACTTGATTTCTGTGAAACAAAAAATCCTAAATGATGGATACTACATTCTGGGCAACTTTTCATTACTGGCCTATACAGAAATATCTCATTTGTTTACTAGCTCATGTTATATGGGTATGTCATAAATTATTGAGTAGTAAGTCTACTAACAGATTTTAAGGTTGCATCTGGTGTTATTATTAAATAACAGCTTTATGGAGCTATAATTCACTCACTTAAAGTGTACAATTCAGTGGCTTTTAGTATATTCAGAGTTGTGCAACAATCACTATAATCAATTTTAGACCATTTTCATCAACCCAAAAAGAAACCCCAACACAACTTAGTTGTCAACTCCAAATCTCCAACTTCTCCAGCCCTAAGCAATCATTAATCTACTTTCTTTGTAGATATGCCTAGGAATTATAGAATATGTGATATTTTGTGACCAGCTCCTGTCACATAGCAAAATGTTTTCAAGGTTCATCCATGTTATAGCATGTATCAGTACTTCATTCTTTTCTTTTTTTTTTTTTTTTTTTTTGAGACGAAGTCTTGCTCTGTCACCCAGGCTGGGGTGCAGTGTCGCGATCTTGGCTCACTGCAAGCTCCGCCTCCTGGGTTCACGCCATTCTCCTGCCTCAGCCTCCCAAGTAGCTGGGACTACTGGCACCCGCCACCATGCCTGCCTAATTTTTTGTATTTTTAGTAGAGATGGGGTTTCACTGTGTTAGCCAGGATGGTCTCAATCTCCTGACCTCGTGATCCACCCGCCTCGACCTCCCAAAGTGCTGGGATTACAGGTGTGAGCCACCACGCCCGGCATTTCATTCTTTTTCATTATCAAATATTCCGTTGTATGGACATTCCACATTTTATCCATTCATCAGTTGATGGACAATTGGGTTGTTTCCACTTTTGGCTATTATGAATAATGCTGCTTTTTTTTCTTTTCTTTTTTTTTTTTTTTTTTGAGATGGAGTTTTGCTCTTGTTGCCCAGGTTGGAGTGCAATGGCACGATCTCGGGTCACTGCAACCTCCACCTCCCAGTTTCAAGCTATTCTCCTGCCTCAGCCTCCTGAGTAGCTGGGATTACAGGCACCTGCCACCATGCCTGGCTAATTTTTATATTTTTAGTAGAGATGAGGTTTCGCCATGTTGGCCAGGCTGGTCTTGAACTCCTGACCTCAAGTGATCCACCTGCCTTGGCCTCCCAAAGTGCTGGAATTACAGGCGTGAGCCACCATGCCTGGCCCATACTGCTGCTATTAACATTCATGTGACTTCTTTGGTTTTCTTGTAAAATAACAAGAAAAAGTAAAAACATTCATGTACAAGTGTTTGTGTAGGCATATGTTTTCATTTCTCGGGTATATAGCTGTAAATAGAATTGCTGGGCTATATGGTAACTCTATGTTTAACATTTTGAGAAAATGCCAGACTGTTTTCCAAAGCAACTGCACCATTTTAACCTCCCACTAATAGTACATGAGGGTTCCAATTTCTTCACATTCTTGCCAATTCTTGTTATTAGCTATCCTATGATGGCTAGTCATCCTGGTGAGAGTGAAGTGGTATCTCATTTTGGTTTTGATTTACATTTCTCTGATTAATGATGGTGAGCATCTTTTCACATGCTTATTGGCCATTTATATACCTTCTTTGGAGATATATCCATTCAGATCCTTTAATTATCTTTATATTATTGAGTTGAAGAGATTTTTTTATATATTCCCGTTCAGATATGATTTCCAAACATTTGTTCCCATTCTATGTCTTTCCACTTCTTAGTATTATCCTTTCCAGCAAAAAAAGTTTTGACTAAGTCCAATTTATCTATTCTTTCTTTTGTTGCTTATGCTTTTGTTATTAATCTAAGAAAACACAGTCTAATCCCTGGTCATGTAGATTTATGCCTATGTTTACTTCTAAGAGTTATATAGTGTGAGATCTTACATTTTGGAATTTCATCCATTTTGAATTAATTTTTGTTTCTGATGTGGGTAGGGATGCAACACCATTCCTTCACAAGTGGATATCCAGCTGTGCCAGCTTTATTTGTTAGAAATACTATTCTTTCCTCCATTAGATTGTTTTGGCATCCTTGTCAAAATCTATTGACTATAAAAGTAAGGGCTTATTTCTGGACTCCTCATCCTGTTCCACTGATCTAAATTCTATTCTTATGCCACCACCACACTGTCTTGATTATTGTAGCTTAATAGTAAGTTTTAAAATCAGGACGTGTGAGTCTTCAAATTTTGTTCTTCTAAGATTCTTTTGGTGGCTGGGCACAGTGGCTCATGCCCGTAATCCGAGCACGTTGGGAGGTCAAGGTTGGTGGATCATTTGAGGTCAGGAGTTCGAGACCAGCGTGGCCAACATGGTGAAACCCCACCTCTACTAAAAATACAAAAATCAGCCGGGCATGGTGGCAGGTGCATGTAGTCCCAGCTACTCGGGAGGCTGAGGCAGGAGAATCGCTTGAACGCGGGAGGTGGAGGTTGCAGTGAGTTGAGATCGCGCCACTGTACTCCAGCCTGGGGGACAGAGCAAGACTCTGTCTTAAAAAACAAAAAGGCCGGGTGCAGTGGCTCATGCCTGTAATCCCAGCACTTTGGGAGGCCAAGGTGGGTGGATCATGAGGTCAGGAGTTCAAGACCAGCCTGGCCAAGATGGTGAAACCCCATCTCTACTAAAAATACAAAAAAAATTAGCTGGGCATGGTGGCGGGTGCCTGTAATCCCAGTTACTCCGGAAGCTGAGGCAGAGAACTGCTTGAACCCAGGAAGAGGAGGTTGCAGTGAGCCGAGATTGCGCCACTGCACTCCAGCCTGGGCGACAGAGCAAGGCTCCATCTCAAAAAAAAAAAAAAAATTATTTTGGCTATTCTGGGCCACCTTAATTTCCATACAAATTTTAGGATTAGATTGTCATTTTCTATAAAGAAGTCAGATGGAATTTTGATAGGGATTGCACTGAATCTGTAGATCAGTTTGAGGAGTACTGCCATCTTAAAAATGTTAAATCTTCTAATGAACATGAGATTCTTTCTAATTATATCTTTAATTTCTTACAATAATGTCTTTTACTTTTCAGATGTTATATACTTCTTTTGTTAAATTTATTCCTAAACATTTTATTCTTTGCGATGCCTTTATAAATCAAATTGTTTTCCTTTCATATCTGGATTGTTCATTGCTAATTTACATAAACACAATACCTTTTTGCACATTGAGCTTATATCCTACAACTTTGCTGAACTCATTGACTGGTTCTTTTTTTTTTTTTTTTTTGAGACAGAGTCTTCCTCTGTTACCAGGCTGGAGTGCAGTGGCATGATCTTGGCTCACTGTAACCTCCACCTCCCGGGTTCAAGCCATTCTCCTGGCTCAGCCTCCTAAGTAGCTGGGATTACAGGCGCCCACCACCACGCCCAGCTAATTTTTATATTTTTAGTAGAGACAGGATTTCACCATGTTGGCCAGGATGGTCTCGATCTCCTGACCTCGTGATCTGCCTGCCTCGGCCTCCCAAAGTGCTGGGATTACAGGCATGAGCCACCACGCCCAGCCTCATGTATTGGTTCTAACAGGTGTTTTTATTATTTTTTTTTTTATTCTTGGAATTTTCTAAATACAAGATCATTTCATCTACAAATAGAGATAGTTTTATTTCTTCCTTTCCAATATGGCTGCCTTTTATTTCTTTTTCTTGACTAATTGACCTGGCTAGAACCTCCAGTACAACGTTGAATAGAGGATGTAAGAGGACATATTCTTGCCTTGTTCCTGATCATAGGGGGAAAGCATTCAGTCTTTCACCATCAGGCAAGATGTTGGCTACAGATTTTTTTGTAGATGCACTTTATCAAGTTGAGGAAGTTCCCTTCTATTCCTGAGTGGTCTTTTTCTCTTCCTCTTACAAGCAAGCTGCAATTGGAAATAACAGATCAGTGAACACCCTGGCTTTTGCTTCAGGGCCCAAAATGTTTAATACTTGCTTTCTGACACGTTCCCAAAATGTTGCTTGATTTTTCTTATTTTTCAGTAAATTATATTCCTATTTGTTTGAGTTCTGGGTAACTCACAATGGCTGCAGTCTGTGTTTTTCCAAAGCAATATCGTCCCCCCTTGATAATCCACTTTCATTTTTCCTTCACAGTACTCCAGCATATGTCTATTTATAGCACTTCATACTTCACGTTCATTGTCATCTTTATTCCTTCCAACAGAAGATCTGCTATTGTGAGCAGGGGCCACTACTAATTTCTGTAAAGGCTTGAGATCAACAGAGGTTTGGGATAATAGGAAACTTTTAAAGTCAAGTTTTAGGAGCAACAGCTATTAATCAGTTTGGGGTAAAGAACCTTGCCAGGAGTGAAAAAAAATAAAAAGCAAAAAAACAGGCAAAGGTATCAATAAAAATAAAAACTAGGGAGGCCAAGATGGGTGGATCGCTCGATCTCTTGAACCCAGGAGTTTGAGACCAGCCTGGACAACATGGCGAAACCCCGTCTCTACTAAAAATACAAAAATTAGCTGGGCATGGTGGCGCGTGCCTGTAATCCCAGCTAACTGGGGAGGTTGAGGCATGAAAGTCACTTGAACCTGGGAGACAGAGACTGCAATGAGCTAAGATCATGCCACTGCACTCCAACCTGAGTGACAGAGTGAGACCTGGTCTCAAAAAAGAAAGAAAGAGAGAAAGAGAGAGAGAAAGAGACAGAGAGAGAGAGGCCAGGCGTGGTGGCTCACACCTGTAATCCCTGCACTTTGGGAGGCCAAGGCAGGTGGATCACCTGTTGTCAAGAGTTCGAGACAAGCCTGGCCAACATGATGAAACCCGGTCTCTATTAGAAATACAAAACAAATTAGCTGGGTGTGATGGCACACACCTATAATCCCAGCTACTCAGGAGGTAAGGCAGGAGAATCACTTGAACCCAGGGCAGAGGTTGCAGTGAACCGAGATTGTGCCACTGCACTACAGCCTGGGCAACAAGAGCAAAACTCCATCTCAAAAAAAAAAAAAAAAAAAAAAAAAGAGAGAGAGAGAGAAAGAAAAAAAACTAGATCCCTAAGGGGTCCAGGGATTTCAGGTTTTAAAAATTCCTGTCCAGGCATAGCGACTCATGCCTATAATCCCAATACTTTGGGAGGCTGAGGCAGGTAGAACACTTGAGCCCAGGAGTTCAAGACCAGCCTGGGCAATGTGGCAAAACCCTCGTCTCTACAAAAAGTATATAAATTAGCCAAGCATGGCGGTACATGCCCGTAGTCCCAGCCACTTGGGAGGCAGAGGATGCGGTGGTTTCAGTGGGCCGAGAGTGAAAAAAAAAAAAAAAAACCAAACAAACAAAAACACAAATATAAATAAATAAATCCCTGATCTATATACATACAGGCTAATAGACGGTGAGCATCTATTCTTTTTTTTTTTTTTTTTTTTTTGGAGACGGAGTTTTGCTCTCGTCGCCCAGGCTGGAGTACAGTGGCGGGATTTCAGCTCACTGTAACCCCCGCCTCCTGGGTTCAAGCAATTCTCCTGCCTCAGCCTCCTGAGTAGCTGGGATTACAGGTGTGTGCCACCACGCCCGGCTAATTTTTGCATTATTAGTAGAGACAGGGTTTCACCATGTTGGTCAGACTGGTCTCGAACTCCTGATCTCAGGTGATCCACCTGCCTCAGCCTCCCAAAGTGCTGGGATTACAGGCATGAACCACCACGCCCGGCGATGGTGAGCATCTTTTCATGTGCTTACTATTTGCTTATCTTTGGAGAAATGTCTTTTCCAATTTCTTTTTCCCCAATTTAAAGACGGACAAAGGACCTTAAAAGACATTTCTTCAAATAATTTTTTGGGGAAGAAATGTCTTTTTAGGTCCTTTGTCTGTTTTTAAATTGGGCTTTTTTTGGGTTTGGTTTTTGGGCGGGGGTGCAGGAGGGGTTGGTAGAGACACAATCTCTCTATGTTGCCCAGGCTGGTTTTGAACTCCTTGCCTCAACTGATTCTCCCATCTTGCCTCCCAAAGTGCAGGGACTACAGGCGTGAGCCACCACGCTGGCCTTTTTAAAATTGTTCAGTTGTAATAAATTTTTATATATTCTAAATATAAGTCCCTTTTCAGATACAGGATTTCTAAACATTTTCTCCCTTTCTGTGGGTTGCTGTTTCACTACGATGGTATCCTTCGCAGCACAAATATTTTGAATTTTGATTGTCAGTCTCTCTTTCAGGTAAAAATAGTGTGCCACAAAAAAGCAACCAGTTCAGTTTGCATCTTAATTGTATCTATTATCATACTTTGGATACAGAAGTATGCATACTGCCCACTTTATCATATAGATTGTTAAAAATATGTGTATCTAAAAGTCAAGGTTAATAAAATGAGTATCTTCTACTGTTTAATCATGGACATTAAGTGAAACTAGTTTTGTTTTGTTTTCTTTTTGCATGCACATGGTAATGAAAACTATGATCATTACTACTATTGGTTCCAATGTCTTGAATGGTGCTAAGGTGCAGAGTTTTATCTACTGTTGCCGGTGCCATCAGTGTAAATGCTAACGCAGTGAAAAATGCAAATAATGTTTTACTACTATTATGAAATAGTCTTGACTTCACATGTTCCGTGGAAAGGGTCTCAGAGAACCCTGGGGTCTGCAAGGCCATACTTTGAGAACTGCTGCTCTATGAAATCCATGCTTGTTTAAAAAGCAAAATAATTCTTTACATATACATTTTCTTATAAAATTGATACTTCAGGAACAAGCTACAGAAAGTTTCTCTGCCCTCGACCATTGCATGGCCCAGGGATACATAAGCCAAAGAGAGGAATGTAAGCAAGGATAATGAAAAGTAATGGGTCTCCCACCATATTTATAAGGAGAAAGCAAAATTGACAGATGATATTGATTTATGAAATTTTGTAAATATCTACCCCATTACAGTGAATATATGCAGATAAGATTCTATTCTCTGGGTAGCAAATGAAGATAGGTTTCAAACAGTCCTCTATAAGTAGCAAGTGAAGCCTCTCTCTAGAACTAAGAAACTAAAGTCAAATCAAAGTAACACTGTAGGCCAGGTGCAGTGGCTCACGCCTGTAATCCCAGCACTTTGGGAGGCCAAGGCAGGTGGATCACTAGGTCAGGAGTTTGAGACCAGCCTGACCAACATGGTAAAACCCCATCTCTACTAAAAATACAAAAATTAGCCAGGTGTGGTGGCGCGTGCCTGTAATCCCAAACTCAGGAGGCTGAAGCAGGAGAATTGCTTGAACAGGGAGATGGACATTGCAGTGAGCCAAGACTGCACCACTGTACTCCAGCCTGGGTGACAGAGCAAGATCCCATCTCAAAAAAAAAAGAAAGAAAAAAACATAATACCGTAGATGTTAAACCAGTAAAACATATTCTGGGGACCAAAGTCTCCTCTTAATGTCCTTTAGAGAGCAACAGGGACATTATCTACTTCAACTACTTAACCTATATAAGGATCATCAAAAACTAATAGCCATGTTAAAGCAAACTTCTGAAAATGCTTACAGACCATGGTCAAGTTACTGAGACCTAGCCGAGGCTTAACTTATTTCTGTTTCCAACCCACCATACATACCACTCCAAGATTAATCCCCTAAATCAGCCAGGCACAGTGGTTCATGCCTGTAATCCCAGAACTTTGGGAGGCCAAGGCAGGTGGATCACTTCAGCTGAGGAATTTGAGGACAGTTTGGGCAACATGGCGAAACCCTGTCTCTACAAAAAATACAAAATATTATCTGGGCATGGTGGCGTGTGCCTGTAGTCCTAGCTACTCAGGAGGCTGAGGTGGGAGGATCACCTGAGCCCGGTAGGCAAGGCCACAGTGAGCCATGATTTCACCACTGCACTCCAGCCTGGGTGACAGTGAGACTCTCTCAAAAATAAAAATAAAAATAAAAATCCCCTAAATCACCCTCACCTTTACTGAAGAACTTTCAGTAATAATTATTAAGAGCCCTTAACCACATGTCTGGCCTTGTACTGAACAATTTAAATGAATTTTCTCATTTATTCCTCCCAGGAATTCAAAAAGGGAGGATCTATAATTCTCCCCACTTCCGCTGGAGATGAAGAATCTGACTAAAAGAGATTCTGTAACCTGCCCAAATCAAATCACCAAGCTTCTGAGTATCAATGTTAAGACTCAAACCTATGTTATCTTTGCAGAGATTCTCTAACATTAATAATCACTTAGAGAACTTGTTAAAAAGACAGCTAATTAGGCACCACTGCAGGGCACACAGATCAAAATTTCCAGGGCAGTTCTCTGACTCATAGCAGGTTTAGGAACCACTACAAGTTAACTTCCCAGTTCCTACAGAATGGGGTCTATTTCTTTTTTCTTTTTCTTTCTTTTTTTTTTTTTTTTTTTTTTGAGACAAGGTCTCACTCTGTGGCCCAGGCTGGAGTGCAGTGGTGCAATCTCGGCTCACTGCAACCTCTGCCTCCCCAGTTCAAGCAATTCTCCTGCCTCAGCCTCCCGAGTAGCTGGGATTACAGGTCCTCGCCACCACACCTGGCTATTTTTTTGTATTTTTAGTAGAGACGGGGTTTCACCATGTTGTCCAGGGTGGTCGCGAACTCCTGACCTCAGGTGATCCACCTGCCTCAGCCTCCCAAGTGCTGGGATTACAGGTGTGAGCCACTGTGCCCGGCCCAGAATGGGGTCTCTTTTTTTTTTTTTTCCTGAGACAGAGTCTCACTCTGTCACCAGGCTGGAGTGCAGTGGTGCAATCTCGGCTCACTGCAACCTCCGCCTCCAGGGTTCAAGCAATTCTCCTGCCTTAGCCTCTTGACTAGCTGGGACTACAGGCACACACCACCACACCCAGCTAATTTTTGTATTTTTAGTAGAGACGGAGTTTCACCATTTTGGCCAGGATGGTCTCCATCTCTTGACCTCGTCATCCGCCCGCCTCAGCCTCCCAAAGTGCTGGGATTACATGCATGAGCCACCACGCCCGGCCAGAATGGGGTCTATTTCTTACGCCTAAACCCTCCCACAAGCAGCTTCCTCCTCTCCTAGGGTAGGGCAAAATTCCTTAAACTGGCCTACAAAGCTCTTTGTTTCACAGCCTTTCACTCACTGATATTTTTGGTTTTCTCTTGCCTCAAGATCTCCTTTCTGTTTCAGTTTCTTCTATTCATCATTTCCTTCACAAGGCATTTGTACACGCTGTTCTTTGGCCTGGAATGTTCTTCCCTCTTCCCTTTATCTAGTTAATGCCTGCTTTTCTTGGGGCCTCGGTATAACAGACACTACCTCAGAGAAACTTTCCATGACCTCCTGGTCTAAGTCAAATCCTAGTTATAATCTCTCACAACACTATGTACCACATTTGCAATTTGATACATTTATTTATGTGATAATCCTTCTCATAATAAACTATAAACCCCACAAACAAGGTAAAAACTGTGCTTGTTTTTGCTCATCATTGTATCTTCAGTCCCTAGCTTAGCGCCTGTCACATACAATCAATATTTTTTAAATGAATTAATAGATTCAAGGTTTTTTAACTATTCTCCCGATTTAACCAGTTGTCTTCGTCCATTTTATGCTTCTATAACAGAACACCTGAGAATAGGTAATTTATAAAGAAAAGAAATTTACTTGGTTCACAGTTCTGGAGGCTGGGAAGTCCAAGATCAAGGGGCATAAACTGGTAAGAGCCTTCCTGCTGCACCATAATATGGCAGAAGGAATCACATGGTGAAAGTGCAAGACAGAGAGCAAGAGAAGACCAAACTCACTTTTATAACAAACCTGCTCTCAAGATAATGAACTCATTCCCTTGATAACTATATTAATCCATTCATGAGGGCAGAGCCCTCACAACCTCATCACCTCTTAATAATCCCATCTCTCAAGACTGCTGCATTAAAGTTTCTTTCTTTCTTTCTTTCTTATTTTTATTTTTTGAGACACAGTGTCACTCGGTTGCCCAGGCTGGAGTGTAGCGGCACAATCTCAGCTCACTGCAACCTCCGCCTCCTGGGTTCAAGTGATTCTCCTGCCTCAGCCTCCCGAGTAGCTGGGATTATAGGCACACACCACCATGCCTGGTTAATGTTTGTATTTTTAGTAGAGATGGAGTTTCACCATGTTGGCCAGGCTGGTCTCGAACTCCTGACCTCAAGTGATTTGCCCGCCTCGGCATCCCAAAGTGCTGGGATTACAGGCATGAGCCACCGTGCTCAGCCAGAATTTAAGTTTCTAACATATGAACATTGGGGGACACATTCAAACCACAGCACCAGCCCTTCATATTTTCCGCTTACATAACAGATCTATAGTTCAAGTTATAAAGGATAACTTCTTTCTTTACATCCTTTCATTCTTACCCAGACCCAAGATCCTTCTTTACCTCTTCACCTACATTAATTACTCCTCTTGCTACAAAGTAGAGCCTAAATTGGTTTTACAAAGCTCTCTTTAACACACCAGTCCACAACAGTTTCCAGTGGAACTTCTACATCACTCTAAATTTCTATGCTGTTTATTTGACACTTCCTCAAATGCTATCATGTTATCATTATACAATATTTCATTATTATACTCTGTTTTATTTGCTTTTTTCTTTTTTTTTTTTTGAGAGGGAGTCTGTCCCCAGGCTGGAGTGCAGTGGTACAATCTCGGCTCACTGCAAGCTCCGCCTCATGGATTCACGCCATTCTCCAGCCTTGGCCTCCCGAGTAGCTGGGACTACAGGCGCCCGCCACCATGCCCGGCTAATTTTTTGTATTTTTAGTAGAGACAGGGTTTCACTGTGTTAGCCAGGATGGTTTCGATCTCCTGACCTTGTGATCTGCCCACCTCGGCCTCCCAAAGTGCTGGGATTACAGGCGTGAGCTACCACACCCAGCCTGCTTTTATTTTTCTAAATATAAACATATTTAGGTATGTAGATTGTATGCCTCTGAAGGGTAGCTATAGGCCAGGCACAGTGGCTCATGCCTGCAATCTCAGCACTTTGGGAGGCCAAGGCAAGTGGATCACTTGAGGTCAGGAGTTCAAGACCAGCCTGGGCAACATGGAGAAACCTCATCTCTACTAAAAATACAAAAATTAGCTGGGCGTGGTGATGCATGCCTGTGATCCCACCTACTCAGGTGGCTGAGGCATGAGAATCTCTTGAACCTGGGAGTGGGAGGTTGCAGTGAGCTGAGATGGCACCACTGCACTCCAGCCTGGGCAGCAGAGCAAGACTCTATCTAAAAAAAAAAAAAAAAAACATAGGTATAGTTATAATTTGCTACTAGCATACCTATGCATATATTTTCTGGAAACACCTGCTGAAGGAATTAATGAAAAAAAAACTTTCTGTAGCTTGGAATGAGGACTCAGCCTGCAGTTTATCACCAAATTTGGCAATTGACAGTTCTCCTTAGAAGGCACCTAAAAATATTATACCATTTCTGTAACGAATACTCCAGGCCCCTTTATGGTAGACAGTTCAAAACAAGTATGATGGAAGAACATTAGAGTGGTATATTATTTTAAATTTTCTGACATATTTAGAGCAGCTCATACTCAGTTATCTCTAAATCCATTACAGAATTATTAAAATAGTGGTGTGCGCCTATAATCCCAACTCTTTAGAACTCTACATCATCAAGCTTTGTTCTTGTCCTCTGAACTTGGGAGAATCTTTAAATATTTTCTGTAGGTTAATTTCTATTTCAAAATATATCTCTGAGGAAAAAGTTGTTTTTGTCTATAGTCATGCTGGTTACTCTCTTGGCTGAATATCATTTATCATAGACTTTTTTTTTTTTTTGAGACGGAGTCTCACTCTGTTGCCAGGCTGGAGTGCAGTGGTGCGATCTCAGCTCATTGCAACCTCCGCCTCCCAGGTTCAAGCGATTCTCCTATCTCAGCCTCCTGAGTAGCTGGGACTACAGGTATGCGCCACTATCATAGATTTTCAACCCTACATATAAATGCAGGAGTGCATTTCAATGTGGTTTTGGTCAGATTAAGGTCTTAATAATCTAGACTTTTTTCCTTCAAAATCAGAGAATATATTGTAATTCCAATTATTCTGAGTCTTATTGGAAAATGTAAGACCACAAAAAACAAAGCTGACAAACAATATTGAAATTCACACAATATGTGTCACCCATTTCAAATGTTAGGATTAATTTATTTTCTGAGTTTTATCAATCACTATTTTTGCCCATACTAATAAGAAACAAAGTTGATAATAAAGAATTATCAGTTATCTGTTTATATGCTTCTTTTCAGATACCCTTATGAACATTTTCTGTGGAGCTAATTACTCTTTTAAAAGCTTTATTGAGATGTAATTTATGTAACATTAAAATTCACCCCTTTTAAGTGTACAATGGGTTTTTGAGTATATTTACAGTTTTGCCACTATTACCATAATCTAATTTTATCTTATTTGTGATATAATTCACAAAATTATATAACCAGAACCATTATCTAATTCTAGAATACTTTCATCCCTCTAATAAGGAACCTCATACTCATTAGCAGTCACTCCCCATTTCTCCCCAACTCCTTCAGCCCTATGCAATCACTAGTCTACTTTCCGTCTCTATGGAGTTGCCTATTCTTGACTTTTCATGCAAACAGAATCATACAATATGTGGTCTTTGTGACTGGCTCCTCTCACTTGGTATAATGTTTTCAAGGTTCTTTCATGTTATAGCATGTATCATAACTTTATTCCTTGTTTTCTCCTAATAATATTCTATTGTATGATACACCACATGTGGTTTATCCATTCATCAACTGGTGGATATTTGGGTTTCCACTTTTTGGCTATCAAGAATAATGCTGTAGGCCAGGTGCTGTGGCTCATGCCTGTAATCCTAGCATTTTGGGAGGCCGAGGTGGGAGGATCATTTGTGCTCATGAGTTCGAAACCAGCCTGGGCAACATGGCAAAACACCATCTCTACAAAAAAAATTTTTTTAAGCCAGACATGGTGGTGCGCCCCTGTAGTCCTAGCTACTTGGGGGGCTGAGGCAGGGGGAGTGCTTGAGCCCCTGAGGCTGAGGATGCAGTGAGCTGGCGCCACTGCACTCCAGCCTGGATGACAAAGCGAGACTCTGTCTCAAAAAAAAAAAAAAAAAACCCAGAATAATGCTGCTATGAACATTCACAAACAAGATTTTGTGTAGACATGTTTTCATTTCTCTTGAAAATACCTAGAAGTGGAATTACTGGGTCACATGCTAATCACTCTTTAGACCAGTAACAGGATTTTTTTCTACTTTAAAAGGTTTTTGACACAGCCAGAAAGCTGATTTTTCATAAAAATGCAAACATAAAATCCATTTGTTGGTATAATAAGGTCAAGGTGCACAAGTCTTTGCTATCAACAAAAGGTATCATATTTTCCAATTTCAGTTGAAACAGACATTCTAACATTGGTTAAGATCTTAGAATCTTGGAGTTTGTACTAGTGTACTTAATCCATATGCTGGGATAAAATTCTGTTTTTAAGCAGGAAGTATATATCCAACTCCCATGGCTGACAACTGCTTAAGAAATAAGTACACAATAAGGTTAGACTGACACAGCACAAGGAGCAAAAAATAATAATTTAAAATGTTAAGACACCGGGCTGTGCACGGTGGCTCACATCTATGATCCCAGCCCTATGGGAGGCCGAGGCAGGCAGATCACCTGAGATCAGTTCAAGATCAGCCTGGTCAACATGGTGAGACCCTGCCTCTGCCAAAAATACAAAAGTTAGCCAGGCATGGTGGTGCGAGCCTGTAATCCCAGCTACTCCGGAGGCTGAGGCACGATAATCACCTGAACCCGGAGGAGGAGACTGCAGTGAGCCAAGATAGTGCCACTGCACTCCATCCTGAGCAACACAGCGAGACTCCGTCTCAAAAAAATAAAATAGACCAGGCGCGGTGGCTCGCCCCTGTAATCCCAGCACTTTGGGAGGCCGAGACGGGCTGATCGCCTGAGGTCAGAAGTTCGAGACCAGCCTGGTCAACATATAGTGAAACCCCATCTCTACTAAAAAACACAAAAATTAGCTGGGTGTGGTGGCACACACCTGTAGTCCCAGCTACTTGGGAAGCTGAGGCTAGAAGGATCACTTGAAGTCAGGAAGTGGAGCTTGCAGTGAGTCAAGACAGCGCCACTGCACTCCAGCCTGGGCAACAGAGCAAGACTCCATCTCTCAAAATCAATGAATTAATTAAATAAATGAATTAATTAAATAAAATATTAGACACTGGTCACATGCGGTGACTCACATCTGTAATCCCAACACTTTGGGAGACCAATGCGGGTGGCTCGCTTGAGCCCAGGAGTTGCAAGACCAGCCTGGGCAACATGGCGAGACCGCGTCTCTACCAAAAAAAAAAAAAAATATATATATATATATATATATATATGTATTATATATTATAAATGTATATATGTATTATATATTATAAATGTATTATATATTATATAATACATATATATTATATATAATACAAATATATATAAAATATTAGACACCCCGATTAAACTAAATACTCATTTTCTTTCCCTAGGAGGAGTGTGTGTGTATGTGTGTGGTGGGGGGGGGTGGGTGCTGTTTCTCAAAAACATATTTCAAAAATTGGAGGCCAAGTAAGCTTCTGGTCACATTTTTTGGGTTTGTTGTTTTTTCCCAGCAATGAACACTCTAGTTCAAATATACTTCGCAAATTTTGAACAGATAATGAAAAGTTGATTGTAAAATTCTACATATAAAAAGAGCTTTAAAAACACATTTTCATTTTTTAAAAAATCAAACACCTTGTAGCAGATATTAGACATAATCAAGGGAAAACTACCAGCGTCCTACCAATCACAGCCCTAGAGAAAACGCCACAGGTCGTCCAAAAAACGCATTCGTTTGAGCCGACAGCTCTTTCCTCCCGCCAAAGCTATCCCTCGAACGTCAGAAGCTGACCCAAGGAGTGACTGATGATTTCTCCTTTTTGATTCCCCACCCCCGCCACTCCCAATCCACCTGCTTGAAGGTGTCAACGCGACTAGAAACGGTTAACAGTGACCAGCAGCAGAGAGAGAAACAAACATCCCTGACAACCCACAGCTGAGTAAGCAAGAGCTGTTTATTCACCAACGTGTTCCATTTGGAGACTGTCGGCGAGCCCTGGAAAGCCCAGGCACATTTGAGAAGGTTCCTGGAGAGGGAGAGAATCATCTTTCCTTCCCCCAACTCCCCAGCCCCAAACACACAGAGAGACTCGGGTGGAAGCTGTCTGGTCCAGGCAGTCCCTATTTGCCCGCCCCCTCAAGAAGAACCTCACGCACCAAACCAACCGACCCCTCGCGGAGGTGGTGTAATTCCCCCAAAATGGGCTCTGCCGCAGGAGAGGCTGGCTCCAGCGCCGGGGGCTTCGGAAGGAGTTTCTGCCACCCCCACTGCCGCCACTGACCGCCCCGACGCCACGGCCGGGGCCGGGGACCCTGATAAGAAATGGCCCTTCAGCCCCCTCCCCTCACCTGGCTCGGTCCCACCTGAGGGCAAGAGCGGAGGCAAAAACAAACAGGCAGGGAGGGCTGACCTTGTTGCTACCGACAGTGGAGCGGCGCATCCTGCTGCTTCCTGGAAAGCGGCCCGAAAGACATTTTTTCCCCCTGGAGGAAGGAAACGGGAGGGCGCCGGCCAGACGGCGGCAGGCGCGGAGGCGTTGGTCCGGGCGGGCTGTGCAGCCTCTAGTGGAGACGGTCCGAAGACTACATCTCCCAGGCTGCTCTGGGCCGCCCTGCGTCGTAACCCTGGCGCGCACGGAGGCGGCGACTCTTACCTCACAAAGGTAGCTCCTCCGCCGGCAGCAACTCGGCGCCCGCGGTCCATGGACCGGAACCTCGGGCCGACGGACGGGAACCCGGGCCGCGATCGCCGCCTCCCCGCCTCAGGCTCCTCCTCCTCGCTCTCCGCCGCCTCCGCCGGACTCCCGCAGGCCCTGCACCGCCGCCGCCAGGCTAGCGGAGCTGCCCCGGGAAGCTGGGTGACGGGTTCGCGGCTGCCGCCGGACTGCGGCCTACTCCGCCGCCTCTCAGTGCTATTGTCCCTGGGCCTGGCCTTGAGCGGGTCCACTGGGGAAGGCCGTGTGCGCCGGCTCCGCGGAAGATGCCGGACCAAGCCCTACAGCAGATGCTGGACAGGTACGGGCAGCTGTGGGGGGGACCGGGAGCCGCCGACCCTCGCTCTGGCCCTGCCCGCGCCCGCCCTCGAGGCTCTTGGTGAGCAGAACCCGGCGTGCCGGGAGGAGTTCCACGGCCAGGGGGCCGTGAGAGGGGCAAAAAGTTTGGAGTCTAGACCTGGGGGAGGACAGAGCGAGCGGCCTGGGTCGTAGACTTTGGGTGAAACTTAGCTAAGGAGTGGCGTCTGGTTTCCTTGGAACCCCGTTTTGACCTGAGAGGGACTCCTGTTAATCCACAAAATTAGTTTTCCTTACCCTCTTCCCCTCCCCCTTCCCCCTCCCCAACTTGTGAAGTGTTTGTCAGCGATGTCACTGGCAAGAACCGGGTTATCTTTCAGGGGAATGACCCCCTTATAATTTTAAGTCTCTGTCTGAGAACCAATGATAAGCATTCTTTTGGAAAGCCTGATAGGCTGATTTCATTCTCCCACTTTCCCTGAACCCGCACCCCCCGTCCCCCCCGCCCCATCCCGTCCCCACCTCCGAACTGTAAGGTCAGAGTATCCGCAAGGGAGATTTAACGGTCAGACCAGAGTAGAGGTTATGGAAAACAGCCAAATGAGTCCAACGCTGAACATTTAGTGTACTTGACGATCGTTGAGTTCATTGAAGACGTTTCAGCTCGTACAGGAGTCCAGTTGCCCATTCTTGGGGGGCCCCAGTCGGTAAAACTCTTTGTGAAGTCGGGTGCACCGCCCTCTGCTGTTGAAATTCTGGTCCGTGGGTCCTACCATGAGTTTTTGGAGACTCTAGATCCACATTTCCCCCGAGCCAAGTCTTACTTCCTGGCATAGCAAGTTGTACAAGCTAATTCATGATGTTTGTGGTTGCTTACAATTCTCAATAGACACCACTTGCCACCCATTTCAGCAGGTGGTACCAACTCTTTGTACTCAGTAAAATTCCAACTGTAAGGTGTTAAATGAAGGCCCTCCCTTAATTGAGTTTATACCCAGTTAAATGCTTTTGGGCCTGCCACACCCAGAACACAAATGACCCAAGGGTACACATCCTTCCAGAGTGACAGACATTTTTTTGGAGCTTAGAATTTTGAGCCATCTCAGTTAATAGGAATTATGTCACTGATTTTTTTCAGTTGAGATAACTGGTGATTCATCCAGCCCTTGTTTCAGGTCAACATCCTGACAATTGTATTGACTGCTTTATATATATATGTGTGTGATATGTGTGTGGTTTATAAGCTCTTGGAAGCAGAAACTTACTATTGTTTATCTTGAATCCCAGAACAGAGCCTGGTACTCAGTAGGTAATCAGTAAGTATTTGTTGTATGAACTAATGCACAAACTTATTTGTCAGTTTCCCCAGTTGTCTAGGGGGTCTGATAATTTACCAGGTTTTCCTTTCATTGTAAATTGGCAAATTGTGGCAAATTAAAATATGCCCAGAGGAAACCACCTGCCACTGCCAGTTCTATTCTGTTGAGACCCTGTTCTGATGTGGGGTATTTTGTAGTTAATTTTTTTCCTTTGAGGGCCTCCTGCTTTTCATTTTTACATAGTGACTTTTTTTCTTCTTTTTTTGAGACAGGGTCTCTGTTGCCCAGACTGGAATGCAGTGGCAGTGGCAGTGGCATTGGCATGATCTCAACTCACTGCAACCCCCGCCTCCCAGGCTCAGGTGATCCTCCTACCTCAGCCTCCCTAGTAGCTGGGACCACAACACATACCACCATGCCCAGCTAATTTTTTGTATTTTTATAGAGCCAGAGTTTTGCCATGTTGCCTGTGCTGGTCTCAAACTCCTGGGCTCAAGTGATCCTCCCGCCTAGCCTCCCAAAGTGCTGGATTGTCAGGCATGAGCCATCGTGCCCAGCCTAGAAAAGTTCTTATGTCCAAAAGCTGACCTAACTTTTCATATGCTCTTTGGATATTTCCATAAAAGTAAGAAGCCAAAGAGTGAGCCTGGGCACGGTGGCTCACCCTTGTAATCCCAGCACTTTGGGAGGCCAAGGCAGGCAGATCACTAGAGCTCAGGCCTTTGAGACCAGCCTAGCCAACATGGTGAAACCCTGTCTCTACTAAAAAAAAAAAAAAAAATACAAAAATTAGGCAGGCGTAGTGGCGTGGGCCTGTAGTTCCAACTCTCGGGAGGCTGAGGCATGAGAATTGCTTGAACCTGGGAGACGGAGGTTGCAGTGAGCTGAGATCGCACCATTGTACTCCAGCCTGAGTGACAGAGTGGAACTCCATCTCAAAAAAAAAAGCTAGTGAGGCATTTAAAACTTATTAACAGAAATGCGAAGATTCTGGCTGCCATTTACTGAAGTAGGTGACTATGACACTGGCTTACTCTCATCTTTGTACTACTCTCATCTTTGTACTCTTTTGACATACCTTAAGGTAGATTTTTAACATGACTTTCAAAGACCGTTATTGTCTAGATTAGTAGTTGGCAACCTACTTCCATGTTAGAATTACCTGGGGAGCATTTCAGAATATGCATGGATGCTGGACTGTAAGACCAATAAGATCAAAAATTTCTGTAGGGTAGAGCCTGGGCATCTATATTTTAAAGCTTTTTAAATGTTTTAGATATGGCAGAAACCTACTGCCCTAAGTCCTAAGTCAGTGATATCTTTCATGATAAGAGATAGTAGGGTATAGTGAGTAAAGCTTGGGCTCAGAGATAGAAAGTATGAAATTCGAATTTTGCCACTTACTAGCTATGTGACTTTGAACTTAGATTCTGACACTATGTATATTATCATTTATAAAATGAGAACCCTACTTCACAGGGCTACAGCAAATGAAACATACATCTCTATAAAACAGCAAAACACTCTATGTTAGCCAAATAGAAGGCACTTAAGACTAATGTAAACCAGTTTGGCCATTTTTCCCCCATCTACTTTATGTTTACAGCTTTCTTCACCTGGGCTGGCCCTACTGCAAGTTGAACACAAAGATACTCAACATGGTTCACTTGAGGAATACCAACAGGGCCAAGAGACTAAAATATGTCAGCCTATTAGGACCCAGAATTCTTTTCATGAATTTGGCTTCTCCCCAACCTGGTTTTTGGTGGCAATTTTTGAGGGACAGAATTTAGCTCAGATAACTGTTCATTTGTTTATTTCTTTAATGCAGGTTTTATCTTCGTGAAGACTAAGGAACTGTGTGTTACATATTGTTCTGTTGCTTTTAGGTTAAGTTACGTATTTTATTTAGGCCAGGCACAGTAGCTCATGCCTGTAATCCCAGCACTTTGGGAGGCCGAGATGAGAGGATTGCTTGAGCCCAGGAGTTAGACACCAGTGTGGGCAACATGGCAAGACTCAGTCTTTACAAAAATGTTAAAAATTAGGCCAGGCCTGGTGGCACATGCCTGTGGTCCCAAATATTCAGGAAGCTGAGGTGGAAGGATTCCTTGGGGGTCGTGGCTGTAGTGAGCTGTGTTTGTGCCCCTGGGTACTACAGCCCAGGTAACAGAGCAAGACCCTGTCTTAAAAAAAAATGTTATTTTTCAGTAAATCAATTATTAAACATTTACACTTATTGAATTTATTTAACAAATACTGAGTGTCTTCATATGCCCAGTACTATTCTAGGCCCTTGGTATATAGTGGTGAATTGAACATAACAAAAATGCCCTTATGGAGCTTCAATTCCAGGGGTGTTTGTGTTGTCTAAACTGTCAAAGTGAAGACTATTTTAATTGTAATATGAATGGTATGTTCAATTTATACCATTTAATCTTTCAGGGTTTTTAAACTAGAGGCAACTTTTCTTTTTTTTTTTTTTTTTTTTTTTTTGAGGCGAAGTCTCACTCTGTCACTTGGGCCAACTGGTGACAACTTCTTTTATTTATTTATTTATTTATTTTTTATTTTTTTTTTTGAGACAGAGTCTCGCTCAGTCGCCCAGGCTGGAGTGCAGTGGCGCAATCTTGGCTCGCTGCAAACTGTGCCTCTTGGGTTCACGCCATTCTCCTGCCTCAGCCTCCCGAGTGGCTGGGACTACAGGCACCCGCCACTAAGGCCAGCTAATTTTTTTGTATTTTTAGTAGAGACGGGGTTTCACCGTGTTAGCCAGGATGGTCTCGATCTCCTGACGTCGTAATCTGCCGGAATTGACCTCCCACAGTGCTGGGATTACAGGCGTGAGCCACCGTGCCTGGCCTGTGGCAACTTCTTAATAGCTGAAGTTGAATTCCCTTGTCCTTTGCAAATAACTCACTTTAGTTTAGCTATTATTTGTTTATATTGGTAACTTTGATTACTGTAATATTTGTAGGTGGAAAGAATACATATACATACGTATATATATACATACATACATATATATATGGAATTTTTTTTTTTTTCATGGAATTTCGCTCTTGTTGCCCAGGCTGCTGGAGGGCAGTGGCGCGATCTCGGTTCACCACAACCTCCGCCTCTCGGGTTCGCGTGATTCTCCTGCCTTAGCTTCCGGAGTAGCTGGGATTACAGGCATGTGCCACCACGCCTGGCTAATTTTGTATTTTTAGTAGAGACTGGGTATCTCTATGTTGGTCAGGCTGGTCTCGAGCTCCTGACCTCAGGTGATCCACCTACCTCTGCTTCCCAAAGTGCTGGGATTACAGGGGTGAGCCACCACTCCTGACCATATGGATATATATTCTTTGGATTGCCTTTCGTTTTTATAAACTATAAGTGTTTTATGTAAATTTATTATTTGAACCTTTTAAGTTGTTGTGGGGAAACAAGAATGGTGGAAAGGGGGGTGATTTTTCTAGTGTCGTGAATGTTTCAGTGTCACAAATATCATTTCCCTGAAATGATAACCATTCATAAGCCCAAACCCTTTATGTCAGGCCTTTTGAACCTTAGTTAGCTCTTCTGTCTTTCATTGCTTCAATTCTTTAATAAGAAGTTGTTATATATTACTTTCTCTTTGACCACCGACATTCTCATTTTTCTCTAAAACTTCTCAAAGTTAGGAGTGAATTTACAGAGAACAATGCAAAGAATATTATAACAAACTGCAGGAATGGACCTCTGATTTGAAGCCTGGACCTACTGAGAAATGCTTTTGGAAACTACTTCTGCTTCCCCCGTCTTAAAATAAACACGCATTAATTTGTTGAGGTTGTTTTGCATCACTTACTTGCATCTAGTAAATAGGCAAGGAGTGTAGCCAGAATGTCCCCAGAATGGTCAGATGGCAGAAAGAGCAGAGAGAGTGGTCTATTCTTCCAGCCCCCTCCCACAATGGTATAGTGAATTAGAATTCTGCCTCTGTGAGAGTGTTATCCACAGATGTATACCCCTTTGAAGACCAAGGAAGCTATACTCTGATAGGAGCATGCTGTATAAACAATTTCACATTTTCTTTGTCAGTTGACCTCTTTTTCTCAATCACATCACCATGTTGACAATTACAGACCAATGCCCAGAATTAAAAATCATCATCAATTATATTTATTTCCAGATATATGTAAAAAATGGAAACATCATAGATAAAATTAAATCCCCTTTGACCACCATCCCCAATGGCATATCTTCTCATCCCCACTCCACTATCATAAAATGGGTTTATATTCTTCCATCCTTCTTGGTTTAATGCTTTTATATAGAAAAGTATATTAATAGACTACTTTTTTTTTTTTTTTTTTGAGTCAGGGTCTTACTCCATTGCTCAGGCTGGAGTGGAGGGTCACAGTCACGGCTCACTACAGCCTCAACCTCCCAGGCTCAAGTGATCCTCCCACCTCAGCTTCCAGAGTAGCTGGGACTACTGGTGTGCACCACCACACCTAGCTGATTTTTTGTATTTTTTTTGTGGAGATGGAGTTTCACCACGTTGCCCAGGCTGGTCTCAAACTCCTGGGCTCAAGTGATCCGCTCGCCTCGGCCTCCCAAAGCTCCCAAAGTGGGGGACTACAGGTGTGTTCCACCACATCCAGCTTTCAACTTTTTTTTTTTTTTTTTTTTTTTGAGACAGAGTCTCACCCTGCCACCCAAGCTGGAGTGCAATGGCGTGGTCTCGGCTCACTGTTGCAACCTCCACCTCCTGAGTTCAATTGATTCTCCCACCTCAACCTCCCAAGTGGCTGGGACTACAAGCACGTGCCACCACACCCAGCTAATTTTTTGTATTTTTAGTAGAGACAGGGTTTCACTGTGTTGGCCAGACTGGTTCAAACTCCCGACCTCGTGATCCACCTGCCTCGGCCTCCCAAAGTGCTGGGATTTCAGGCATGAGCCGCCACACCTGGCCTTTTTTCTTTTTTAATCCAGTCTCGTTTATGACATTTAGATTCTTATTTTCTCTTTATTATTTTTCCTGATAATTTGACTTTCATTCCCCTTTCTTGTCATTAGCTCTACTGAAAGTGTACTGAAGGGCTGGGTGCAGTGGCTCACACCTGTAATCCCAGCACTTTGGAAGACCGAGGCAGGCCAATCACTTGAGCTCAGGAGTTCAAGACCAGCCTGGCCAACATGGCGAATCCCCATCTCTACAAAAAATACAAACATTAGTAGGGCATAGTGGCACATACCTGTAATCTCAGCTACTCGGGAGGCTGAGGCACAAGAATCGCTTGAACCTGGGAGGCAAAGGTTGCAGTGAGCTGAGATCGTGCCACTGCACGATCTCTCTCTCTATATATGTATATGTATACTAAAGGTCACCAATAATTTCTTAGTAAATATAATGACATTTTCTTCAGGACTTTTTATCCTTCAGAATCACGTTACCTTTTTCTTCCTTCAATTTCTATGTATGGTTCAATTCTCAGCATTTACTATTTTGAGAAAGTACACTTACTCACTCTCTTTCCTGTTTATTCAAACAACTCCCAGATCTGTGTCTTTATTCCTGACCTCTTTTCCTCATTTCCTTTAGCACCTAATTTCTACCTGCCCAGTGGACATTTCCATTTGTGTGTATACAGTATTGCCAATCAATCTAAAACTAAGCTACTTATCTTGACTTCTCAATTTTTGGTCTTTGATATTACCAGTCTTCTTGTCCACCAGCTATAAAACATAAATTTTATTTGTTTGTTTGTTTTTGAGACAGGGTCTGGCTCTGTCGCCCAGGCTGGAGTGCAGTGGCCCATCTCGGCTTACTGCAACCTCCATCCCCCACCCTCCGGCTCAAAATATCCTCCCACCTCACCCTCCTGACTAGCTGGGACTGCATGTCCAGCTAATTTTTGTATTTTTAGTAGAGACGGGCTTTCGCCGTGTTGCCCAGGCTGGTCTCAAACTCCTGAGCTTAAGTGACCCTCCTGCCTCAGCCTCCCATAGTGCTGGGATTACAGGCATGAAGCTAGCCAAAACATAAGTTTTTCTTGTTTTCTTTGTTTTTGTTAAAGAAACAGGGTCTTGCACTCCCAGGCTCAAGCCTCCCAAGTAGCTAGGAGCACAGGGCAAGCCAGCATGCCCAGCTAATTTTTTTTAAACTTTTTTTTTTTTGGTGGGGAGGGGGATAGAGACGGGTCTCACTATGTTGCCCAGGCTGTCTCAAACTCCTGTTCTCCACCAATCCTACCTTGGCCTCCCAAAGTGTTAGGACTACAGGTATGAGCTACCTTGCCCGGCCTATTTACATTTTTTTGCTGCCTTCTTTCCTTCCAGATCCACTTGTTCATCACATATTGTTGATTTTCCTTTTTCTAGCTTCAATTTTTCACTTGGTCCAGTTTGGCCTACAGAGTGGCACTAGAATTAGCGAAGGCACAATTATAATCATGCGATTTCTATACTTAAAAATCTGCCAGTCTCTGTGTCACGTAAAAGGATAAAACGTAAACTTTCAACGGGGTAACGTGCTTTGATCTGTTACTATAATCCAGCCCCAACCTACCTTAACCATCCTTTCCTGCACTCCCCTTCATTGACCCCTGAACATATCCTGCTCTTTCATTTCTTTATTTTTGCTTTAGGTGCCTTCCTCCCTCCTAACACCTGGTGAAGTCTTACCCATATTGAATTCAGCTGAAATACCACAGTGACACCTTGCACAGCTCCCCCAAACAGAGTTAATAACTCCTTTCTGTGTTTCAATAGAACCTTGTTGCATTTATTATAGTGTATCACATTGTACTGTAAATTTTTTAATATACTTGTCCCATGTCTCAGAGCTTCCCACACACACACATATTCATCTGGAAGTTCACTGAGAACAGAAACTGCCTGTATTCCCTATCCTATTTTCCCACAAGGGCCTTAGTGCATAGGAGACCCTCTTTTGTATCATGATGTCTTTCTTTTCATTCTTTGTGACATATCAGTGCTTAGAATAATCATGCAGAAGCACCATTTTTTTAAATTGCCTCATTTGCTCAAAACTTGTATTTTCTTACTGCTTATTGAGATTAAGTTCAGGGCTGGGCACTTTGGGAGGCTGAGGCAGGAGGATCGCCTGATCTCAGGAGTTTGAGACCCACCTGAGCAAAATACTAAGACCCCCGTCTCTACAAAAAATAAAAAAGTAACCAGTGTAGTGGTGCATGCCTATACTCCCAGCTACTCAGGAGGCTGAAGCGGGAGGTTCACTTGAGCCTGGGAGATTGAGGCTGCAGCAAGCCATTATCACATCACTGCACTCCAGCCTGGGTATAACAAAGCAAGACCTTGTCTCAAAAAAAAAAAAGAAAAGAAAAGAAAAAAAGATCTGGCCGGGCTCAGTGGCTCATGCCTGTAATCCCAGCACTTTGGGAGGCCGAGAGGAGCAGATTGCTTGAGCCCAAGAGTTTGAGACCAGCGTGGGCAACATGGAGAAACCCTGTGTCTACTTAAAAAAAAAAAGAAAGAAAGAAAAAATAGCTGGGTGTGGTGGCCCACACCTGTAATTGCAGCTGCTGGGGAGGCTGAGATGGGAGGATCACCTGAGCCCAGGTTATGGAGGTTGCAGTGAGCTGAGATTGCACCATGCCACTGCACTCCAGCCTGGGCCACAGAGCAAGACCCTGTCTCAAAAAAAAAAAAGAGATCATATTCTTTAGCCTGTCCTTCAGGACACTCACCATTATTCACAGACCATTTATTATGCTCCCTATTATGTTTAAGATATGCCGTACATAGCTGGCACCAACTGCCTTTTTAAAGCCTTTCTTCTCTTTATGAATAAGTGTATAAGTACCCAAGTCTTTTGCCCAAGCCAAACTGGCTTGCGCACTTTCTTCCAAACATAAGGTGGTTTTTGTTTTTGGGTTTTGTTTGGCATCTTTTCTTTCAAAGCTCTACCCATTTTTCAAGACCTAGTTAGGTTCTGCCTTGTTTATAATGCTCTTCTGACCATGTCTGCAGAAATATTTTTCTCTTCTTCTCCAGACTCATGTAGCAGTTCATCTTCAGTGCCTCCTAATTCTTTTTTTTTTTTTTTTTTGAGGCAGAGCCTTCACTCTGTTGCCCAAGCTGGAATGCAGTAGTGCAACCTTGGCTCACTGCAGCCTCCGGGTTCAAGCGATTCTCATGCTTCAGCCTCCCAAGTAGCTGGGATTACAGGTGTGTGCCATCATGCTCAGCTAATTTTTTGTATTTTTAGTAGAAACAGGGTTTCACTGTTTTGGCCAGGCTGGCCTTGAACTCCTGGTCTCAAGCAGTCCTCCCCACTCAGCCTCCCAAAGTGCTGGGATTACAGGCATGAGCCACCACGCCTGACCTGCCTCCTAATTCTTTACATGCCGTAGTTCACATAGATGACAATATTTATATGGCCCATTGGAGTAAACTGAAAGGGATTTGCCTCTCTGGAGGAAGCACATTATGGCTGCTTTAAAGTACCTTAGTAAAATGAAACACGTATTTTTTGTACTGCTGTAATTTTCTAAGAAATGGGAAATGTAAATGTGAATTTTTCTCTGAATACACTATACATAGGGCAGCATGGTGCAGTGAAAAAAGCTGATGATTTGGAGTCATGGCCCAGGTTGCATCCATGCCTCTCTGCTTACTGTGTGGCCTTGGCCAGATCACTTAACCTTTCTGGGCTTTTGGTTCTTGTTTAAGATGGGATTAATTGTGCTTTCAGAGTTTATGAACATCAAAGACAAAAGGCACGGCATGAATATACTATACTCAATAAATGATTGCTCAGTATTCGTGGGGAATTGGTTCTGGGACCTCCCAAGGATGCCAAACTCTGTAGATGCTCAAGTCCCTGATATAAAATGGTGTAGTATTTGCATATAACCTATGCACATCCTCCTGTACACTTTACGTTCTCTCTAGATTACATATAATACCTAATACAGGCCGGGTGCAGGGGCTCACGCCTGTAATCCCAGCACTTTGGGAGCCTGAGGCAGGCGGATCATCTGAGGTCAGGAGTTTGAGACCAGCCTGGCCAACATGGTGAAACCCCATCTCTACTAAAAATACAAAAAAATTAGCTGGGCATGGTGGCACACACCTGCAATCCCAGCTACTTGGGAGGCTGAGGCAGGAGGATCGCTTGAACCCGGGAGGCAGAGATTGCGGTGAGCTGAGACCACGCCATTGCACTCCAGCCTGGGTGACAAGCAAGACTCTGTCTCAAAAAAAAAATACCTAATGCAGTGTAAATGCTATGCAAATAGTTGTTATACTGTATTGTTATGAAATAATAACAAGGAAAAGTCCCTCCATGTTCAGTACAGACTCTTTTTTTTCCAAATGTATTTTACCTGAGATTAGTTGAATGAACAGATGCAGAACCCTCAGTTGGAGGGCTGACTGTATTCTCACCTTTTCTTTTTGGTAATGTGTCATGATTGTGGTTATATGTCTTTGATAGATCCAGGTACTTTAACTTCCATTCCACTAGGATGAACGGACATATTAGTCTCCCTAATAGTGTGCTTTCTGTTTCACAATTCTTGGGTGTGACACTTTTAATCCTGAGACAAAATAAGCAACACGTAGTTTTCTTTTTTCTTTTTTTTTCTTTTTTTTTTTTTGAGACGGAGTTTTGCTCTTGTTGCCCAGGCTGGAGTGCAATGGCACGATCTCGGCTCACTGCAACCTCCGCCTCCCGAGTTCAAGCGATTTTCCTGCCTCAGCCTCCTGAGTAGCTGGGATTACAGGCATGCACCACCACACCCGGCTAATTTTGTATTTTTAGTAGAGACGGGGTTTCTCTATGTTGGTCAGGCTGGTGTCCAACTCCTGACCTCAGGTGATCCACCCACCTCGGCCTCCCAAAGTGCTGGGATTATAGGCGTGAGCCACCGTGCCCGGCCTAACATGTAGTCTTTTTCTTTGTCAAATAGAGCCCTCCTTACATTAACCACAGTATGAATCTCCAAACTTGTTCTAAATTGAGGAGTGCTTGTTCTCTTTCCTTAGAGCAGTCATGTAAATACACTATTATGGCACCATATATAATACAACAGCAGCAATTTAAAGCTTATTCCACGCTTGCTTTCTATATTCTCACTCTTCTATTCTGCTACATTCCAATTTTCATCACAGTGATTTCTCAGGCAGGAGTCTGATTTCCCAGAATTTCCTAAGAATCCAAAAGAAACACCTGCAGTTTGAGTCTGCAAAGGCTTTACTACCAGCTGTTTTTTAAGTTACTGTACCTATCTTGCTTAATTTAGTGCCAGTGAGAAACTATCTTTTTGATAAATAAAGCCCCCCTCACTTTTTTCTACATACTTTAAAAATAATTAACCTGTTTGATCAGATAGACTGTAAATTAGTCACAAATGAACCCTGTGAAGTGAGATTGTCTTTGTTATTCATCCTTTCCCAACTGGTTTGTAATATCTAGCTTCATCTTAAAATCTTTCTGCTCCAACCACATTGGTCTATGAATATATGTTCATTTCCATCTCTAAGCTTGCTTACTCTGTTTTTCTTCAAATACCTTTTCTTTCCACTCTAACTTGAATTCTCATCTGTAGTTATTTCCTTTTCTTGAAACCTCAGCTGTTTCATCCTGTTTCTTGGTCTCTCATCACATTTCTGTATTAAGGTTTCTAACAACTTTTCTTGGCACTTAATGCTTGGTATAGTGGTTTTTTTGTGATCCTCGTATGCATGTTTGTTCGTTAACTAGACTGGAAGTTCCTTACATGTAGTTCCTTGTGGCATCAAATAATGAATGTACTTATTAGGTACTCAAGTGGATTTAGGAGGAGATCTTGAATAATGTTAGATTTAGGGCAATTTTGTCATGTATATTCCTTAAACTGTTTATAAATTTTACTGTTTACTCTTTATTAGTTTACTATATAACTGGCAAAAACCATCATAATTTTAAAATCACATGGAATTATATTACCCATACCAGTAAGACTATACATCTGTTCTTAGGAATAAGTAATAGTCCTTAGATTTGTCTAGTTTAGTTCTCTTCTGTTGTCTTCATATAATGACAGTGATTTGTTCTTTGTTCCCTGAACCAATCATGATACTTCCCAGATCTCCTTTTGCTTTGTAAATGAATATGCCCCAACTTGGTGAATAGGATGGTGTAGGAGTAACATCAGCAAGTAGGTGGCATTTAGAAAAGCTACCAGAAGGGTAATAAGGGTGAAAGAAAATGAATTGAAAGGGTTTAAATGAATCTTAAGATCTTAAGTAGTGGCGTGGCCTGTTGAAAAATTGGGGAAATGACTAGGAATCCAGAACATTTTCCACTGAATGCCAGGGTGCCAAGTAGAATTGCTTTATGTGCTAATGGTAAGAAAACTGCATCCATAAATTTTAGGAACTTGAATGGAAAGCTGACACCATCACTGTCATCATTGTCAATGTTGTTATTGCTAGTGGTCATATGGAGGTTATATATGTGCTAGGCAATTTTTAAGCAGTTTCTTAATCACATGTTTAATCTTTTACAATAGGGGACCTTAACATAAAACATTTTTTATGCTAAAACTCCTTTGGTGGTCTGGTTAAGCCTATGGGTTCCTTCTCAGAATGTTTTTGAAAGAATAAAACAAAATATATAGGATTAGAAATGAAACCAATTATATTGAAGTACAGCTATCAAAATATTAAAAGCCTAAAATAGTAATATGAACTTTAACACATTAAAATACAAGATTTATCAGTTGGCCTGATAACATTTAGCTCATTGTAATTTGAAATTAGTTATTTCGGGATCTCTACAGCTGTAAAGTAATATGAAAATTTCTGGTTGCTATACTCATTTCTAATTGCTGTGCTGCTAATATTACTGTGGTTTGCTTGCACTCATTATTGAAGAAAAGCTACATTTTATTTAGAGCTTAGCAAAAATAAACGTGATGGTTTTTCTCCCCTCATTCAGATTTACCGATCCCCACCCCCTAAGTTTTTCATGGACCCCAGATTAAGAACCCCTGCTTTGCAACAACTCTGTGAAAGAGATTCTATCATTAAACCTATGTAGTTAGCAGGGGTTTGAACCCAGACAATCTGGCTCCAAAGTCCAGGTTCTTTAACCAGCTAGAATATCCTGAATTCGCATTATCTTTTTCCCCAAATTAATTTAACCTTGTTTCCTTAGGAAAAAATACCTTAAGCATTTTACTTATTGTTTAAAATTAAAAACCAAATAATTTAAAAATGTTTACAGTGAGCATAAAACAATTTGATTTCTATGTTACGGTGAGTTAAGAATATTTACAGGGCCAGGCACGATGGCTCACACCGGTAATCCCAGCACTTTGGGAGGCCTAAGCAGGCAGATCACAAGGTCAGGAGATGGAGACCATCCTGGCTAACAAGTGAAACCCCGTCTCTTCTGAAAATACAAAAAATTAGCCAGACGTGGTGGCACGTGCCTGTAGTCCCAGCTACTCGGGAGGGTGAGACAGGAGATTTGCTTGAACCTGGAAGGCAGAGGTTGCAGTGAGCTGAGATCGCACCACTGTACTCCAGCCTGGACAACAGAGCGAGACTCCGTCTCCAAAAAAAAAAAGAATATTTACAAAGGAAAAATCAGAAAAAAGGAAGGAAGAATGGCTAGAGCAGAAGTTTTCAAACTTTCGGGATCATGATCACCTGATGGGCTTATTGAAACAAAGTGCTGGGTACCCCCAGAGTTTCTGATTCTGTAGGTCTGGGGCAAGGCCTAAAGATTTGCATTTCTAATGAGTCCCCAGGTGATGCTTATGCATCACACTGAGGACTGAGTTCTGAGAGAGTCAGAGGATTGGAGAAAACAAGAGGAAAAATAGATGTAAGGAGAAACTCTTAGTTTGGTCAGAAATTACAACTTCCTTTTTCCTTGGGTATGGACTTTGAGTGTTTTGGTTTTGACTAATAATTAATTGGCTATTTTCCATTTCAAAAGACAAAACCAAAAACTAGTCCCATCTACTCAGGAGGCGGAGGTGGGAGGATCACTGGAGCCCAGGAGGTCCAGGCTGCAGTGAGCCGTGATTGTGCCACTGCAGTCTCACCTGAGCAACAGAGTGAGACCCTGTCTCAAAAATAATAAAAACTCTTTAGAGTTTACATTCTATGATTGTACTGAGGCCATCTCTTAGTACCCAACACAGTAACAAGATCATTTTGGTTGCACATGATGCAATGCGAATTGGTTAAGTCAAAAACCCAAAAATCTACTGCTTTATGTGAGTTAACAGTACAAGAATATATTTAGCTTTAGGCACAGCACATCTTGATCCATGTCTCAATGCCGTCAGTTTCCACCTTCACTTCTTCTGGATTCTTAAGGCTCCACTTAGTTGGTGGCTCTCCTGTCAGCAATAGCCTCACATTCTCTGCTTCTAAGCCCAGAAGAAGAGAGAAAGTCTGTATACCACTTTTCCCAGCAAAAGTTCTGAGGTTCACTAAGACCAGCTTTATGGACCCAGCCTCCCAATGATGTAGTCTGGAAGATAGGCTACAGCGGCCAATCTGAGTGTTTCTGGGGTTGGTTATGGTATTCACTGCCTAAACCACACACACGGCTAATGTTGGAGGGAAGAGCGATTTTCCATAGAAAGCATGGGATACTATTTACTCCTAGAAGGTAGAAGGACTTGTGTTGTATGTACATTAAACATCAAATTTCTACTGTCCCCTCCATTCCAAGATGTTGAGAAATTATAAATGAATCATTTTCAAATAGCTCTTCTCCATCTTAAAAGGAAGGGGGTAGAGAATTGGGGAATAAATCGTTGAAGTAGATTAATTACATAGAGTGGGAGGGGTAGGGTATGGAGAAGCAAAAAGGGAAAGCATAATTATAAGACCTTCCCAGGTGATGTTCCTGGTCAGTCGGATGGGCAGGCGCAGTGGCTCATGACTGTAATCTCAGCACTTTGGGAGGCCGAGGCAGGTGGATTACTTGAGGTCAGGAGTTTAAGACGAGCCTGGCCAAGGTGGTGAAACCCCATCTCTACTAAAAATACAAAAATGAGCCAGGCGTGGTGGTGGATGCCTGTAGTCCCAGTTACTAGGGAGGCTGAGGCAGGAGAATCACTTGAACCCAGGAGGCAGAGGTTGCAGTGAGTCAAGATTGCACCACTGCACTCCAGCCTAGGTGGCAGAGTGAGACTCAGTCTCAAAAAAGGGCAGGGGAGGGGGCAGGAAGCTAGACTATATGCCTGCAGTCCTAGGTAATCAGGACACTGAGGCAGGAGGATCACCTGAGCCCAGGATTTCAGTTGGAGTCTAGCCTGGACAACAGAGCCAGACCCATCTCATAAAATAAGGAAAGAAAACATCTGTGTGTGTGTGTGTGTGTGTGTGTGTGTGTGTGTGTGCGCGTGCATGCACGCACGTGCCCTCCCCTCCTTTTTTTTAGCCCTTAAGACTAGTCACACTCTTATATGCTGATATCGGCCTAAAGACATTTGTGTGACCATTTTTACATGCTTTAATTTCCCCTTTGCCCAGTCCTCATTTCATAGACTGCTATTCTTTCCATACTAGGTAGATTAAATTTAAACAACTAGTAAGATAGCAAATCAGTTAATAAATTCTTTAGAACTTAACATATTTGGCCAGGCACAGTGGCTCACGCCCAAAACTTTGGGAATCCAAGGCAGGAGAATTGCTTGAGCCCAGGAGTTTGAGACTGGTCTAGGCAACATAAGGAGATCCTGTCTCTAAAAAAAAAATTTTTTTTTAATTAGCTGTGTGTGGCCAGGCGCAGTGGGTCATGCCTGTAATCCCAGCATTTGGGAGCCTGAGGTGGGCAGATCACTTGAGGTAAGGAGTTCAAGACCAGCCTAGCCAGCATGGTGAAACCCTATCTCTACTAAAAATACAAAAACTAGCTGGGCATGGTGGCGGGCACCCTGTAATCCTACTACTTGGGAGGCGGAGGCATGAGAATCGCTTGAACCGGGAGGCGGAGGTTGCAGTGAGCCGAGACCACCACTGCACTCCAGCCTGGGCAACAGAGCAAGACTTTGGGCTGCTGGTTGCCCATTTTTATGGTTATTTCTTGATGATATGCTAAACAAGGAGAGGATTATTTATGCTTCCCCCCTTTTTTTTTTTTTTGAGATGGAGTCTCACTCTGTCACCCAGGCTGGAGTGCAGTGGCACGATCTCAGCTTACTGCAAGCTCTGCCTCCTGGGTTCACACCATTCTCCTGCCTCAGCCTCCCGAGTAGCTGGGACTACAGGCACCTGCCACCACGCCTGGCTAATTTTTTTGTATTTTTAGTAGAGACGGAGTTTCACCATATTAGCCAGGATGGTCTCGATCTCCTGACCTCATAATCCGCCCTCCTCAGCCTCCCAAAGTGCTGGGATTATAGGCATGAGCCACCGCGCCCAGCCTATGCTTCCCCTTTCTAGATCATATAGGGTAACTTCGTGACGTTGCCGTGGCATTTGTAAACTGTCATGGTGCTGGTGGGAGTGTAGCAGTGAGGACGACCAGGGGTCACTCGTGAGCATCTTGGTTATGGTGGGTTTTAGCTGGCTTTACTGCAACCTGTTTTATCAGCAGTATCTTTATGACCTGTATTTTGTGCTGACCTCATATATCATCTTGTGACTTAGAATGCCTTAACCATCTGGGAATGCAGCCCAGTAGGTTTCAGCCTCATTTTACCCAGCTCCTATTCAATCAAGACGGAGTTGCTCTGGTTCACATGCCTCTAATACTGCTATTTCAACTGAAAGCCTAACTCCTGATAAGTACGCACTCTGAATCATCATTCAGCTATCTTATTTACCATAGTTGTGAAATTAATTAGAAAAAAAACTGAAAGTGCATAAGTGCGTGCGTTGTTTGTTTTTTGTTTTTTTTTTTTTTTGAGACGGAGTCTTGCTCTGTTGCCCAGGCTGGAGTGCAGTGGCGCGATCTTGGCTCACTGCAAGCTCCGCCTCCCGGGTTCACGCCATTCTCCTGTCTCAGCCTCCTGAGTAGCTGGGACTGCAGACACCCGCCACCATGCCCAACTAATTTTTTTGTATTTTTAGTAGAGACAGGGTTTCACCGTGTTAGCCAGGATGGTCTCAATCTCCTGACCTTGTGATCCGCCCGCTTCAGCCTCCCAAAGTGCTGGGATTACAGGCTTAAGCCACGGCACCCGGCCAAGTGCATGCTTTAAATGTCAGTTCTAAAAAGTAAATCTGTACAAGTATTTAGGACTGAAATATACTGATGCCTGCAACTTTGAAATGCAGCAAAAAATAAGAATAATGAATGGATGTGTGAGAAAGCAAATATAGCAGAATAAGAATTATAGAATCTAAATGTTGGGTATATGGGTAGTCACTGAACAGTTTTTAACTTTTTTTGGAAAGTTTGAAATTTTTCATAATAAAATGTTTGGGAAAAATAAACCTTATCTAGAATTTATAAGGAATATAATAGCTACACAAGTATTCTCATTAGATCAAAATATGAAATTTGACCTATCTTTTCTGTAAGTCAGAAACAGATTAATGTAGACTATTTCAGTTGGTTCAACCTAGTCCTAACATTGTATTTTATTTTTCTGATGACTGAAATTGGATTAATTTAAAATGTGATTCACCATAATACTGATTAATTATGCTGATGTAGCTATTCTTATTTACGTTTGTGTTAAGAAAGTATGAGACTAAAGAGTCTCTAAATATTCTGCCAGTATTTTGTTGCTAAAATGATACATTCCATTTCCTAGATGTATACAAATATGTCCACAAAATTACCTCAGTTGTGGGGAAAAATATATACTAACAACATCTTAACCAGCCTGTGTGCTAGTATACTTACCAATTGAAATTTTATGCAAAAATCATAGGTTAGAACCCAGTCCTACTATGGGTAGTCTTGGTGGTTGCACAACAGTATGAATATACTTACTGCCACTGAATTATACACCTAAAAAATGGCTAAAATGGTAGATTTTATGCTATGTCTATTTGACGATAAAATTTTTTAAAAAAGAACAAAGTATTTTTGGACAACCATAAGACAATGTGAAGGCCCAGACAGCTTAGCTAAAGTGGGTCAAAAGGGTCAGAATGCTAAACAAATGCTACCTACGTTCTAATTTTACTTAGATCTTATGAAACCTGACTGAATTTGAAAGCTGAATAAAACAACTATTTTGGATATTGATGCCCTGGATTCAGTTCAACTTTTTTTCTGTTCTAATTGAAAAATTGTAATTGGAGCACACAATTGAAATTCATGTTGTTCCACAAGGACTGGAGAACCTCACCCATCTATAATACCTGAGTATATAGTCTTTCCCACTGAGCATAGTTAAGCTAGTTGTTCTGACAGAAGCCACTTATCCAATTAATTAAAAAGTGCACAGTAGGTAACATGCTTTAATTAGCAGTTGTTTCCACTTGTACAAGTTCTAATGGAGGGGAGGAGCGAAGGGTCTCATTGAATTGAACTGTATTTGCCCTGATGGAAATCGATGTCAAAACTTGTGTTAATTGGGAGAAAAACTGAGGAATTACAACCTAATTCCACAAGAAAAAATTACAATTCATGAAGTACCCTTAAAAGCAAAGTGGGAAAATGTTTTAAAATTACCGATCTCAATAGAATTTTATTTTTATTAATATAAGCACCCCAGACTTGATACTTCTAGATTTCAGATTTCAAGCATACACGCCCAAATTTATCATATTGCTATTCTAAAAAAAAAAATCTTGATATATTTATCTCCTTTGTGCTTTTTTGAAAATGTAATATTGTTTTCTCTCATGTTTATACTTTACCGGAAAGAAAAATGGGTTTTTTTTTCCTCAGCTGAAAAATGGAATGAGACTGTATGTGAAATCACTCGTGTAATACTTTGTTTTTCCAAGTTCAAGGGATTGGTGGTGGTGAACTGGGGAGAACACTGAATTTAATATATTACTGTGCTTACTATTCCTCAAAGAATTATTAGGTCTTATAACAAAAACAACTTGAGGTTTGTCTCCTTGCACTCTGGTTCATTAGAGAAGGTGAAGAATTACTGAAAAGATAGAGGAGATTACATAAAAACAAAGTTCAGAAAACATAAGTTCTGTAGAGGAAGACAAGGAAAAACAGAAAAAGTAGAAACTGCTCTAGTGGGAATGTATTGGTTGTTTTGTCTCCTTAGTCTTTTAATATAGGACAGAGATTCTGTAATATAACATAGCAGGCTCATCCCATTAAGTAAGAGCTGCAGTATAGAGGAGGCTGGAGTCCTAAAGATATAAATGTCATCCTTTTCTCTTTTAATTTACAGAAGTTGCTGGGTTTGTTTTGCTACTGATGAAGATGATAGAACAGCTGAATGGGTGAGACCATGCAGGTGCAGAGGATCTACAAAATGGGTTCACCAGGCCTGTCTACAACGCTGGGTGGATGAAAAGCAAAGAGGAAACAGTACAGCCAGAGTGGCATGTCCTCAGTGCAATGCTGAATACCTAATAGTTTTTCCAAAATTGGGTAAGAATATCTTTAAAAACAACACAGATATAGTTGATGTTATTATATATAACTTTATAAGTTCATTTTAAAATGAACCACCTCTTTTTTTTAGGGTGTGAATTTCTATATTCCCTTTCTCTTGTTTCCTCTCTGAATGTCAGACATTTATTTCTTTTGCTAACAGTTTACAGTATCCTTAATATATCCCCAAATTTATCCATTTGCCTGTGTATTAACTGTCTGTTTGATAGAAAGGAGAAAGAACTTGCATACCTGTGTGGATATAATTGAATAACAAAGCTCTAATAAAAAGCTGACTTTTAAAAAAAAAACTAACTTAGCTTAATTATCTGGAGACGGTGTAAGAGAAAGAAAGCAGTAGTATGTTCTAATACTTCTCCTTAATTCTTCCTTTTAAGGAATAAAAGTAGAGAAATTAAATATTTAATAAGATGTGACGTTAAACTCATCTTTGGAATCCAATTTATGTGGTTTCTTTCATGAACCCTGCTATCCCTTTTCTGTGAAGTGGCAGGTAAGAAATAACCAAAGATCTTTGAGAACAGGCCTAGCATGGAAAAAAAGTATAGCAGACTGCTTACAAGAAGCATTCTAAGGCTGCTTCTTTAGCAGCAGTATAACTAAGGCTGATATTTAGTGAGCCTGTTCCATTACAGCCATACAGTTATAAATTGGTGTCAATCTCTTGGTTTGGTGTTTATACCATGCCAGTTGTTAAACATTTTTTTATAACCCTTGACTGTAACCAAGAGGTATAGGAAGGCAGCTTGGGTTCTGGGAAGGTCATAAGGAAAGAATGTCTTTGGGGGCAGAGGGAATTCAGGAAAAATTGGAAATAATTATTATATATATTGTTTTTTATAAGTGCTATTCATACTGAAATCAGACCAATGTTTTTGAAAATGTGGCAACATAAATGCAGATAATGAAGTGCTTTTCTAATATGAGAAGATTAATAATAAGGGCAAACAAAATGTCCTTGGTTCTCTGTTTTTCTCTAACATGCACAGGAAGAAATGATAGCTTCCTTTGAAGGGGAAGTAGTGTAGTAGAGAAAGTAGTGTTTTCAAACATTTGGAATTTGTGGACCATGTGATGGGTCTTCAGTGCATACCACTGATTTTAGATAAACACAAAAGAATAATTCAAAATGTTTTTATTGTAAGATCAAAGAAGTATTTTTAAATCAGTATCAGGAAAAGCAATGATTGTTCACATTATTGTACCACCACATGAATGGTGAAAGACTCACTAAAGTCCAAGTTAAGGTTTCATATTTAACTGATTTCTTTTCTTGCTCTTAGTTGTACTAAATTAGATAGCCCCACCTTTGAATTATAGAGTTGGGAAGAGCAACAATTAAATATTTCTATTAGATGTTTTAGATATTCAAATGGACACAAAAATTATTACAAGAATTCTCACTGAAAACTACATCAAGTTGACAAGTGTATGGCACTCGAAAGCAAAGTTGAGTATTTTAATTTTGGAGATGGCAATGTGTAGATCTGTCCTTTTGGTTGAATTCAGTTCTAGGAAATATGTTTTCAGGTTTAGTGCAGTAATTGAATATGGTTTTAAGTCTACCTAGTTGTTAGAAAAGAGTAAATCTTGGCTGGGCGTGGCGGCTCACGCCTGTAATCCCAGCACTTTGGGAGGCAGAGGCGGGCAGATCACGAGGTCAGGAGTTCGAGACCAACCCGGCCAATATGGTGAAACTATGTCTTTACTAAAAATACAAAAGTTAGCTGGACATGGTGGCGTGTGCCTGTAGTCCCAGCTACTCAGGAGGCTGAGGCAGAAGAGTTGCTTGAACCCAGGAGGCAAAGGTTGCAGTGAGCCAAGATCGTGCCACTGCACACAAGCCTGGGCGACAGAGCCGAGACTCCATCTCAAAGAAAAAAGAAAAGAGTAAAACTCTTTGGTTAAGCCATTTGTATCATTATTTAGTCTGCATATTTTGTTACTAAGAATTGTGGCCGGGCCGGGCGCGGTGGCTCACACCTGTAATCCCAGCACTTTGGGAGGCCAAGGCTGGCAGATCACGAGGTCAGGAGATCGAGACCATCCTGGCTAACACAGTGAAACCCCATCTCTACTAAAAATACAAAAAAATTAGCCAGCCTTGGTGGCAGGTGCCTCTAGTTCCAGCTACTCGGGAGGCTGAGGCAGGAGAATGGCGTAAACCCGGGAGGCAGAGCTTGCAGTGAGCCAAGATAGCGCCACAGCACTCCAGCCTGGGAGATAGAGCGAGACGCCGTGCTAAAAAAAAAAATTGTGGCGGGTCACAGTGGCTCACACCTGTAATCCCAACACTTTGGGAAGCTGGGGCGAGTAGATTGCTTGAGACCAGCCTGGGCAACAGGGTGAAACTCCATCTCTACCAAAAATAACAAAAAAAAATTAGCTGGGCATGGTGGCACACACCTGTAGTCCCAGCTACTCAGGAGGCTGAGGTGGGAGGATTGCCTTAGCCTGTGAGGTGGAGGCCACAGTGAGCTGTGATTGCGCCACTGTACTCCAGCTTGGGAGACAGAGTGAGACCCTGTCTGAACAACAAAAAAGAATTGTGGCCAGTCATGGTAGCTCACATCTGTAATCCCAGCACTTTTGAGGCTCAGGTGGGTGGATTGCTTGTGGTTACGAGGTCAGGATCAGCCTAGGCAACATAGCAAAACCTTGTCTCTCTACAAAAAAGAAAAAGAAAAAGAAAAAAAATTAGCCAAGTGTGATGGAGCACACCTGTTGTAAGTCCTAGCTACTCGGGAGGCTCAGCTGGGAGGATCACTTGAGCCCAGGAGTTTGGGGCTGCATTGAGCTATGATTGCGCCACTACCCTCTAGCCTGGGTGACAGAGTGAAACCAATCTTAAATAAAAGAGAGAATTATAATTTTACTCTCAAATGATATGTTCAAGCTGGTCACTATACTGTCTGTCATAGAGGTATGGCACTTGAGTTAGCCGCTTAAAATCATAGATATGTTTTAATGACATCAGTGTTATAAAAAAAAATGAATATCCGCTGGGCACGGTGGCTCACGCCTGTAATCCCAACACTGGGAGGCCAAGGCAGGCGGATCACCTGATATCAGGAGTTCAAGACCAGCTTGGCCAACATGGTGAAACCTTGTGTCTACTAAAAATACAAAAATTAGCCAGGCGTGGTGGCAGGCGCCTGTAATCCCAGCTACTTGGGAGGCTGAGGTAGGACAATCACGTGAACCTGGGAGGCAGAGGTTGCTGTGAGCCAAGCTCACACCATTGCACTCCAGCCTGGGCGACAGAGCAAGACTCTGTCTCAAAAAAAGAAAAAAAAAAGTATATCCTTCATTTGAGTAGGTATTGTTAGCATATTTCCTCTTGACAAAACAGAAAAACAGAGTATTTGCTGCTGCTGCTTCCCCCCGCCCCCCCCCGCCAATAGAGGTTGGGTCTTGCTATGTTGTCCAGGCTTGTCTCAAACTCCTGGGCTCAAGCAATCCACCTACCTTGGCCTCCCAAAGTGCTAGGATCACAGGCATGAGCCACTGTGTGCCCAGCCTGCCGCTGCATTCTTAACATGCTGAAGATACCTATTCAAGGGCTGCAATTTTAATTATATTCACAATTTTCCATGCAGTTATTAACAATGACTCAAGCCAGCTGTTGTCTGTAAATGAAGCCATGTGTGAATTGGCTTTCAGGTGGTGGGCTCTTCATTGCTGCACACAAAGCTAGTGCTCTAGCTATGCTGATTCCAGCACAACTTTTCAATTCAAGTTTCAAAAATAATTGTTGGTTAAAAGAAAATATCTTCTTCTAAAACTTTTAAAAAGTTGCTTGTATTTCTTGATTAACATGTTACATTCGTATATACTAAGAGTTGATTCGTACTCTGTACGCTAGTGGCTTCATGCAGCCATTAAACAAAATACTTAAGAGCCTGCATCTGTGATAATAATTGTTCTTCCTCTCTGTATAACACACGTAGCACGTAATGTCCGATAGTGTCATCTGATGATAGAATTTTGCCAGTAGATTGTTTTGTTTCTGTCTGAGCACATTTGTCATTAATTTTGCAGCTGACAGTAGTTGAATCTGTTTTGTTAAAAGAAGTACCTTTGACTATTATTTTGATCTTTTAATGACAGAATTCATAGTGGAGGCTTTGGTTGGTTTACTGGAGTTGTTGAAAATGATATGAACACTTCAGTGGCTTCTTGTCCCTATTTAATAATGTATCACAATACGGTGGGAACAAGGATGTCTCCTAGTACAGTGTTATCACTCCTAGTTCACTGGTCACAGCTCATTCTAAGATCAGTCTTCACTATAAAATCATACTATTATCATTTATGGCATTCTGAGTTAAATGTATTTTTCACTTTTACTCTTTTGAACCATTGATTCATTTCCCTAAATTTGGGATTTAACACAATATGATAGTAACAATAAAATACATATTTAACCAATGTAAACAACTCACATGATGTGGAAGTATGTTAGCCCTTTCCTTTTCATTTTCCTTATTATGATAGTGTTTTCTTAACTTACCCTAGTAGAGCTTGGGTGATCCTTAGAATGTAACAGCAATAAAGAACCTAAAAGGATTTCTGTGAAAGTCATAATCTCCTCAAATTTGTGAAATATTTGTGATCAAAACTTTTATCACTTTTTTCTCAAACTGTCTGTAGACCAAATAGATTGCCAGGGACTGCCATTGGTCCCCAAAGACACTTGATAAACACTGACTAGAAGAAGGAATAAAAGAAGATACAGAGAGGGAAAGGTGATGATGGTTAATATTCTATGGGATGATCTCTATGCAGCAGATTTTGTGTTTTTTTTTTAACTTTTCAAATGAATTTAGCCCCAGTCTGGATGATGCTAGCTGGCCAATTCTGCATCTTTTCTGGTACTTAGTCATGGCAGGAATGAAGAGGTAATATAAGTGTATGTTCTTCATTGTTAATAGGGAGTTACTTATTGTACTCAGTTGTGAAAAACTTAAGAGGATTCGTCAGAGTTTTATCCTTCTCACTGTTTGCCACCCATGTTACAGTTTGCTTTTTTCTTTTTTTCTGGTGAGCCAAGCCAGTTGTATGTATGTACCTACTTAAAACCTTGCTACTCAAAGTATGATCTGAGGACCAGCAACATTAGCATTGTCTGGCAGTTATTAGGAATGCAGAACACCACCCCCTTCCTCCACCCCACTTTTACTGAATAGAAGTCTGCTTTTTTTAATTTTTATTTTTTAAAGACAGTGTTTTGCTTTGTTGCCTACGCTGGAGTACAGCAGCATGATCATAGCTCACTGCAGCCTCAGACTCCTGGGCTCAAGCAGTCTTCTTGCCTCAGCCTTCCAAGTAGATGGGGTTACAGGCACGTGCCACCACACCCAGCTAATTTTTTTTTTCTTTTTAGAGAGGGGGATCACTATGTTGCCCAGTCTCAAACTTCCTGGCCTCAAGGGATCCCCCTCCCAAACCCCGTTGGCCTTCCAAAGTACTGAGAATGTAGGCAAGAACCACCACACCCAGCTGAAATGTGCATTTTAATGAGATAATTGAGTGATTTCTATGCACATTAAATTTAAAAACCATTGCTTTAAAACATGAAAGGAATACCAACTGAAAAAAGTTTGTTTTATAAATAAAACCTGTCCATAAACTTTGAGACCTGGTAATAACCTTGTTCAGGCAGAAGAATTCAGAGGAGAGCATCTCAAAGGTAGAGAGATCTTGACTCCCAAGGGACTGATTCACACTAGATTTATTTTCTTTTATTATTATTATTTTTTGAGACGGATCTCGCACTGTCATCTAGGCTAGAGTGCAGTGGTGCGAAGTTGGCTCACTGCAACCTCTGCCTCCTGGGTTCAAGCAGTTTCTCCTGCCTCGGCCTCCCTGGGATTACAGACATGCGCCAGCACGCCTGACTAATTTTTGTATTTTTTGTAGAGACAGGGTTTCACCACGTTGCCCAGGCTGGTCTCAAATTCCTGACCTCAGGTGATCCACCCACCTTGGCCTCCCAAAATCCTGGGATTGCAGGTGTGAGCCACCACGCCCAGGCAAGATTTATTTTCTTTAACTTCTCTCAACATTGTTTTATAGTTTTTAGATTTTTTTTTTAGTTTTTAAATTTGTTTCTAAATATTTTGTTCTTTTTGATACATTGTGTAAATGGAATTGTTTTCTTAACTTTGTTTTTAGATTGTTTAAGTATGTAGAATACAATTTTTGTTTTCTGTCTTGGAACACAATCAGCAACAATTGATTTTTGTAAATTGACCTTGTATCCTGTGACCTTGCTGAACTTGCTTAATAATTTGGATACTTCTTGATGGATTCCTTAGGATTTTCTAATATAAGATCATGTCATTGTTGAACAGAAATAGTTTTACTTTTTGTTTCCCAATCTGAATGCTTTTTTTTTTTTTTTTGAGGCACAGTCTCGCTCTGTTGCCCAGGCTGGAGTACAGCGCCATGATCTCAGCTCACTGCAACCTCTGCCTCCTGGGTTCTGTCAGTTCTCCTGTCTCACCCTCTCCAGTAGCTGGGATTACAGGCACACGCCACCATGCCCAGCTAAGTTTTGTAGTTTTAGTAGAGACAGTGTTTCACCATGTTGGCCAGGCTGGTCTAGAACTCCTGACCTCAGGTGATCCACCCGCCTAAGCCTCCCAAAGTGCTGGGATTACAGGTGTGAGCCACCATGCCTGGCCCAATGTGAATCATTTATTTCATTTTCTTGGCTAATTGCCCTGGTTATAACCTTTAGTGCAGTATTAAATAGAAGTGATGAAAGCAGATATCCTTGGCTGGGAGCCGTGGCTCATACCTGTAATCCCAGCACTTTGGGAGGCTGAGGCAGGCAGATTGCTTGAGTGCAGGAGTTTGAAACCAGCCTCGGCAACATAGCAAAACTCCATCTCTACTAAAAATACAAAAAATTAGCCAGGTCTAAGAGCACACCTATAGTCCCAGCTACTCAGGAGGCTGAGGCGCTAGAATCACTTGAACCCGAGAGGCGGAGGTTTCAGTGTATCAAGAGAATGCCACTGGACTCCAGCCTGGGCAACTGGAGTGAGACCCTGTCTCAAAAAAAAAAAAAAAAATGGCTAGGGGCCCACAACTGTAATCCCAGCATTTTGGGAGGACAAGGCAGGCAGATTGCTTGAGCCCAGGAGTTCGAGACCAGCCTGGGGAACATGGCAAAACCCAGTCTCCACAAAAAAATACAGAAAATTAGCCAGGTATGGTGGTGTGCACCTGGGGTCGCAGCTACAAACAATAAAGGGAGAGAGAAAGAACGGAAAAAAAAAAAACAGACATCCTTATCTTGTTCTTGTTCTTAGGGGGAAATCATCCAATCTTTTCTTTTTTTTCTAAGATGGAATCTCACTCTTGTCTCCCAGGCTGGAGTGCAGTGGCACAATCTCGGCTCACTGCAACCTCTGCCTACTGCAGAGGTTGGTACACGTGATTCTCCTGCCTCGGCCTCCCAAGTAGCTGGAATTACAGGCACCCACCACCAAGCCTGGCTAATTTTTGTATTTTTAGTAGAGTTGGGGTTTCACCATGTTGGCCAGGCTGGTCTCAAACTCCTGACCTCAGGTGATCCACCCGCCTCGGCCTCCTAAAGTGCTGGGATTACAGGCGTGAGCCGCTGTGCCTGACGACTTTTCACCGTTAACTATAGCCGTACTACACTGTACTTAATGTTTAGGTCAATAACAACCACAGTGGTGGTCCCCTAAGATTATAATTGAGTCGAAAAATTCCCATCACCTTGTGGCATTGTAGCTGTGGTAACATAGTAGTGCAATGCATCATTCACCTGATTGTGGTGATGAAGGTATAAACAAACCTGTACTAGCAGTCATATAAAAATATAACATGTAACAGTTTTATACAGTACATAATGCTTGGTAATAAATGACTGTGTTACTGGTTTATGTATCTACTTTACTTTTTTTTTTTTTTTGAGACGGAGTTTCGCTCTTGTCGCCCAGGCTGGAGTGCAGTGGCGCGATCTCGACTCACTGCAAGCTCCGCCTCCCGGGTTCACGCCATTCTCCTGCCTCAGCCTCCCGTGTAGCTGGGACTACAGGCGCACGCCACCATGCCCGGCTAATTTTTGTATTTTTAGTAGAGACGGGGTTTCACCGTGTTAGCCAGGATGGTCTCGATCTCCTGACCTCGTGATCTGCCTGTCTCGGCCTCCCAAAGTGCTGGGATTACAGGCGTGAGCCACCGCGCCCGGCCTCTACTTTACTTTTTATCATTACTTTTAAAAAATTTTGTGTGTTTGTTTTTTGTTTTTTTGTTTTTTGTTTTTTTTTCTGAGAGGGAGTCTTACTCTGTTGCCCAGGTTGGAGTGCAGTGGCGCAATCTCGGCTCACTGCAACCTCCGCCTCCCAGGTTGAAGCAATTCTCCTGCCTCAGCCTCCTGAGTAGCTGGGATTACAGGCACCTGCCACCGTGCCCAGCTAATTTTTGTATTTCAGTATAGACAGGGTTTCACCATGTTGATCAGGCTGGTCTCGAGCTTCTGACCTCATGATCTGCCCGTCTTGGCCTCCCAAAGTGCTGGGATTACAGGCGTGAGCCACTGCACCTGGCCAAAAAAAAAAAAAAATTTCTTTTCTTTTTTTTTTTTTTGAGACAGAGTCTCACTCTGTTGCCCAGGCTGGAGTGCAGTGGTGCAATCTCAGCTTACTGCAAAAAAAATTTTTTTAATATAGAGACAGGGTCTTACTGTGTCACCCAGGCTGGAGTGCAGTGTCATGATCATAGCTCATTGTAATCTTGAACTCCTGGGCTCAAGGGATCCTCCTGCTTCAGCCTCCCAAATAGCTGGGACTACAGGTGCATGCCACCAAACCTGGCTAATTTTTTTTTTATTTTTTGTAGAGACAAGGTCGTGCTTTGTTGCCCAGGCTGATTTCTCTCTTCTGACTTACAGGGGCCTTCCTTCCTTGGCCTCCCAAAGCACTGTGATTACAGGCATGATCCACCATACCCAACCACTTGTTATCATTATTTTAGAGTATACTTCTTTTACTTAAAAAGTAACTGTAAAACAGCCTCAGGCATATCCTTCAGGAGGTGTTTCAGAAGAAGGCATTATTCTCATAGGAGATAGTAGCTTCATGTTTGTTTTTGCCCCTGAAGACCTTCTAGTGGGACAAGATGTAGAGATGGAAGACAATGATATTAATTGATGATCCTGACCCTGTGTAGGCCTAGGCTAATGTGTGTATTTGTGTCTTAGTTTTTAACAAAAAAGTTTAAAAAGTAAGAATAATAAATTTTAAAAATAGAAAAAAGCTTATAAAATAAGGATAAAAAATTTTTCGCACAACTGTACAATATGTGTTTTAAGCTGTTAATACAAAAGAGTCAAAGTTAAAGTTAAAAGTGTATAGAGTTTAAAAGTTACAGTAAGCTAAGGTTAATTTATTATTAAAAATTATAAATTCAGTGTAATAAGTGTACAATGTGTATAAAGTCTATAATAGTGTATAGTAATGTCTTAGGCCTTCACATTCACTCATCACCCATTCACTGAATCACCCAGAGCAACTTCCAGACTTCCAGCCTTGGAAGCTCCATTCATGATTAAGTGTTCTATACAGGTATACCATCTTTTATCTTTTATACCATATTTTTACTGTACCTTTCCTATGTTTAGGAACGCAAATACCATTGTATTTGCCTACAGTATTCAATACAGTAACATGCTGTGCAGGTTTGTAGGCTAAGAGCAGTAGGCTATACCATATAGCCTAGGTGTGTAAATAGGCTACACCATACCGACTCTGTGATGTGCACAAAACTACAAAATGGCCTAAGGACACATTTATCCCTGTGTGTGGATACCCATCATTGAGTAACACGTGAGTGTATGTTAACTGGGTTTTTCAGAGATGGCCTTTATCAGGTTGAGGATGTCCCATCTATTTGTAGTTTGTTGAGGGCTTTTGTCATGAAAAAGTGTTGGGTTTTGTCAAATGCTGTTTCTCTGTCTATTGATAATCATGTGAGTATTGTTCTGTATTCTAATAATATGGCATATTGGTTGATTTTCATATTAGACTCGCCTGGGGTTCCTGGGATAAGTTCTACTTGGTCATGTTTGCTAGTACTTTGTTGGGAACTTTTGTGTCTGTACTCATAATGGGTATTGGTCTGTAGTTCTTTTGTGACATCTTTGGTTTTGGTGCTGGAATCATACTGGCTCATAGGATAAGTTGGGAAGTGATCCCTCCTTTATGTTTTTTAAAAGAGTTTGTGAAGGATTGGTGTTTTAAATGTTTGGGAGCAGTGAAGCCATTTGGTCCTGGGCTTTTCTTCATGGAAAATGTTTTAATTACTAATTCAATCTCATTACTTACAGGTCTATTCAGATTTTCTATTTCTTCTTGAATTAGTTTTGATAGTTTGTATCATACAAATTTGTCCATTTCATGTATATTATCTAATTTGTTGGCATATAGTTATTTATAGTATTTTTTAATAATCCTTTTCATTTCTGTAAGATTGGTAGTAATGCCCCTTCCTTAATTCATGATTTTAGTCATTTGAATCTTCTCTTTTTTTCTGGTCAGTCTAGCTAAAGATTTGTCAGGGTTGGCCAGGCGTGGTGGCTCATGCCTGTAATCCCAGCACTTTGGGAGGCCGAGGCGGGCGGATCACCTGAGGTCGGGAGTTCAAGACCAGCCTGACCAACATGGAAAAACCCCGTCTCTACTAAAAATATAAAATTAGCCGGGCATGGTGGCGGGCACCTATAATCCCAGCTACTTGGGAGGCTGAAGCAGCAGAATCACTTGAACCCAGGAGGCGAAGGTTTCAGTGAGCCGAGATCACACCACTGCACTCCAGCCTGGGCAACAAGAGCGAAACTCCGTCTCAAAAAAAAAAAAAAAAAAAAAAAAAAAAGATTTGTCAGAGTTTTTTCTTTCTATTCTTGCATTCTCTGTTTCATTTTTATCCACCCTAATATTTATGTCCTTTCTTCCTTCTGCTTGATTTGGGTTTAGTTTGCTTTTCTCCTTTTAGTTTCTTAAGGTAGAAGATTAGTTGACTTGGGATCTTTCTTTTTGTCCTTTTTTTTTTTTTTTTTTGAGACAGGGCCTCACTCTGTCAAACATGCTGGGATGCAGTGGCACAATCTCAGCTTGCTGTAACCTTGACTTCCTGGGCTCAAGTGATCCTCCCACCTCAGCCTCCCAAGTAGCTGGGACTGCAGGTGCTCATCACCATACCCAGCTAGTTTTTGTATTTTTTTTTTTTTTTATAGTGACAGGGTTTTGCCATGTTGTCCAGGCTGGTCTCATACTCCTGAGCTCAAGTAATCAGCCCAGCTAGGCCTCCCAAAGTGCACCATCACATCTAGCCCTTTTTTTTTTCTTTCTTTGTTTTTGAGATGGAGTGTCGCCCTGTCGCCAGGCTGGAGTGCAGTGGCATGATCTCAGCTCACTGCAACCTCCGCCTCCTGGGTTCAAGCAATTCTCCTGCCTCAGCCTCCTGAGTAGCTGGGACTATAGGCGTGCACCACCACGCCCAGCTAATTTTTATATTTTTAGTAGAGACGGGGTTTCACCATGTTGGCCAGGATGGTCTTGATCTCTTGACCTCGTGATCCACCCACCTTGGCCTCCCAAAGTGCTGGGATTACAGGCGTGAGCCACCGGTCCCCAGCCACCTTCTTTATTCTTTTTCAGTCTTGCCATGTTGCTCAGGCTGGAGTGCAGTAGCTGTTAACAGGTGCAGTCATAGTACACTGCAGCCTTGAACTCATGGGCTCAAGTGATCTTCCTGCGTCAGTATCCTGGTTAGCTGGGAGTACAGGTGTATGCCACTGCACCCAGCCCCTCTTTCTGTTTCTGTTATTTTTAAATAGATTTTAGAGCCTTTTTAGGTTCACAGTAAACCATATGCCAGCCTCCACCCCTGACCACACACACACAGAGTGCTGACTACTTTCCCCACTATCAACATCTTGTACCAGAGTGTTACATTTTTTACAGTCAGCGAACTTAAGTTGACACATCATTACCACCCAGAGTGTCCATAGTTTACATTAGGGTTCACTCTTGGTTTTGACAACTGTATAATTTATAATGTATAAAGGGTTGATTCAGGGTTTTGACAACTGTATAATAACATGTATCCACCATTATAGTATTATACAGAATAGTTTCACTGACCTAAAAATCCTCTATGCTCCATCTGTTCATCCCTCCCCGAGCTCCTGGCCACCATACATCTTTTTTTTTCTCCATGGTTTTCCCTTTTCCACAAGGTCATATAGTTGGACTCGTACAGTATGTAGCCTTTTCAGATTGTCTTTCATTTAGTAACATGCATTTAATTTCCTCTGTGTCTTTTTGTAGCTTGGTAGATCATTTCATTTTAGTACTGAATACTCTTACATTGTCTGGATGTCCCACAGTTTATCCATTCATGTACTGAAAGACATCTTGGTTGCTTTCAAGTTTTGGCTATTATGAATAAAGCTGTACACATCCATGTACAGAATTTTGTGTGGACATAAATTTTCAACTCATTGGGGTAAATACCAAGGAGCATGATTGCTGGATTGTATGATACAAGTATGTTTAGTTTTGTAAGAAGCCTTGAAACTATCCTCCAAAGTGGCTGTACCATGTACCATTTTGCATTTTCACCAGCAATGGATGGGAGTTCCTGTTGCTCCACATCCTTGCCAGTGTTTTTGATTTGGGTCATTCTGATAGATGTATAGAGGTATCTCATTTTAATTTGAAATTTTCTAATGACATATGATGTGAAACATCTTTGCATTTGTTTATATGCCATCTGTATATCTTCTTTGATGAGGTGTACACTTTAAAATCAGAGTGATAGTTTTCTCATTGTTGACCTTTAAGAGTTCTTTGGATATTTTGGATAAAAGTTCTTTGTCAGATGTCTTGGGCAGATCTTTTCTCCTTGGTTGTCTTCTCATTCTCTTAATCTTTCTCCTTTTCTTTCTTTCTTTCTTTCTATTTATTTATCTATTTATGAGACGGAGTCTCACTCTGTTGCCCAGGCTAGAGTGCAGTGGCACAGTCTTGGCTCACTGCAAGCTCTGCCTCCTGGGTTCATGCCATTCTCCTGCCTCAGCCCCCCGAATAGCTGGGACTACAGGCGCCTGCTACCACGCCCGGCTAATTTTTTTGTATTTTTAGTAGAGACAGGGTTTCACTGTGTTAGCTAGGATGGTCTTGATCTCCTGACCTCATGCCGCACCCGGCCTCTCATTTTCTAATGTCATTTACAACTAGAAGTTTTCCTCTAAGCACTGCTTTAGCTGTATATCATAATTTTTGTTGGGTTTTCATTTATCTCAAAATATTTTCTAATTTTTCTTGTGATTTCTTCTTTGACTCACTGATTATTTAGGAATGTAGTGTTTAATTTTCACATATTTGTAAATTTCCCAGATGTCCTTCTGTTACTGATTTTTTTTTTATTTCATTGTGATCAGAGAGCATACTCTGTCTGATTTTTTAACTATATTAAAACTTTTTTTAATGGCCTAACGTAGGTTTATCCTGGAGAATGTTCCATGTGCACTTGAGAAAAACATGTATTCTGCTGCTGTTGGAGTAGTCTATAAATGTCTAGTTGATTCTGGTATTTTCAAGTTTTCCATTTCCTTGTTATCTTTTACCTGTTTATTATTTAAAATAGAGTGGTGAGTGGTGGCTTGTGCCTATAATCCCAGCACTTTGGAAGGTCGAGGCGGGGGGATCATTTGCGCCTAGAAGTTAAAGACCAGCCTGAGCAACATAGTGAGACCCTGTCTCTACAAAAAAAAAGAAAAAGAAAAACTTTAGCCAGGCATGGTGGCACATGCCTGTGGTCTCTGCTAGCTCAGGAGGCTGAAGCAGGAGGATTGCCTGAGCCCAAGAGTTCCAGACTGCAACGAGCTGTTATTGCACTGCTGCACTCCAGCCTGGGCAACAGAGTAAAACCTTATGTCTTAAATAAAAAGAGAGAGAGTGGGGCATAGAAGTCTCCAATTACTGTTAAATTGCCTGTTCCTCTGGTTCCATACGTCTTTGCTTAATTTATTTTGGCGCTCTGTTAAGTGCACATATTTATAATTGTTAGGTCAAGTGCACATATTTATAATTGTTACGTCGTCCTGATGGATTGTCCCTTTACCATTATAAAATATCCTTTTTTGTTTCTAATAGCAATTTTGTCATAAAAATCCCTTGACCAATATTTGTATAGCTATTTCAGCTCTCTTATATCTCATTAAGAGTAAATTCTTAGTTTTCAAGTTAAATTTTTGTCATCTTTATTTTATTATTTATGTATTATTTATTTGAGATGGAGTCTTGCTGTGTCGCACAGGCTGGAGTGCAGCTGCACGATCTTGGCTCTCTGCAACCTCTGCCTCCCAGGTTCAAGCAATTCTCCTGCCTCAGCCTCCCGAGTAGCTGGGATTACAGGTGTGCACCACCACACCTGGCTAATTTTTTGTATTTTGAATAGAGATGAGGTTTCACCATGTTGGCCAGGCTGGTCTCAAACTCCTGATCTCCAGTGATCCGCCTGCCTTGGCCTCCCAAAGTTCTGGGATTACAGGCATGAGCCACCGTGCCCAGCTACTCTTATTTTATTGTTGCTCTTATAACTAAACATTAATTGAAACTTCTTATATAGAATTTTACCAGTAACCATCCTCAAAAAGTGGTTGTCAAATGTTAAGTGGAGTGTAAATGCTTAGAAGGGAAAGATTTTCACTAGGGATGAATAGGACCAATTCCTGGGAGAAACCTTCCTAGAGAATCTAGGATATAAAATTAATAGTTGTAACTATTTTATTTTATTTTACAATAAATATCAATAGCTATCATTTGCTAATAGGCCCCTATTGCCTATTCTTCCATTCTCTGTTTCATTCTAGGCACTATGTCGATCACTTTGCCTATATTATTTAAACCTCTCGAAAGCTCTGCATAATAGATATTGTCCTCAGTTTGTAGATAAGAAGTAGACTCAGCAAATTTATGTAATGGAAGCCCATGGGCTTCCAGCAAATAAAGCAAGGAGCCAGAATTTTACACTGGCAAATTTCTTGTTACTGTCACTCAGTGAGTCAGCTAATAGGCCACATATGGATAAGTAGTTTCTAGTACCATAAGAACTAATAGAGATAATGTGAATTTGAATTAATTTGAGAGACTGTTAATAAATTACACAAATGATGTGTAAGTAACAAAAATTTTATGAGTTGGTACCACTAGAATTGAAAGACAAGTGTATTGCCAAAAAACAAAATGATAGCTAGGTGCCTGCACTAACAAATTGCCTGTTCTCTTTTCTTTCTTGATATTTGCTTTGCTAGAAATGGAAAGGAATAGCAAATACATCAAAGAGAAGATGGAGCAACTGCAATATCTCATAAGCAGTTTTTTTTTTTTTTAACTCATTTGATGTTTAAGTTTATATTTTTCCCCCAGGTAATGCATTGACACAGTCAAAAATTCAAAGACACGAGGTACAGTAGGATATTTAATGAAAAGTCTTTCTACTATGTCTGCCAGCCATGGTGCCAAGTAAGTTTTCTTACTTGGTTATAAATTATAACTATCGTTATAAATTTCTGGTATTTCATTGCAGTTTGTTTCTCTTTTTCTTCTCTCTCCTTCATTCTTCTCCTCTCCCTCTCTCCCTACACTTACACAGAATCTACAAACGTAAGAGTTAAAGGAACATCAAGGGAGAGGGAAGTACCCAGGGTTTAGCAAGCTACTTGCAAGCTACTTGCAATGAGGGAACCAGGGAAAAAAACTTTAACACTTTTACCACTCTCTGATGTTCTGGTCTCTCCTATCATTTGAACACATCAGAAACTAGAGGGCAAGGTTGCCTAAACTTTTTTTTTTTCTTAGCAGTATATCGTAGATACCATTTTGTATTCATATATGAAGAGCTTTTTTTTTTTTCTATTAAAAGTAGCCTGGATAAAGAGCTTTTTAAAAAAAAAAACTGTGTTCATACATAGATGTATGATTACTTATATAATCAGTCTTCCTCCATTGATGGACATACAGGCTTGTTTCCAATCTTTTACTGTTATAGACAGTACTTTCATAAACAACTTTGGGAAGTAATTTTATGCATGTGTGCAAATACATCTGTAAGATAAATGACTAGAAATAGAATTACTGGGTCAAAGGTATGTGCATTTATAACATAATGGATATCCTATAATTGGCTTTTGTAGAGATTACACCCATTTAATCTCCCAACGGTGTATTGGAGTGCCTGCTTCCCCATTGCCTTTGCCAACATGCTGCTATCAATACACAGAACTAGTTATATCTGCTGCCTTAGCATTGACCAAAGCTCAGCAGAATGCTCACTCAGGTATTTTTTTTCTCTTTTATTATGAAATATTTCATTTGTGGAAAAGGAATATATCGCAGTTTCATGTGAGAAGAGATAAACAGGGCGAAGTCAACAACACCCTTGAAAAAGCTAGCATAAAAGGGAAAAAAAAAGTAAGTTTACAGTGGAGAAATGTGGCAAACACTACAACAGCCAAATAATCAAGGTCATTATCACCAGTAATGATTCATGTAGGTATTATGTACATTTGATCTGATGCAATGAGAATTGCACTTTGCCTCTCTGGTCTTCTTCCCTGAAACTCCTAACTCCAAGAGATAATGAGAAAAACACCAGACAAATTCCAGTTGAGGGATATTATACAAAATACCTGGTCAGTACTCCTCAAGATTGTCAAGGTCATCAAAAGCAAAGAAGTCTGAGAAACTGTCATAGCCAAGAGGAGTGTAAGGAGACATGACTAAATGTAATTCACATGTCTTTATTCTGTTCCAGAATCTTATCCAAGATACCACATTACATTTAGTCATGTCTCCTTACACTCCTCTTGGCTATGACCTTGATTATTTGGCTGTTGTAGTGTTTGCCACATTTCTCCACTGTAAAGTTACTTTTTTTTTTTTTTTTGCCCTTTTTTGCCAGCTTTTTCAATGGTGGTGTTGATTTTGCCCTGTTTATCTCTTCTCATCCTTTTATTTTTAATTCTTTTGGGTTCTTTTTTACATTTATTGTGATACTGATATAGCTGGATTTTTATCATCAGATTTTGTGCATTCTATTTGTCCTACTTTTTCCTTTAAGTTTTATGCTTTATTTCTCTACCTAAGTGGTTATTCTTGAAAAGTCTTGGCTTTTATCACTTCAGATATTGCTTTTCCCCCATTCTTTCCATTCTCATTTTGTAGAACTCTGAGTAGAGTTATATTAGACATTTTTCCTTTTTTTGTTATGATAGAATTTTTCATTTCCTGGGCTTTGTTATGCTGATACACTACGAACACTTGGCTGTTTAATATGTTGCCCTATCCTCTGCATTTTGTGTAAACTGGTGTTTAGATCTTGTCAGTGAGGTTATTATATATATATATATATATATTTTTTTTTTTTTTACAGGAATATCTGATAGATAGTTTGTGTGCTTCTTATTGCATCACATCACAAGGCACATAATGTGTAGTTGTTCTTTTTATGATAAGACCGATCAGTGTGTATAGGTGTTATCAGCCTGATCCATTCAGTAAAGTTGCCTATTCATTTCCACCTAGTTTTAGCAGAGATTGATAATTTATTTTTCATTGCCTCTAGGTCCATTGTTTCATTAAGTAATACAAAACATTGTCACTCTAATGTTTTCATTCTTTCTTCATTTATTGGCTTAGAAAATTTATGTTATCAATCAAGAAGAGATTGCTGAGTCAGAGGGTAAATTGAACATAGAATTTTGCTGGGTATTGCCAAATTTCCTGCCACAGGTGCTGAATCATTTTGTGTATTCACCTGCAATATGTGAGTGTGCCTATTTCCTCATGCTTTGCCAGTAGGATGTGTTAGCAAACTGAGATTTTAGCCAGTCTGTTAAGAAAAGATAACTTATTGTAGTTTTAATACACATTTCTTTATCAGTGAGGAGGCTAAACCATTTTAAAGTAAGAATACTTAGATTGTAAAAGGGTACTATAGAGTAAGAAATATATTTTCCCCAAACTTAAAACTTCATGGCTTCAATTTTATGGGGGTTTTATATTTTTGACTGATAAATCCCAAGGTATCAGTTACTCCATAAAAATACTCCCCATTGTTTTTCCTCTAGCCACATGGCCTTCTGTCACTCACATGAACTCAACCTATTTCTTTTCTGCCTGCTCATAAAATATATCATTGGTTTATTTCACTACCTAAAAAACAAATATGGACTTAAGAACTCAAGTACTCTCTTCATATTAATAAAAGTTTCTAGTAATATTTACACTTAGCCTTCAGAGAAATGTTTTCTTTTTACTTTGCTATATAGAAGTTCCTATGTATGATCAAAATAAAGAAAAATTTAAAAACCTAAGTCCTATTCCATAGTGATTTAGTCTTTGAATAATCTTTGTTGTCAAAGTTTATAGTTAGAGAACTCATTTAGTCTTTTTTGAGACAGAGATTTGCTCTTGTTGCCCAGGCTGGAGTGCAATGGCACAATCTTGGCTCACTGTAACCTCCGCCTCCCGGGTTCAAGCAGTTCTGCCTCAGCCTCCCGAGTAGCTGGAATTACAGGCTCCTACCACCACGCCCAACTAACTTTTGTATTTTTATTAGAGACGGGGTTTCACCAGGTTGGCCAGGCTGGTCTTAAACTCCTGACCTCAGGTGATTCACCCGCCTTGGCCTCCAAAAGTGCTGGGATTACAGGCATGAGCCACCATGCCTGGCCCTTCATTTAGTCTTTTGTAGCCCTCATTGGTTACCTTCTTGTGAGGCAAATGACTAGGATACCTTCAGAATAAGAGTTCCTTTTGTTTACTGCTGGATCATGTTTGGTCTTGCTCCCTAAGTCTTAAAAGTAGATTAGTTTTAAGAAGTATCTTTCAACAGTGTGAGACTTTCTGGGTACACACTGTATATGAATAAAAGTAGCTGAATTACAGGTCCAAAACATAACTATACAATCTTTTTTTAAAAGGAGGGGAGGATAACTGCTCTTTATCAAGAGAATCTAAATTCTCTTGATGTCTTCATTTTCCCTTTACATTGCCAGATTTCTTGGCTCCTTTGACTCCTTCCTTTGCTCCTTGTCCTGGATCTTTAAGGAAAAGGGCACCTATTCTTTATTTCTCACCTGAGGATTTCCTGAAATTGTCTTATTTGTATTCCAGAGCTATATACCACAAGTTTTTTCTCAGACACCTGCTGTCTTTGATTATGCCTTCTACTCCACTGTCCTATAATGTTTAACATCGTTTGCCCTTTTGGGGTGACCATATAGTTTAGAACTGGAAGAAATAATAGCTGACACAAGATCGTTACTACGTAACATTAAGTACTAAGAGCTTCATATGAATTATTTTAATTTTTACAAAAACTCTGATATACATAACACCTTCATTGTACAGATGCAGAAATTCAGGCCCAGAGATGGCACTTTGTCCCAATTCACACAGCAGACCCAACCTAATCCTTACCCACCTTGTTTTGTTACAGCCTAATGAGCCTAATACACAACCTTCTCATATACAGGGAAGAAGAAAATTCAGTGGTAATGTCAGGTTACCTTCCTCAGGGTAATGGTTACCTGAAGTTTATAACTCATTGTTCTTTTCTAAAATACAGTTTTTCTTATTAATAAGAACAATTATATTATCATCATGGAAAATGTGAAAAATATACACATATGTTTAAAGAAAAAAAGACTGTGTTATACAGTTAACTGGCATATATGTAGTATGTGCATAATTAGTGCTGCCAGCTGTTTTTATGTGTTAATAAAGGATGATTGGTGGTGGTGACTTTTTTCAGCAAAGTTTTTCACTTCCAGTTAGAAGGCTCTTCTTAGCATGCCCTGCTTGGTTTTACCTTGATTCAGTTGTGCTTTTTCTTCTTCACTTGGAATTGGCCTTCTTTTCACATCAGAGACTTCAAGTTTAGGTCAAGATTCATTTATTTAAAAAAACAAACAAAACAAACAGCAATTTTTAAAAACTGTTTGTATCCTTACCTCCTCCCCCCCCATAATCTTTACCTAAAATTTTCTTAACATCTGTATAGTTTGTACCATACTATCATATCTTTATTAATTTTGCATTGGAAGTTTTCAGTTGTTTTATGTATATTGTTTGTCCCTAACTAGATTGTAGACTCCTAGGGGGCAGCAGCTAGTGTGTTAAATATAATTTACATTTATTTTAATACGTAGTAAAATGTGTTTACAATAGATGCTTAATAAGTACTTAGTAGTTGACCTTACAGCTCACAAGTATTCTGTAGCCTATTATTTTATGAGTATAAATTTAAAATTTCCCTTGGCATAAATTATATAATCATAAGGAACTACTGTGGTGATCTTCAGTGATTAATCATGGAAATGCAATATATGAATTTATAGATATAGCATATATAACTATGTACCATATATATTTTCATATATAATCATATATATGTTTTTATATATAATCATATATATGTATATATAATCATATATATGTATATATAATCATATATATGTATATATAATCGTATATATATGTATATATATAATCGTATATATATATGTATATATATAATCACTCATCTGCTTTGACCTGAAGTCTTTTATTCTTCAGGGTTGTTTGGGTTAGTTGGTTTGTTTGTGGGTCCTTTTTTTTTTCTTTTTTTGGTCAGATACTATTTTGGACCAGGCATAGTGTCTCATGTCTATAATCCCAGCACTTTGGGATGCCAGTCACTTGAAGCCAAGAGGTTGAGACCAGCTGGGGCAACATAGCAAGATACCATTTCTACAATAAAATATATATAATTAACTTAGTTATCTAAAAAGTTGTCCAAGAACATATCCCTTCTTTACAATCTAATGATTAACCTTTTGTTATTAAGCAAAGTAACTTACAGCGTAAGTTTGCAGGATGTTTGTTCTTACATAAAGATGGTGAAATCTCAAACTACCAGCAGAGCAGTCAATCAGAGATGAAACTTACATAAGCGACTTTTCTGGGGCTCTTGGACCTAGCCTCCAAAGTGTAGTGTTTAAAACAGTGGGGAATGCTAGAGAAAGAGGTAAAACTCTTTACTATCGCATTAGGATTCCCCATCCTTTTTTTTTTTTTTTTTTTTTTGAGACGGAGTTTGGCTCTTGTTGCCCAGGCTAGAGTGCAATGGCGCAATCTTGGCTCACTACAACCTCCACCTCCTGGGTTCAAGTGATTCTCCTACCTCAGCCTCCCAAGTAGCTGGGATTACAGGCGCACGCCACCATGCCCAGCTAATTTTTGTATTTTTAGTAGAGACAGGGTTTCCCCATGTTGGCCAGGATGGTCTCAATCTCTTGACTTTGAGATCCACCTGCCTCAGCCTCCCAAAGTTCTGGGATTACAGGTGTGAGCCACCGCACCCAGCCTCCCACATACTTTTAATCAAGTTTGTTGTATTACTTGATATCTTCAATAAAATTCACATTTGTTGGCCGGGTGCGGTGGCTCACGCCTGTAATCCCAGCACTTTGGGAGGGCAAGGCGGGCGGATTACCTGAGGTCAGGAGTTCGAGATCAGCCTGGGCATGTGAAACCACGTCTCTACTAAAAATACAAAATTAGCCAGGCATGGTGACACATGACTGTAATCCCAGCTACTCGGGAGGCTGAGGCAGGAGAATCGCTTGAACCTGGGAGGCGGAGGATGCGGTGAGCCAAGATCGCACCATTGCACTCCAGCCTGGGCAACAAGAGTAAATCTCCGTCTTGCCAAAAGAAAAAAAAAAAAAGAAAAAAAAAATTCACGTTTGTTGGCTTGGGACCATATAATTAATACTTTTTTTTTTTTCCCTTAAAATGTCCATTTAACAACAGATTGAGTCAAGTACTGGCCACAGAGTACTGTGGCTAGGTCCTGTGCCATTATATTCCAGTGCCTTGTAGAAAAGGCCAAAGTGCCCCATACTGCCAAGTACCATGTGCTGAGATAGCTGTGGCCCAGAGGGTCCTTGAGAGTGATGCCAATCATCATTAAAAAGCATTTTTTAAGCACCGATCTGTACATGGTTCTGTCCTAGGCACTGTACAAAACGAGTTAAACAGACATGGCCCTTGCCCCCTGGGAGTTTTCAGTCTAAGATGATGCTGACATGGACAGACATAAAGGATATTGAGACAACTGAACAAACATTGAACAAGAACATAAAGTACTAACATTATGCACAAGCAAAGGGGTAAGTGTATTTTGTGGGGTAGTATGTAAAGGAAGCCTCATGGGACATGGACAGGGTGGGGTAGTCAGCCTCTATCAAGTTAAGTTAGTCTTTGCTGAGAAGTTGGATTTTTATACAGATTTAATCAAAGTAAGGACAGGACATTCCAGACATGTAGCAAAAAGACTTGGAGCAAGGATGAAAGTTTATATTGTTAAACTGTCAGTGGCCTCAAAAATCTGTACTTCTGGGTGGCTCTGAAAATGGGGTTGGTGTCTTAGCTTTAGAAAGTTGCCATTTGAGGGCCGGGTGCAGTGCCTCACGCCTGTAATCCCATCACTTTGGGAGGCCGAGGCGGGTGGATCATTTGAGACCAGAAGTTCTAGACCAGCCTGGGTGACATGGCAAAACCCCATCTCCGCTAAAAATAAAAAAATTAGCTAGGTGTGGTGGCATGTACCTGTAATCTTAGCTACTTGGGAGGCTGAGGTGGGAGAATCGCTTGAACCCGGGAGGCAGAGGTTGCTGTGAGCTGACATTGCGCCAGTGCACTCCAGCCTGGGCTATAGAGCGAGACTCTGTCTCGGAAGAAAGTTGGCATTTGAGTTTGGTCTAGGTCGAAATCAGTTCAATGCAAAGCAAAAAGCAAACAGAAAAAACATGGGAACTTGAGTGGCTTCTGTGAGCAGTCTGTCTTGCTTGTTGAATCTCTTTTATAAATTATTGGCCACTTAACAGAAGGAACTTATCGTCTCAGAAACTTATACCAGGTTGTCTTGTAAAGTACCTGTTTATGCTCATTAAATCATGTTCTGTGTTAGAAACTTTCGCACAACAAAGTATAGAATTATGTTTCTCTGCCAGTCCAAGTGCATTGGTATTTACAACTAATTGATCACAACCAGTTACATATTTCTTTGTTTCTTCTCCACTCCAACAGCTTCACTTGACTAGCCTCTAGGAGTTCTGGGTGTTATTATAAGCAATGCCAGCAAATGCTGAACATTAAGTATTACCTACCTGCCCTTCAGTCATTGACTTCTGAACTTCCAAGGTGTACCTTTAGCAGCCAAAATATAAATTTTAATTTATATTACAGTGGCAGCAAAAATCTACTTTTGTTTGCTATGTCTGCCAGACAAAACTGATTACTTCTTTTTTAGTAGACATTGACTTACAAGCCCCAGTAGTTCTCAGCTCACTTTTTTATGTCATTCATGTCTGAAACGTGAAAACTTGAATTTACCCAGAATATTAGGGTGTAGTTGTTCTCTTTACAAAAGCTTCTTTATTATACAAAAGAAGTAATAGTTTCCCTGCTAATTCCAAGCTTCTCTGGTGCCCTTTAAATTAATAGATTTTCAAAACTTAATATTTATACAAAGCTTCAGTTGCCATTCGTTATGTAAATACAGTGCTATTAGAAACATAAGTGTTGAGGCCCACTAAGGCATTAAAAATTCAATAATACCTTTTGAAAATATTGAAACTTTCTCAAGCCCCTATATATTTAACTTGTAAGGTACATTTATTATAGTTCTTCCTCTCCACCAGAATTAAGGTTTTCAAAGGCTGCTGTCTTGCCTTTTTCTACTTCCCATAACTTTTTGTGGTGTAATCTGACAGCAATAAGAATCTAATAAATGTTGCTTTTTTCCTAAGTTTACAACCCCTGGCCCCAAATCATGAGATAGTAGCACATAAACTTCATAGGAAGAGTATGAATTAGAGACTGTCCTCCAAAAGATTTCAGTGATTGTTCTTACTCACCAAATAGCTTGCCAGATAATCTTTAGCTCTCAGAAATACCTCCCCTGGGTGGCAGTTTATTATTCTAATGGTATGCTTAGCACTAGGCATTTATCTTTTCTTTTAAGTATTAAGCTAATCTTAGACTAGTGTCTGGAAAAGCCTTAAGAGATTTAGACAAAGTAAACTTAAGAGAAAAGCCAAGACAGAATTTTGTCAGAAAAACTAGAATTAGGTGCTATAAAATGCAACCTTTGCCTCCATTTTATCTGGTACATCTTTTGCCTATAACACAAGAGATGAGTAGAAAATTTCCAAAGAGGAAATATGAAGACTTTTTTTTCTTATTCAAAAGAATTCACACCCAATGATTCAGGAAGAAAATTGAGCTTGTTAGAAGCTTCTGAGATCTTCCAAGGAAAAACAAGAAAAACAATTCAAACATCTGTAGGCTGTCACTGTTCATGATAGATAAAAGTAATAGTGATGGGTTATATTTTAGGAATTATGCTTTCATTCAAATATTTGAATTTTGTTTTAAGGAATTATATTGCTTTACTCCATCAGTAGGTAGTTCCAAGTACAAGACAATTCAGTTCAACAAATGATTGAGAGTAGTAGGAACTTGGGGTAAATCAATGATGAAAACAAAGATCATTTTCCCTTTGGAGGTTTGTTTTTGTTTTTTTGGTTTTTTCTGAGACGGAGTTTCGCTCTTGTTGCCCAGGCTGGAATGCAATGGTGCCATCTCAGCTCACTGCAACCTCTGCCTCCCAGGTTCGAGCGATTCTTCTGCCTCAGCCTCCTGAGTAGCTGGGATTACAAGCACACACCACCACGCCCGGCTAATTGTTTGTATTTTTAGTAGAAACGGGGTTTCACCATGTTAGCCATGCTGGTCTCAAACTCCTGACCTCAGGTGATCCGCCCACCTTGGCCTCCCAAAGTGCTGGGATTACAGGTGGGAGCCACCATGCCCGGCCTGGAGCTTATTTTCCGATGCAAAAATCAGCAAACCTTTCTGTAAAGAACCAGATAGTAAATATTTTAGACTTTGCATGTGCCCATGTTCCAATAAAACTTAATTTACAAAAACAGGCAGATGTCTGAATTTAGCATACAGGCCCTAGTTTCCCAACCTCTGTTACAGTAAGTGGAAACATAATTAATATGTAAATTAGGGTATGTTATGTGATAAGTGCTTTAGGAAAAAGAAAAATAGAGCAAGGTAATCAAATGGGGAGTGTGATGAAGTAGGGGTTCGTAGGGTGGGCTTCATTGAGGTCAAGAAGAAGAGGAAGGGGCATGGTGGCACACACCTGTAGTCTCAGCTACTCAAGAGGCTTAGATGGGAGGATCACTTCAGCCAGGGGTTAAGCCAGCCTGGGCAATATAATAGTGAGACTCCATGTCTAAAAAGAGAAAGAACCAGCAAAGGAGACTGAAAATTGAGTAGTGAAATAGAAAGAAAAACGAGAGATGTTCTGGGATTGGCCCAGTGGCTCACTGCTGTAATCCCAGCACTTTGGAAGGCCAAGGTGGGCAGATCGCTTGAGCCTAAGAATTTGAGACCAGCCTAGGCAACGTGGCAAAACCTCATCTCTGCAAAAAATACAAAGGTTAGCCAGGCGTGGTGGTGCACACCTGTAGTCCCAGCTACTTGGGAGGCTGAAGCAGAGGACTGCTTGAGCCCAGGAGGCGGAAATTACAGTGAGCCAAGATGACGCCATTGCACTTCCGCCTGGGTGACAGAGTGAGACTCTGTCTCAAAAAAAAAAAAAAGAGGAAAACTGAGATTAGATTTGGCTAAATGGAGGTTGCTAGTGACCTTGATAAGCAGTTTTGGTGGAGTGGGTTCAAAACTAAGGAGAGAGATAGAGGGCCGGGCGCAGTGGCTCACACCTGTAATCCCAACACTTCGGGAGGCTGAGGTGGGCGGATCACCTGAAGTCGGAGTTCAAGACCAATCTGACAAACATGGAGAAACCCTGTCTCTACTAAAACTACAAAATTAGCCGGGCGTGGTGGCACATAACTGTAATCCCAGCCACTCAGGAGGCTGAGGCAGGAGAATCGCTTGAACCCAGGAGGCAAGAGGTTGCAGCAGTGAGCCGAGATCGTGCCATTGCATTCCACCCTGGGCAACAAGAGCAAAACTCCGTCTCAAAAAAAATAAAAATAAATAAAACATATACAGTTCTTCTGGGGAATTTTGTTGCAAAGGGAGCAATGAAATGAAGCAGTGGGGCAAAAAGGCTCAAGAAAATAATTTGGTTTTAATTTTTTTTTTTAACACTGAAGAAATAATAGCATGTTTGTTTGATGAGGATCCAGTAAAGAGTAGGGAGAAATTATGTAGGATAGTGGGAGATAATTGCTGGAGCTGTGGCCTTGAGTTGGTGAGGGGATAGGATCATCTAGTGCATAAGTGAGGGGATTGACTTCAGATGGGTGGAATATTGGTTGATGAGTACATGTGCTGGAGAGCGTCGATAAATGTTCTCTTATGGCTTCAGTTTTCTGATTAAAAAATTACCAGGCCAGGCATGGTGGTACATGCCTGTAATCCTAGCACTTTGGGAAACTGAAGTGGGAGGATTGCTTGAGCCTAGGAGTTCCAGACCAGCCTGGGCAACACAGGGAGACCCCATCTCTACAAAAAAAAAAAAAAATTTAAATAAAGAAAATTAGCCAAGCATGGTGGCGCACATCTGTGGTCCCAGCTACTTGGGGGCTGAGGTGGGAGGCTCGCTTGAGCTGGGGAGGTCAAGGCTGCAGTGAGCCATAATCATGCCACTGTACTCTAGTGTGGGTGACAGAGCAAGACCCTGTCTCAAAAAAAAAATCGAATTATCAACCATACGAAGGTTGAAGTGCTGAGGTTTTATATATACTTACGGTCTTTAACTTCTACTACTAGCATTTGAGGGATCTTTGGTGACTAAGATGACTTTTATTGTGCTTTCTGAAGGAGTTATAAACTTAACCCAGCAAATTTGTATGTCTTGAGAATTCAGCACTATATTCTGAGATTAAATAATGATGCATGTAATAATGCCTTTGGCACAGCACACAGTCTCTTATAGACCCTCAAGAAATGCTAACTATTTATTAGAGGATATAGAGTTGGTGTGCACTAAATTAGACTTATTTCATCTCTCTGGTCCCAGAAGATACCTTATCATTGTTTTAAATGTTATGTAAGTTAGAGCTTGACAGTAATAAGTAAATATGCTATACATATTATAAATGACAGTCCTTTGACATCTCTTCTAATGTTCTCTCTACTTTACAATGTATAGTCTGTCTTCATACAGTGACATAGCGATATTATTGGCTCCAGTGATCAGCAGGGAGTCTTGATCAGAGGCTCCATAGATGGATGCTTTGTTCTTACATGTTTCATTATTTTATCATCAGAATCCTATGTTAATTTATTTGTATAGGGAAAATAAACAGTTTTTGTGTATAGCATCTGCCTTTAGATTATAAGCTCCCAGAAGGTAGGTAATAATTCTTACACATTTCTAAGAAGTTTTCATATTTTTTTGGTAGCTCACACACACCTGTAATCTCAGTTACTCGGGAGGCTGAGGCAGGAGAATCACTTGAACCCAGGAGGCGGAGGTTGTAGTGAGCCGAGATTGTGCCACTGCACTCCAGCCTGGGCAACAAAGCAAAACTCTGTCTCAAAAAAAAAAAAATTAAAAATTAAATTAAAAAAATAAACTTAGGGCCAGATGCAGTGGCTCATGCCTGTAATCCCAGCACTTTTGGAGGCCGAGGTGGGTGGATCACCTGAGGTCGGGAGCTCAAGACCAACCTGGCCAACAGGGTGAAACCCCATCTCTACTAAAAATACAAAAATTAGTTGGGCGTGGTGGCACATGCCTGTAATCCCAGCTACCTGGGAGGCTGAAGCAGGAGGATCACTTGAGCCCAGGAGGCGGAGGGTGCAGTGAACCAAGATCCCACCATTGCACCCCAGACTGGGTGACACAGTGAGACTCTGTCTCAAAAATAAATAAATAGCTGGCTGGGTGCGGTGGCTCACACCTGTAATCCCAGCACTTTGGGAGGCTGAGGCGGGTGGATCACCTGAGGTCAAGAGTTCGAGACCAACCTGACTAACATGGTGAAACCCCGTCTCTACTAAAAATACAAAAATTAGCTGGGCATGGTGGCAGACGCCTGTAATCCTAGCTACTCAGGACGCTGAGGCAGGAAAATTGCTTGAACCCAAGAGGCGGAGGTTGCAGTGAGCCATGATCGCACCATTGCACTCCAACCTGGGCGACAGAGCGAGACTCCATCTCAAAAAAAAATAAAAATAATAAATAAATAAACTTAGATATTCAGTTATATTTGGCCTTTAAATCAGGGCTGAGACCCTTCCATTCTTCTGGAAAATTCTGGAGCTAAATTATACTGGGCTTAGTGGCAGTCAGAATACCTCCAAATGCTGCTTTTCCAAATAACTTTCAGAAGGAAGTAGTAGTCAGATTTCAGAGTAAGCATATAATAATAGAACATAATTGGTACATAGAGCTGTTGGAATGCTATAAAAACTGGCTTCATAATCATAAAAAGAAATTTGTTAGAGAATAATATTCAATTAAATACAGCATATTGAAAATCAAAGAGAGATAAATTGACATTATGTAAATACAAGAAAATGGCCCTGGTTACCTTTATGTACTGTATCAAGGTATACAGTGAGTGAAGTCAGAGAAATGATATTCTTACTAAATACGAGAATCTAATTGTTGCCAGGAATTTGATGGAAAAAGCAAGCTGAAATGACCATTTCACTCTACCGTGGCCAGTATGATTAAGAGATGAAAGTGAGAGGACTATTTCCTTTATAAGAAGTAACTATATTTGAGACTCTAATTTTAGGTTCAATAATAAAGATAATTTGAGGAGGCTGTTTACGAGAATTTATGAAGTAATATTTAGCTATTCGTGCAAATGACTGAGAAATTCTCAACTATTCTAGTCTAGGTTCCCATCAAATTTATAACAGTTATTTCTAAAGCATCAAAACATCCAACTTCATGAAAGTATTTTAGGCTGAGTGTAGTAGCTCATGCCTGTAATCCCAACATTTTGGGAGACCAAGGCAAGAGGATCACTTGAACCCAGAAGTTTGAGGCTGTAGTGAGCTATGATCATGCCACTGCACTATAATCTGGATGACAAAGTGAGACCCTGTGTCTTGTTGGGGGGAAGGTATTTTAGATCTATAGAAAATATCAAACAAGTCATTTTAAAAGTTCACCCTGTGTTGAACCTTTACTTCTTTTCTGTGTGTTATAGGTCCAGTGGTTTACGTCTTGGATCTTGCAGATAGACTGATCTCAAAAGCCTGTCCATTTGCTGCAGCAGGAATAATGGTCGGCTCTATCTATTGGACAGCTGTGACTTATGGAGCAGTGACAGTGATGCAGGTTCACTATTTTACCTATATAGTGATATTACTTGGTGTGAAGATCTATTAAAACATTTTTTGTTAGACATTTAAAAGTGTATTATTTTGAATAAGAAATAACATTCTCATGTTCTTTCTAAATGTTATTTCCCCTACTTTTTCTTTACCCAAAAAGGAGCATATTATAGCTGTATCTCCCTTTTTTCATAGTGAATCTTAGAGATCATTTCATATAAGTATGCAGAAATCTGCATAACGTTCTATCTATAGAATTACAGCCATTTACTAACCAACTTGTCTCTTGTGGATAGACGTTTAGTTAGTCCAATGTTTTGCTATAAAAACAGTGCTGCATAGCTTGCAATCCCAGCACTTCAGGAGGCCGAGGCAGGTGGATCACCTGAGGTCAGGAGTTCGAGACCAGCCTGGCAAACATGGTGAAACCCCATCTCTACTAAAAATACAAAAATTAGCTGGGAGTGGTGGCAGGTTCCTGTAATCCCAGCTACTCAGGAGGCTGAGGCAGGAGAATTGCTTGAACCCAGGAGCCGGAGGTTGCAGTGAGCCAAGATCACACCACTGCACTCCAGCACAGGCGACAGAGCGAGACTCCATCTCAAAAAAAACAGTGCTACATAGAACTTGGATAAGTGGTCAAAAATAAAAATTAAAAAAAAGGAAAGAAAAACAGTGCTACAATCAGTAACTGCTGCTGAATATTAGAGAGACATAAATTTCAAAATTTAGTCCCAAGCCGTTGACTCTTCTTTTTATACCTTCTTCTTAAAGATTTCCAGCTATCAACTTAGTTTTTTTGTGTGTTCAGGTCTTTTGTCCTGTTCTTTTCTCAAATCCAGTGCTGCAATGATCTCTTGTGACTTCATACTCAAAATTATTGAAATCAAACTTGTCACTTCTTCCATTTGAAACCTAAATTTATTCTCCGTCATCGTTCCTTTGTTTCTGTTTCTATTTTCCCATCTATAGTTTACATCCTTTTTTTTTTTTTTTTTTTTTTTTTGAGACAAGGTCTTGCTCTGCATAGCCCAGATTGGGCATGTGGTGGCACAGTCATGGCTCACTGCAGCCTCAACTTCCTGGGCTCAGTCATCTGTCCACCTTAGCCTCCATAGTAGCTGGAACTATGGGTGTGTGCCTCCATGCCTAGCTACTTTTTTCTAAGGATGGTGGGAGGGGTCTCACTATGTTACCAAGGCTGATCTCAAACTCCTGGGCTCAAGTGATCCTCCCACTTCAGCCTCCCAAAGTGTCCCAAAGTGCTGGAGGTACGGGTGTAAGCCACTGCACCCAGCCCATCCTATATTTTTAGAATTACGTTTGACTCTTCACCCCCCTCAATACTCCCCACAAACCGCCCCCCGACAAAACAAAGTCTTACTCTGTCACCAAGGCTGGAGTACAGTGGCGCAATCAAGGGTCACTGCAGCCTTACTCCTGGGCTCAAACGATCCTCCTGCCTCAACCTCCCAAGTAGCTGGGACTACAGGCACACACCACTATGCCCAGCTAATTTTTTATTTTTTGTAGAGATGGGGTCTTGCTGTGTTGTACAGACTGGTCTCAACCTCCTGGCCTCAAGTGATCCTCCCACCTCAGCTTCCCAAAGTGCTGGGATCACAAGCCTAGTGAGCCCATCTGGCCTAGTCTTTCTATTTTATAGCCTTCTATTCAGTCCACTGACCAAATACAAGCAGTTTTTCCACTTTGATGTGTCTTGTGTCTGTGGCTTCCTTTCCACAGTCTTTACCACCTGACTTCTTGTCACTTCATCATACCTGGATGGCTAAAGGACCTTCTTGGTTTATCTGACTTCATGTTCTTCTGTCAATCCATCCTTCCAAATGAATCCTCTTAAAATAGTACCTTCAAAATCTTACTCCCCAGCTTAACATCTCCATTGCCTTAAGTAGTAGTCTTCAAGAGCAGCATCTAGATTGGTTAAGTGTTTCCTAAGTAACTCTGTAGTAGTGAACACACTTAGGTTTGTAGATGATATAATTTGCTTTTCTTTAATATAAATTAGAATTTACATGAACAAAAAAGGAATGCTTGGAATTTTACCTAATATTCCAGGAACTGCATATGTATCTATGCCAGGGTCAAACCTTTATGGCTTGCTCCATTAATGGTCATGGTGAGACAGAGTATTATGAGACTTCCTTATAAAATGATGATGACATCCCAAAAATATGGATACAGTTAAATGAATCACAAACAGTGAAACATATCTGACATGAGTGTAGTGAATAAAGTTTGAGAACCACTGACTTGAACTTTAGCATGATTTGATACACAGGGTCCTCTGTAATCGTACTTCGTTCTGCTTTAAGGCTGTTGGGCTGTCTCCTCCAACCCATCCTTATGTTGTGTAGTTTTTCACCTCTGTCCTTTGGCTTACGTCACCTTCCCAACCTAATACCTGCCCTTCTAGTCTTCTGTGTACTTATCCAAATCTAAACCCTCCTTCCAGGCTTAGCTAGCTTTCCTCCATAGAACTTACAGGCAACTCCTGCCTGCTGTGATTCCTTCTTCCCCCACATTCATGACATTTTTATTCCTCAAATGGCAGCTAGTCCTGCCCTGATGAAGTGACATTTCTTATATAGATTATCTGTTTAACTTTTCTTGTTTTTAGGCCTTATTTTTCCTGTTAGGAGGTAATTTCCTTGAAAGCAGAGTCCATTTTATGCTTCTGTATTCCCTGTTACAGCATCTACATAGAAACTAACACATTAAAGGGTTTCATAAATCTTTGTGGTTTTGTTTTTTGTTTTTTTGTTTGAGACAGAGTTTCGCTCTTGTTGTCCAGGCTGGAGTACGGTGGCGTGATCTCAGCTCACCGCAACCTCCGCTTTCCGGGTTCAAGCGATTCTCCTGCCTCAGCCTCCCGAGTAGCTGGGATTACAGGCATGTGCCACCACGCCCAGCTAATTTTGTCTTTTTAGTAGAGATGGGGTTTCACCATGTTGGTCAGGCTGGTCTGGAACTCCTGACCTTAGATGATCTGCCTGCCTCTGCTTCCCAAAGTGCTGGGATTACAGGTGTGAGCCACTGCACCCGGCAGTCTTTATGTTTTTTATGTGACCACTTCAAATAATGAGTATTAGTACATCACCTGAGGAGGGAGGATCAGGATGATTTACTAAGACTGAGAAAGACATAGAAACTTAGAGCAGATTATACATTATTTAATGTACAAATACATTATATAGATATATATATTTTGCAAATGAGATTGAGTTATTTTCTTAAGACTTTATTGACCATAAGAAGTGAGATGGCTCTTTTTTAAGAAAGATTTTTAGGCTGGCACAATGTTAAAAGAATTTTGATAATTAATGGGGCACTTGTTAAAACACAAATAAATTGAAAACTCTGATCCCCAGCATCAAGGGATATAGTCCAAGACAAGACGTTCATAAATGAAACCACTGGAGAACAGTTACAGGTTAGATAGATAAATGTGATAAGAGGGCAGAAGACTATATAAACAATATTTTAATTCAGTAAAAGTGAAAGATAATTTGATTTGAAATTATGAGAAAAGTCTTGAGCTAACCCTTAAAGGAAATAATTTGAATTGGTAGAATGAAATAAGCAAGGAAGCAAAAACTATAGTACACATATGTGTTACCATTTAGAAATAACCTTCACATGTAATGTCTCACTTGAAAAGATTTTTTTTTTTTAGCCCAGAAATGAGACTAGCTATGACAGTAGGTGGATAGTGTTGTGTGATTTAAGAGTATTGGGAAGATGACTTTTACCTTCCTGAGCACATATGATAGAGAATGTGCCCCTCTACACCATCAGTAGTATTTAGGGTTTGCCTTCTAACACTTGATTGTTTTTCTCTGATTCCTTAACAACCCTGCAGTACAAGTAAACCAAATCAAGGAATCAGATCACTGTTATTTTCCCATTTATTTTCTTTCCTTCTCCATGGACCTGTCATAGAATCAATACTTTTTAGTTGTGGGGAACTTGAATAGGACCTTCCTCTTGCATTTTTATTGAAAAGACAACACAATAATTTTTTTTTCTCGGCACTGTATTGAACACCTAGCACTGATGCATTTAACCCTTGCAACAATTTTATGACATAGATTATTGTTATAAATTATTCCTAGTTTACTGGTTTAGAGAGTTTACAGGTCCAGTGCCACACAGCAGAGAAGCATTAGGACTCCTGTCCCTTGGCTCCTTAAGTGAAGCCTGGTCCCAGAGGCAGCTGGAACATTTTATCCTGGAACAGTGGAACCTTAATATGTTTAGCCTAGTTCCCATTTTTGCCTCTAGTGCAAAGACAGCCCCCATTAGCATTGCCCATTCTTAATTACAGTACTTACTTATCCTTGATTCTGAGTTAAAAAAAAAAAAACCCTGTTATTTCATCACTGTTTCATCCTCTTGTTAGGATTCTGGCCAGGTGCTGTAGCTCATGCCTGTAATCCCAGCACGTTGGGAAGCTGAGGCAGGCAGAACCCTTGAGGCCAGGAGTTGGAGACCAGCCTGGTCAACATGATGAAACCCCATCTCTACCAAAAATACAAAGAAAAAATTAGGCATAGTGGCTGTATTCCCAGCTACTCCGGATGCTGAGGCGTGAGAATCGCTTGAACCTGGGAGGCAGAGGTTGTAGTGAGCCAAGATTGCACTCCAGCCTGGGCGACAGAGCAAGACTCTGTCTCTAATTAATTAATGTAGAATTCTAATAATAATTTAAAAGCTCAGACCTTAATTAAAACTGTTAGCCTTTCAGCAGCAATGAACTGCAGGCCTACCTAGATATGAAAATCTAGCTTTTAGCCCTTCTGCAGGAAAAACAAAAAATTATTTTTCTCTAAACCTGCAATTCTATAGGTCTTTTGTTTTTCTCTTTTTTTTTTTTCTTTTTTTTTTTTTTGAGACAGAGTCTCATTCTGTTACCCAGGCTGGAATGCAGTGGCGCAGTCACGGCTCACTGCATCCTCGAACTCCCTGGGCTCAGGTGATCCTCCCACCTCAGCCTCCTGCACAGCTGGGACTACATACACATGCCACCACGCCCTGCTAATTTTTGTATTTTTTGTAGAGACAGGGTTTCACCATGTTGCCCAGTCTCAAACTCCTAGACTCAAGTTACCCACCTACCTCAGCCTCCCAAAGTGCTTGGATTACAGGCGTGAGCCACTGTGCCCAGCCAGGCCTTTATTTTATACATAGATAACAAATTCTTAGACATTCTATATAATTCCTGGAGCTTACCCCAAAATCGAAGTCTTAAAAATAATGTTTTTAAATCTTGGGACAAGAAAGCAGAATGTATGTGATTACACACAGGTTCACTGACTTTGTATTGGCCAAAATTAAATCAGGCCTATTGCTTAATCACCTTTCATTTATTGCCCCTGAGTATGACTGTTTTAGCAAGTGGTGTACTGCAGGTGTTATACTACCTTATTTCTTCACAGTGTATATATTTGCACACTTGTTTGGTTTGATTTTCTCTCACTTTCAAAAGACATCTGTTTAACCTGCCATTTTAGCCCCAGCACAAAATCATTATTCAGTGAATGAATGAATGCATGTGTGAATGATGAGCCTCATCCCACTTCTAACTTGCTTGAGCATGGGGCATCTCTCTTCACTTTAGTTGTAACAAGTGAAATACTGGGCCTTTGCTCATTCTTTGCCCTATTTCCTTCTTTTTTTTTTTTTTTTTTTTTTTGAGATGGAGTTTCACTCTTGTTGCTCAGGCTGGTGCAATCTCGGCTCACTGCAACCTCCACCTCTTGGGTTCAAGCGATTCTCCTGCTTCAGCCTCCCGAGTAGTTGGGATTACAGATGACCACCACCACGCCTGGCTTGTATTTTTAATAGAAACGGGGTTCCACCATGTTGGTCAGGCTGGTCTCAAACTCCTGACCTCAGGTGATCCGCCTGCCTCAGCCTCCCAAAGTGCTAGGATTACAATTGTGAGTCACAGTGCCCAACCCCTACTTCCTTTTTGTTTCCTTATTCTTAAACACCTTATAAGGTTTTTACTGCTACCCATGAGAAACAAACTTCCTCTTGTTCGCTCTAGTCTATACCTGAATATTCACTCTTCTTTATATTTCTAAACCCAAAAAAAGGACACATAACCCGACAAAGGATTTTTTCAAATATTCTGAATTTATTTGCTAACACTTTGAGAATATTTAATCATATTTAGTTATAATGTTAGAGTGATCATTATATTGAAATTTTTAATGATATAAAAATAGAATTTCTTAGCCAGACGTGGTGGCACTCATCTGTAGTTCCAGCTACTCAGGAGGGTGAGGTGGGAAGATTGCTTGAGCCCAGGAGTACAAAGCCAACCTGGGAAACGTAGCAAGACCCTGTCTTTTTTTTTCTTTAAAGGAATTTCCTGGCCGGGCGTGGTGGGTCACGCCTATAATCCCAGCACTTTGGGGGGCCAAGGCAGGCGGATCACCTGAGGTCAGGAATTCGAGACCAACCTGGCTAACGTGGTGAAACCCCATTTCTACTAAAAATACAAAAAAGTAGCCAGGTGTTGTGCCATGTGCCTGTAATCCCATCTACTCAGGAGGTTGAGGCAGAAGAATAGCTTGAACTCAGGAGGTGGAGGTTGCAGTGAGCCAAGATCATGCCAAGACTGAAACTCCGTCTCAGATAGATAGATAGATAGATAGATAGATAGATAGATAGATAGATAGATAGATAGATAGATGATAGATATATAGATAGATAGATAGATAGATAGATAAAGAAATTTCCTGGGAAATCATTATAGGTAAAACAGTCATGGCCAGCTAACTTTTGCTACCATTATGGAATTGGGGTTTATGAAATATCATAAACCAGACCATTTCACTTTAGGGCAACTCAAAAGGATCACCTTCCACATGCAAGATAGGAAGTTGTTAAGTTCTACCTGGAGACACAGAAGAATATCAAATTCGATGACATTATTGACCATTAGGAAGAGGCTAGCCTCCTGCCCTTTAATATTACATCTTAATTAGATAAATTAACCAAGTGGAAATCTGGACTATATCCATAGCTCAAATTTGGTCCTCTCCACACACTTTCATAAAACATTTCTGGGGCCGGGCGCAGTGGCTCACGCCTGTAATCCCAGCACTGTCGGAGGCCGAGGCGGGTGGATCACCTGAGGTCAGGAGTTCGAGATCAGCCTGACCAATGTGGAGAAACCCCGTCTCTACTAAAAATACAAAAATTAGCTGGGCGTGGAGGTGCACACCTGTAATCCCAGCTACTCGAAAGGCTGAGGCAGGAGAATTGCTTGAACCTGGGAGGCAGAGGTTGCAGTGAGCCAAGATCGTGCCATTGCACTCCAGCCTGGGCAACAAGAGCAAAAAATTCCGTCTCAAAAAAAAAAAAAAAATTTTTGGCCAGGCACGGTGGCTCGCGCCTGTAATCCCAGCACTTTGAGAGGCCGAGGCAGGCTGATCACCTGAGGTCAGGAGTTCGAGACCAACCTGGCCAACATGATGAAACCTCGTCTCTACTAAAAATACACAAATTAGCTGGGCATGGTGGCATGCCCCTGTAATCCCAGCTACTCGGGAGGCTAAGGCAGAAGAATCGCTTGAATCCAGGAGCCGGAGGTTGCAGTGAGCCAAGATCACACCACTGCACTCCAGCCTGGGCAACACAGCGAGACTCCATCTCAAAAACAACAACAAAAAGAGGTAAATTTAAGGCCAAGATTGATGTGGAAGTGAAAAGGATTTTGGAGAGAGGGAAAAGGTAGAAGTTCACAAATGCCAATTTTGTATTTCTCGCCTTCTGGGATCTACACCAATTTAGAAATAGCCCCAAGACTAGGATAGGGTAAGGAAAAGATTGTATTAGCTTCATTACCCCCATAGATAGGGTACCCTAGAGTTCCTGAATTGGGAAAAATGCCTGGGATCTGTAACCAAAACTGGACCTCCTACTACAGTCCCTCAATTCTAGACCTTGGAAGTGCACTTAAGGAGGGTTAGGTCTGTAGGGTAGACACTTAGCCAGCCAGAGACATCACACCCTATCTTACACACCACTAAGTAAGGAGAAAGAGCCAAAGAGAAATGAGCTTTCAGGCCATCTCTTGAAGGCCGGTCCTACCTCTTGGCTGGCTATGCTTAATCTCCTAGAAGGAAGATCAGGAAAACAGTTGTTTTGCTGGAAGACAAATAGGACTTAGAATTATATCCCAGTTCCGTAGCCCAGTCTAACCAAATCAAATAAAGGAATAGAAGCAACAATCAGAGGTCCCCGCCCCTCTATTGTAATGTAATCAGTCTGGGTCAGCCATTTTAATTTTTATTCCTGTGTGGTATGAAATGGCTTGGGAACTTTGTTTTTCCCTTGAATGAGACATTTCTTATAAATAAATCAGGACTGATAGCTTTCCAGCTTATTTTTTAAACTTTTTATTTCTGTGTATTCTTTTGAAATTAAGCATTTTCTATTAAAAAAATAGAGCTTAACATGCAACACCTCATTTGAAAAAGAAGTAATTCTAATATATGCTATCTGTTTCACAGGTTGTAGGTCATAAAGAAGGTCTGGATGTTATGGAGAGAGCTGATCCTTTATTCCTTTTAATTGGACTTCCTACTATTCCTGTCATGCTGATATTAGGCAAGATGATTCGCTGGGAGGACTATGTGCTTAGACTGTGGCGCAAATACTCGAATAAACTACAAATTTTAAATAGTATATTTCCAGGTAAGGCACTGAACTGTGGTTGTAAAGTGCATACCAAATTGATCTTGAAGAACAATAACATGCTTTTTTAGCCATGTTTGAAGGTAGTCTAACTCTTCTGATTTATTAGCACTAACGCACTGCATTTTTTTCCTCTAGGGATAGGTTGTCCTGTTCCTCGAATTCCAGCTGAGGCCAATCCTTTAGCAGATCATGTCTCTGCTACTCGAATCTTGTGTGGAGCCCTTGTCTTTCCTACTATTGCTACAATAGTTGGTAAATTGATGTTCAGTAGTGTTAACTCTAATTTACAAAGGACAATCTTGGTAAGACGGCTTTAACATTACTTATATTACCTTGCAAAAGAGAATGAAGTGTATTTGTTTTTAAAAGGTGGGGAACTGTATAAATATTCGGTCTGTGGCTCCTATGCATTAAGCCTCTATTTGAGCCTCACTATCATTCAATAGCTTGAGTGGAAATAAAAAGAGGAGAAACCACTGCAGCAGTTCTGGCCTTTTGGAACTATGTTGTAGGTGCTTTCTCTCCTGGCATATGCATGAATCATCACACCTGTCCCTCTTGCCAGTGGGATTACAGTACTTTACGATCAGACCACCTGGTTCAAATCCCATCACAGAAATTGTCTTGCTGTGAAATCTAAATCAAATGTCTGGACTTTTTGTTCCTGTAGTATGGTGATGGTAATAATCAGGATTATTGTGAGGATTGTATAAGTACTAGCACATAGTAAGCACTCATGTTGTTTGCTATTATTGTTACTCCCACTTCTCCCCTCTGGTGGCATGTAACCTGCACGGACCTTGGAGGACTGAACAAAGGGGGCAAACGTGGGAATAAAAGACAAAGACAAGAGAGTATATTTGGAAGAAGGGGTCAGGGGGCACCTTGCCTCTAGTGGACAAGGGCCCTGAGCTTTACACAGCCCTCTGTATTTATTAGGCAAAAGAGATAGTGAGAAGCAGGGGTGATTGTCGGGTAATTGTCAGTCCATTTGGCAGTTTGGTTCACAGCAGGCTTGCGAGACTGCATCATTTGAACAGTAGGCGCTAGATTTCCCAGTAGATAAGTTCAAGGAGCCCTGCACCAGGGAGTGATGGCCCCCAGCAAACCCTTTGGTGGCAGGCTCAGTGTGAGTTTACTCACATCCTGCATTCATGATAAACAGTTTGCTGTTTGGTCATATAGCCTCCAGTGGAATGCTGAGTTGGTCACGATCCCTTTGGCCTTTCTTGCTCCCAACAGTGGCAGTCTGCACATAGTGCCCTAGCATTCTTCTTTGTATATCAGAGTATATGTAGAACTACATGGAAGAAAGACTAGTCAGAAAGGATAATGGAGAAGGCATCTGTGTCCCCTGTTACCTGTAGTAACAGCGTATAGTCTGTCTCTCTCCCTATCTCATCTCCTAGTAGAAAAAGAAAACTGTTTCATTTGCAGTCATCTGAATTAGTTTAGCATCAAAGCCTACGTCTTTTGTGATCTAAATAAAATTATTTTTATTACTCTGTTTCTCTAAATCTGCATTATAAAAAGCTAATTTTCCTTTTTATTTTAGGGTGGAATTGCGTTTGTTGCCATAAAAGGAGCATTTAAAGTTTACTTCAAACAGCAGCAATATTTACGACAGGCACACCGCAAAATTCTGAATTATCCAGAACAAGAAGAAGCATAAAACTGACTTCTGGTTGTTCTGCAGTTCTCTCATCCTTATGAATCTGTTGTGTTGTTTTGATTCCATCATTAATGCACTTGTGGAGACTTGTGATAAGCTGCTGCTCCTATATTTTTTAAGAAATATAATAAAGCACTTAGGGCAGGGGAAATCATCTCGGTAATCATGGAACCTAAGGATGTGATTTGTTTTCATTGTTTGTATGTACTACTTTTATGGCAGTCATATGAACCATTATCTTAGCATGGTAAACCTGGGTTTTGTTCATATTTTCTCCAGACAGAAATGCAAAGATCAAACTGTGCAAATATTAAAAAAATGCACATGCTGTTTTATTCAAATGCCTCTTTTGTACATGTTCATGTTTAGTGTTTTCTCAGAATCAGCAACTCAAGGTACTATGAGGATTTTTCTCACTGACATAATTTGATTACATACTAAATAAGAGGATATGTTAATATGAGGAAATGTAAATTAAATTAGTTATAAATAAATAACCAAAAATGTATGTAAACATTCAAATGATTATCTGAACAAATGAGATTTTGTGGTGTTTTCTTTAACCCATGTGATGTCCTCCAAAATGTGTAGGGTAAAAATTCACAGGGCTTCCAGATCACTTTTTCAATATTAAATTTTATTTACATAATGTTGACATCTCATACTTCATGAAGTAATTTTGACTCATGCAGTCGTGTGTGTGTGTGTGTGTGTGTGTGTGTGTGTGTGTGTATTTGTGTGTTTCAGTGTTTCATCAGGTCCTTCCATCTCTGGGAGTTTTTTCAACCCATATTTCTAGAAATTACAGCTGCCAGTTTATAGTAGTTTGAGCAGAGGATGATTTGCAAAAATAAAAATAAAGTTATTTTACTCTCCTCTTGCATTGATTCAGTTATTGAGATATTCGTTGATCACCTCCTATTTCCCAGGCACTGTGCAGAGTGCTGTAGGACATAGTGGTGAACAAGACAGACTTGGTCCAAGCTCTTACAGAGTTGACAGTCTAGTTTCAGCACATAGAAAACCAGCAGTGAATAAACCAAGGTGAGGCCTTGAGCTCTTTGTTTTTATATTAATGAGGAGAAAAGTATGAAAACAAGAAGTCTTAAGTAAATATTGAGGTCATTGTTTTTGGCTTAAGTTTATTATAGAAAATCAACACTAATGTTTTTAGATTTTAATTGTCCTATTGATGAGGCTAGCACCTTAATCACTGTTTAGTTTTGTATTCATTTTTAAAAGCAATTATTGAAGCCATTTTCAATAGATTGGCCATTTTAATGTTCAGCAACCTGAATGGTTATTTTTGTTAATTAAAATTAAATTTTTAAGAGATATTTTCAAAACCCTATTTATTTTCTTGTTCACAGTAATGCATGTCAATAATAAATGTTTCCCCTTACTGATAAGCGGCCACTTTAGGAGTGTAGCAAATATAGATTGAGCTATGTTAGTTTGCAATAATATATGTTAACTTTAGTAATTAAAGACTGGTTTCTATAGTATGAATGTCTTAATTTTGAGTTATATGATGTTTATTTGAATGACTGTTGAACATTCAAATTTGTATTATTTGGAGATGAAGATTTGACTAACAGTGAGCCTTATTAAGAACACTACTACAGTTCTGAAGGGGAAATATAACATCTATGGTTATATATTTTAAAAACTTAGATTATAGGCTGTAATTATAAAATATATTGGCTTTTGTTTTCAATGTGAAAGATACATTAAATGGACACATATCTTGCAAAATTTTGTTGTATAGAACAGTTTTTAGGCAGCCTTTACTAAAGTTATGCAAACACACAGTTCCCCATTTACTACATTAATGCCCTTGACAGGGAGTAGCTGCTTGGTTTTATAGGTATTAGGGCTCATGAAGGCCGGGGAACAACTCTAATCCTTTTGGGGCAGGAGGGAGGGTTTTTTTAGGGTTGCGGGGAGGGAACTGCAAGTGCCTGAGGACCAGAGTGGCCTCTAGCCCCGAATTGAACACTTTTAAACCTAAAGAGCCTTATTATTATTAGCTCGAGAAATACCACATGCCAGTCTTCCCAGGAAGGTGACCTGCCTGACCATGAAGCAACAAAAGAGCATAGGCAGACTTAAAGTTGGATAGACCTGGGTTCAAATCATAGTTCAGCTTTCAATAACTGTATGTATGATTTTGGCTAAAGGATTTGACTTTCTCTCAACTGCAGTTTTCTTAATCTTTGAAATGCAAATAATGTTTATCTCAGAAGACTATTTCTAGGATTAACTGAGAGATTAAAGGAACAGCAGCACTTAGGCTCAAAATCGCCCCTACAAAGCAGTAGTTGTTTCTTAATTGCTAAGTAATCTGTTTGCACTCTAGGAAAAGTAAATGGAGAGGTAAAAGAAAGGCATTGGGGACAAATGAAAGAGATGATGTAGATTTTTCGGATGGGTGGGTATATTTTATTTTCCAGTTTATTTTCATATTTCTTTACTGTGTTATTTCTGGAAACTTTAATGTTTTAAACCTCTTTTATAAAATTCAATGACGACTACTAGAATTCTTTTCAAAAGTTAACTTATCTCCAAAGTGGCTGAAAATATTGTTTACCATTACATGATTATGAAATGACTGTGAAGAATATAAAATTAAACTTAGTGACTTAATTAGTCACTGCCTTGCTAACTTTGCTGTAATTTTTTTAAACGTCTTGTTTTTAATATAGCAAACTATCTCAATACTGGCTGGATTAGGTTAAATAAAGAATTTTTATGTTCTCTAGGTGTACTTTGTTAAATCTCAAAACATTCTGTACATACATAATTTTTTTTAATCACAGTTATCGAGATACTAGTTTTTGTAAGTAAAAGTAATCTGAATTTAAAAAAAAAACTGTATGGAAGAATTTGTCCTAATTTTGTAAACAGGCTAGCCTATATTCTAAGTATGTTCTAATGACTAAACTACATCCCCACTCACCCACCCTCAAAGCCTCTTGCACTGAGTATAATTAAGCAACTAGACAAGATCTGTGGGTGGTCTCATGCCATGATGTCTTAAAGTGTATTCGAGTGAGTTGGGAACACAAACTGCTTCTGAGATATTAAGAACTTAAATTTCTGAAGTAGAAGATTAGAATCCTCTAGAATGAGTTAAAGGTCTTTTCCTTGCATCCATTTGGGGATTATATTGGTTTTAAGTCATTTCATTACCCCATCTGAGAGACAGATGCTAAGAGGAGAAAGGGCATAGAATTGAACAGTCCTGGATGCATATGCTAGCTGACACTTGATTAGCTGTAGGGCAAGTTACTTTACCTCTCAGATCTTCAATTTCCTCATCAGTAAAATGAAGATTATAAAGTCCATCTCCTGGGTTATTGTGAGGATTGAGGTAACATTCTAGGACAGTTTGATACATAAGGAAACTAAATCTCAATTTAAGTGCATAGTAGAGGTTTTGCCTACAGCCTTTTTTGGTCCACTGGAGTCAAGGTTGCTGTTTATGTGCTACTTGCCACCCAACGTGCCCATTAGAAATGGTAAGAGTGATGGAGTGTCTTGTTTAACAATTGCCTTCCTGAAACAAGGATCCTGAGCAAGGAGAATAAAGGAGGGGTTTGCATCTGAATACCCGCAGAAGCCTTACGGACAAGCAACAGAGGCTAGACCATCATTCTGGTCAATCCCGAGTGAATTTAAGCATTTTTCTGAAAATAGCTAGGCCAGGGTTACTGTATGCCAACAACATACACAACTCAAGTAGATATTTGTTGACCTATGTATGTGGCTAGATATTGTGCTCAGTCCTGGGGTTTTAAATAGTGAATAAGCCTGCTTTGAGATAGAGTCCTAAACTGCATAACAGATCTTACTATGATATTACTGTCATAAGAACATAAGATCCATAAGGTTAAAATGCTTTTTGTTTAGTTTTCTTTACACTTCCCACACTAGAACAGCACCCGCACATGGTAGGAGCATGATTGAACATTTTATGAATTTGGGAAAACACTCCTTTTTAAGATCAAAACACTTATCTTGATCCTAGTTCTTTTGGTCTCCTGAGTTTCTAAAAATTTAAATATAGTTAACCTCTTTCTGCCACTTTTTTTTTTTTTTTTTTTTTTGGCAAGAAAGCAACTTTGAAAAGGCATAAAACTGCCTGTAATCCCAGCACTTCAGCAGGCCGAGGCAGGAGGATGACTGGAGCCCAGGAGTTCAAGACCAACCTGGGCAACATTATGAGACCCTGTCCCTACGAAAAAAAAAAAAAAAAAAGCTGAGTGTGGTGGCATATACACCTGAGGTCCTAACTACTTAAGAGAGAGGCAGGAGAATAGCTTGAGCTCAGGAGGTAGAAGCTGCAGTGAACCATGATCACATCACTCCACTCGAGCCTCAGCGACAAAACGAGTTCATGTCTCGAAAAGATGGCCAGGCGTGGTGGCTCACACCTGTAATCCCAGCACTTTGGGAGGCTGAGGTGGGTGGATCACAAGGTCAGGAGTTTGAGACCAGCCTGACCAACATGGTGAAACCCCATCTGTACTAAAAATACAAAAATTAGCCGGGCATGGTGGTGAGTTCCTGTAATCCGAGTTACTTGAGAGGCTGAGGCAGGAGAATTGCTTGAATCCGGGAGGCGGAGGTTGCAGTGAGCGAAGATAGCGCCACTGTACTCCAGCCCGGGAACAGAGTGAGACCCTGACTCAAAAAAAAAAAAAAAACAAAAGATATAAAACCACTTTAAGTCAGGTAATTATGAAGGGTACAACACTAATCAGCAAGACTACCTAAGAAGGAACAGCATTGACCTGACCCCTTCAGAATGTTAGTTTCTCACCTTTAACACCTGGAATCAGCAAAAACAGCAAACGAGTACCTGCGCACTAGCTTGTCTTCCGGGAGCCACTAGGACACCTTTAATAAAAGTCACCTAAGAGAAAATGAGGCACTGTCACACTTTGCTGCCCTTATGGTTCATTCATGTAGAGAAATCAATTTATTCATTGGGATCTACTTGGTAGCTCACAGACCAGTGTGAATGTCAGGAATTTGGGCATGCTGTGGTTGAAGGGCTTAATGTTTAAGCCAATCGCTGTCTTCCAGTGAAGAGTGCACACCATAATAGAAATCTTTCAGCAATGTCATCTTCACTTCGGTGAGCTCCTTCACACACAGACAAGAATTTATTGAACAATAGTAGGGCTTCCGTTCCAACTTTTGAAATATGTTGCCACCTCAAAAAGCGCATGGACTCTGAATACCTGTCCCTCAGGGTAATATGCCTGCTAAAGTCAAATAGGAAAATGAAAGAGGATTTTTTCCTCAAACAAATTCAAACCCACCATTATCTTATTCAAAAGGAAAGACCACAACTGTGTGGACATTTTACTATTTCCATCATTAGAACCCTGACCACTTGGCCATACACTCATTTGTATACTTTCAGATTTCCAGAGCCCACACTACAGATGCTCAACAGGACCTCTGCAACATGACATAAGTAATGAAGTACATTTTTTAAAGTAAGCTTTTTGTAAGTTGAAATATATATACATGCACAATTATATGTGAAGCTCATAGCAGTACTATTCACAATAGCCAAAAAGTGGGAACAATACAAATGTGCATCAACTGATAAGTGGATAAACAAAATATGGCTTATCTATACAATGGAATATTATTCAAGCATAAAAAGGAATGAAGTACTGATACGTGCTGCAACGTAAATGAGCCTTGAAAACATCGTAAGTGAAAGGAACCAGACACAAAAGACTACAGATATGATTCCATGTATATGAAAAATCCAGAATAAACAAATCCAGGAGACAAAGTAAATTAATAGTTTCCAGGAGCTGGAGGGAGGGAAAAATGGGGAATGACTGCTAATGGGTACAAGGTTTCTTCTGGGGACGTTGAAAATGGTCTGAAATTAGTAGTATTGATTGTGCAACTCTGTGAATACACTAAAAACCTCTGGATTGTACACTTCAATTAAAAGGTGAACTTTATGGTAAATGAATTATTTCTCAGTAAAGATTGTTTTTTAAATTTTTAATGTTTGTGGGTACCTAAGTATATATATATTTATGGGTTGCATGAGATATTTTGATACGGCTGTGCAATGCATCAAAATCATATCAGGGTAAATGGTGTATCCATCACATCAAGCATTTATCATCTATTTGTGTTACAAACCAATCCAATTATACTCTTTTCATTATTTTTTAATGTACAGTTATTGACTATAATCACCCTGTTGTGCTACCAAATACTAGGTCTTATTTATTCTATTTTTTGTGCCCATTAACCATCCCCACTTCTCCCCACACCCCCTGCCACTACCCTTCCCAGCCTCTGGTAACCATCTTTCTACTCTGCATCTCCATGAGTTCAATTGTGTTTTAATTTTTAGCTCCCACAAATAAGAACATGCAAAGCTTATCTTTCTGTGCCTGGCTTATAAATTCACTAACTTAATGACCTCCAGTTTCATGTGTGTTGTTGCAAATGACAGGATATCCTTTTTATAGCTGAATAGTACTCCATTGTGTATAAGTACCACATTTTCTTTATCCAGTCATCTGTTGATGAAACTTAGGTTGCTTCCAAATCTTGGCTATTTTGAATGGTGCTGCAATAAACATGGGAGTGCAGATACCTCTTTGATATACTGATTTTCTTTCTTTTGAGTATATACCTAGGAATGGGATTGCTATATTGTATGGTAGCTCTATTTTTAGTTTTTTGAGGAGATTCCAAACTGTTGTCCATAGCAGTTGTACTAATTTAGATTCCCACCAACACTGTATGAGATTTCCCTTTTTACCACATCCCCACAAGCATTTGTTGTTGCCTGTGTTTTGGATAAATAAAAGCCATTTTAACTGAGGTGAGGTGATATCTCATAGCTTTGATTTCTACTTCTCTGATGATCAGTGATGCTGAGCACCTTTTCATATATCTCTTTGCCATTTGTATGTCTTCTTTTGAGAAATGTCTTCAGACATTTTGCCCATTTAAAAATCAGATTATTATATTTTTTCCTATAGAGTTGTTTGAGTTCCTTATATATTCTGGGTTTTTTCTTTTTTCTTTTTTTAGACAGAGCCTTCACTCTGCTGCCCAGGCTGGAGTGCAGTGGCATGATCTCAGCTCACTGCAACCTCTGCCTCCCGGGTTCAAGTGATTCTCCTGCCTCAGCCTCCCGAGTAGCTGGGATTACAGTACCACCAAGCCCAGTTAATTTTTGTATTTTTAGTAGAGACGAGGTTTTGTATGTTGGCCAGGCTGGTCTCGAACCCCTGACCTAAAGTGATCCACCCATCTTGGCCTCCCAAAATGCTGGGATTAGAGGCATGAGCCACTGCGCCTATATACTGGTTTTTAATCCCTTGTCAGATGGGTAGTTTGCAAATATTTTATCACGTTATAGGTTGTCTCTTTATTTTATTGATTGTATCTTTTGCTGTGCAGAAGCTTTTTAACTTGATGTGATCCCATTTGTCCCTTCTCACTTTGGTTCCCTGTGCTTCTGAGGTATTACTCAAGAGATCTTTGCCCACTCCAATATGCTAAAGAGTTTCCCCAATGCTTTCCTTTCTTTCTTTTTTTTCTTATTTTTTTATTTTTTTATTTTTTGGAGACAGAGTCTCATTCTGTTGCCCAGGATGGAGTGCAGTGGTGCAATCGTGGCTCACTGCAACCTCTGCCTACTGGGCTGAAGTGATTGTCCCACCTCAGCCCCCCACAAGTAGTTGAGACTACAGGCATGCATCATCATGCCTGGCTAATTTTTGTATTTTTAGTAAAGATGGGGTTTCACTTTGTTGGCCAGTCTGGTCTTGAACACTTGACCTCAAGTGATCCACCCACCTCAGCCTCCCAAAGTGCTGGGATGACAAGCATGAGCCACCTTGCCCAGTCAAGTTTCCCCATTGTTTTCTTGTAGCAGTTTCATAGTTTGAGTTATTAGATTTAGGTCTTTAATACATTTTGACTTGATTTTTGCATATGGCAAGACATAGGGGTCTAGTTTCATTCTTCTGCATATAGATATCCAGTCTCCCAGCACCATTTATTAAGGAAACTTTCCTTCCCCCAGTGTATGTTTTTGGCACATTTGTTAGAAATGAGTTCACCACAGATGTATGGATTTATTTCTGGGTTCTCTATTCTGTTCCACTGGTCTATGTATCTGTCTTTATGCCAGTATCATGCCATTTTTGTTACTATAGCTTTGTAATATAATTTGAAGTCAGCTAATGTGATTCCTCCAGTTTTGTTCTTTTTGCTTAGGATAGCTTTGGCTATTCTGGATCTGTTGAGGTTCCATAAACATTTTAAGATTGTTTTATCTATGTCTGTGAAGAAAGTCATTAGTATTTTGATAGGGATTGCATTGAATCTGTAGATTACTTTGGGTAGTATGGACATTTTAACAGTATTGATTCTTTTAATCCATGAACATGGGATATCTTTCCATTTTTTGTGTGTGTCCTCTTCAATATCTTGCATCAGTGTTTTATAGTTTTCTTTTTTTTTTTTTTTTCTTTTTTCAAACAGGGTTTCACTCTGTCTCCCAGGCTGGAGTACAGTGGTGCAATCTCAGCTCACTGCAACCTCTACCTCCTGAGTCCAGATGATCCTCCTGCCTCAGCCTCCCAAGTAACTGGGACTACAGGCATGCTCCACCATGCTCAGCCAAAGTATTTTACAGTTTTCATTGCAGAGATCTTTCACTTCTTTGATAAGTTAACTCCTAGGTATTTAATTGTATTCGTAGCTGTTGTTAATGGGATTACTTTCTTGAATTCTTTTTCAGATTGTTCACTGTTGCCGTATAGAAATGCTACTGATTTTTGTATGTTGATTTTGTATCCTGCAACTTTACTGAATTTACTAGTTCTAATAGTTTTCTTATGGAGTCTTTAGGTTTTTCCAACTATAAGATCATATCATCTGCAAACAAGGATAACTTGACTTCTTCCTTTCCAATTTGGATGCCCTTCATATCTTGATTGCTCTAGGTAGGACTTCCAGTACTATGTTGAATAACAGTGGTAAAAGTAGGCATCCTGGCCAGGCACGGTGGCTCACACCTGTAATCCCAGCACTTTGGGAGGCCAAGGTGGGAGGATCACTGAGGTCGGCAGTTCGAGACCAGCCTGACCAAATAGAGAAACCCTGTCTCTACTAAAAACACAAAATTAGCTGGGTGTGGTGGTGCATTCCTGTAATCCCAGCTACTCAGGAGGCTGAGGCAGGAGAAATCACTTGAACCCAGGAGGTGGAGGTTGCGGTGAGCCAAGATCGCATCATTGAACTGCAGCCTGGGCAACAAGAGTGAAACTCCGTCCCAAAAGAACAAAAAAAACAAACAAAAAAAAAACAGTGGGCATCCTTGTCATGTTCCAGATTTTAAAGGAAAGGCTTTTAGTTTTTCCCCATTCAGTATGATACTAGCTATGGGTCTGTCATACCTGGCTGTTACTGTGTTGGGGTATGTTCCTTCTATACTCAGTTTTTTGAGAGTTTTTTTATCATGAAGGGATGTTGAATTTTATCACATGCTTTTTCAGCATCAGTTGAAATGATCAAATGGTTTTTGTCCTTCATTCTGTTGATATGATGTATCACATTGATTGATTTCCATATGTTGAACCATCCTTGCATCCCTGGGATAAATCCCACTTGGTCATGATGAATGATCTTTTTAAAGTGTTGTTGAATTCAGTTTGCTAGTATTTTGTTGAGGATTTTTGCATCAATATTCATCAGTGATATTGGCCTATAGTTTTCTTTTTTTGATGTGTCTTTGTCTGGTTTTGGTATCAGGGTAATACTGGCCTCATAGAATAAGTTTATAAGTATTCCCTCCTCCTCTGTTTTTCAGAATAGTTCGACTAGAATTGGTATTATTTCTTCTTTAAATGTTTAGTAGAATTTAGCAGTGAAGTCATGTGGTCCTGGGCTTTTCTTTGCTGGAAGTCTTTTTATGTCTTCAATCTTGTTACTTATTGGTCCATTCAGGTTTTGGATTTCTTCATGGTTCAATCTTGGTAGGTTGTATGCATCTAGGAATTTATCCATTTCTTCTAGATTTTCCAATTTATTGGCATATAGTTGCTCATACTAGCCACTAATGATCCTTTGAATTTTTACAGTATCAGTTGTAATGTCTCCTTTTTCATCTCTCGTTTTATTTATTTGTGTCTCCTCTCTTTTTTCCTAGTTAGTCTGGCAAAAGGTTTGTCCTTTTTTTTCCTTTCAAAAAGCCAACTTTTTGTTTTGTTGATATTTTGTACTGTTTTCTTCAATTTCATTTATCACTGCTTTGATCTTTATTTCTTGCCTTCTAACTTTGTGTTTGGTTTGCTCTCGCTTTTCCAGTCCTTTAACATGCATCATTAGGTCATTTATTTGAAGTTTTTGTTTTGTTTTGTTTTGTTTTTATTTTTGAGACGAGGTCTCACTTTGTTGCCCAGGATGGAGTGCAGTGGCATGAACATGGCTAACTGCATCCTCGATCTCCTGGACACAATCAGTCCTCCCAAGTAGACTTCCAAGTAGCTGGGACTACAGTCTTGTACCACCACACCCAACTAACTTTTGTATCTTTTTTGTTTTTTGGTGTTCTTTTGAGACAGAGTCTTGCTCTGTCGCCCAGGCTGGAAGGCAGTGGCGTGATCTCAGCTCACTGCAACCTCCAGCTTCCAGGTTCAAGTGATTATCCTGCCTCAGCCTCCCAAGTAGCTGGGATTACAGACGTGTACCACCATGCCTGGCTAACTTTTGTATTTTTTGGTAAAGACAGGGTTTCACCATGTTGGCTAGGCTGGTCTCCACCTCCTGATCTCAGGTGATCTGCCTGCCTTGGCCTCCCAAAGTGCTGGGATTACAGGCATGAGCCACCACGCCTGTCCTATTTTTTGTAGAGAATGGGCTTCACCATGTTGCCCAGGCTGGCTTCAAACTCCTGAGCTCAAGTGATCCACCTGCCTCAGCCTCCCAAAGTGCTGAGATTATAGTCATGAGCCACTGCATCCGGGCTTTTTTTTTTTTTTTTTTTTTTGAGACAGTCTTGCTCTGTCACCTAGGCTGGGGTGCAGCAGCACGATCTCGGTTCACAGCAACCTCTGCCTCATGGGTTCAAGCAATTCTCCTGCCTCAGCCTCCTGAGTAGCTAGGATTACAGGTGCGTGCCACCGTCCTTGGCTAATTTTTGTATTTTTAGTAGAGACAGGGTTTCACCATGTTAGCCAGGCTGGTCTCGAACTCCTGACCTCATGATCCACCCACCTCAGCCTCCCAAAGTGCTGGGATTACAGGCGTGAGCCACTGCACCTGGCCCTTTAAAAAAATTTTTTGATATAGGCACTTATAGCTATAAACTTCCCTCTTAGTATTGCTTTCACTGTATCCCATAGGTTTTAGTATGTCATATTTCCATTTGTTTCAAGAAATTTTTCAATTTTCTTCATAATTTCTTCACTGACCCACTGGTTATTCAGGAGCATATTGTTTAATTTCCATATGTTTGTATAGTTTCCAAAGTTCTTCTTGTTGTTGATTTTTAATTTTATCCCATTGTGGTCAGGGGAGATGACTGATACTATTTCAACTTTTTTTAATGCTTTAAGATGTATTTTGTCAGACAAACCTACAGAATGGGAGAAAATGTTTGCAAACTGTGCATCCAGCAAAGGTCTAATATTCAGAATCTATAAGGAACTTAAACAAATTTACAAACAAAAACCAAACAACTCCATTAAAAAGTGGGCAAAAAATTTGGGCAACATGGTGAAACCCCATCTATACAAAAAATGCCAAAAAAAATTAGCTGGACATGGTGGCACACACCTGTAGTCCCAGCTACTCAGGAGGCTGAGGTGGGAGGATCACTTGAGCTCAGGAGGCTGAGGTTGTGGTGAGCTGAGATCGTGCCACTGCACTGCAGCCTGGGAGACAGCGAGATCCTGTCTCAAAAAAAAAAAAAAAAGTGGGCAAAAGATGCAAACAGACAATTTTCAAAAGAAGACATATGCATGGCCAACAAGCATATGGAAAAATGCACAACATCACTAATCATTAGAGAAATGCAAATCAAAACCACAATAAGAAATCCTTTCATACCAGTCAGACTGGCCATTGTTAAAAAGTCAAAAAATAAAAGATGCTGGCAAGGTGGTAGAGAAAAGGGAACACTTATACATTGCTGGTGGGAATGGAAATTAGTTCAGCCATTGTGGAAAGCAGTTTGGTAATTTCTCAGACAACTTAAAATGGAATTGCCATTCTACCCAGCGATCCCATTACTGGGTATATATGCAAAGGAATATGAATCGTTCTACCATAAGGGCACACACACACACACACACACACACATATGTTCATTGCCACACTGTTCACAACAGCAAAGACATGGAATCAACCTAAATACCCATCAACTGTAGACTGAATTTTTAAAAATACAGTACATATACACAATGGAATACTATGCAGCCTTGAAAAGCGAATGAGATCATGTTCTTTGCAGCACCATGGATGGAGCTGGAGTATATTATCCTAAGCAAACTAACATAGGAATAGAAAACTGAATTTTCACTTATAAGTGGGAGCGAAACACTGAATACATATGGACACAAAGAAGGGAACAACAGCACTGGGGCCTACCTGAAGGTGGAGGGTGAGAGGAGTGTGAGGATCAAAAACTACTTATTGGGTACCATAGTACCCGGTATTTTGCCTGGGGGACAAAATCTGTAAACCAAATGCCCACAACACAAAATTTACTTATATAACAAGCCTGCACGTGTATCCCTGAACCTAAAGGGCCGGGTGCAGTGGCTCACACCTGTAATCTCCACACTTTGGGAGGCCGGGGCAGGCAGATTGCTTGAGGCCAGGAGTTCTGAGACCAGCCTGGGCAACCTCGCAAAACCCCATCTCTACAAAAAAAAATACAAATATTAGCCAGGTGTGGTGGCACATGCCTGTAGGTCCAACTACTCAGGAGGCTGAGATGAGAGAATCACTTGAGCTCAGGAGGCAGAGATTGCAGTGAGCCAAGATTGTGCCACTGTACTCCACCCCGGGCGCCAGAGCAAGACTGTCTCAAAAAAAAAAAAAAAGAAACCTGTTTGTGATATAAAATACGGTCTGTCCTTGAGAATAATCCATGTGCTGAGGGATAGAATGTGTATTCAGCTGCTGGATGAAAATGTTCTGCAGATATCTATTAGGTCCATTTGATCTACAGTGCAGATTCAGTCTTCTATTTCTTCATTTTTTGTCTGGAAGATCTATCCAATGCTGAAAGTGGGGTATTGAAGTCTCTAGCTATTATTATATTGGGGTCTACCTCTTTCTTTTTTTTTTGAGATGGAATCTCACTCTGTCGCCATGCTTGGAGTGCAGTGGTGTGATCTTGGCTCACTGCAGCCTCTGCCTCCTGGGTTCAAGGGATTCTTCTGCCTCAGCCTCCCAAGGAGCTGGGACTACAGGCGTGTGCCACCACTCCCAGATCATTTTTGTATTTTTAGTAGAGATGGGGTTTCACCATATTGGCCAGGCTGGTCTCGAACTCCTGACCTCGTGATCCATCCACCTTGGCCTCCCAAAGTGCTGGGATTACAGGAGTGAGCCACCATGCCTGGTGGGTCTACCTTATTCTTTCTTTCTTTCTTTTTTTTTTTTTTTTTCTGAGATGGAGTTTCACTCCTGTTGCTCTTTCTGATTGAAGGACTCCCTTTAGCATTTTTCACAGGACAGGTCTGGTGTTAATTAAATCCCTCAGCTTTTGTTTGTCTCGGAAAATCCATATTTCTCCTTCATGTTTGAAGGATATTTTCACCGGATATACTATTCTAGGATAAAAGGTTTTTTTCTTCAGCCACTATCTCCTGATTTGTAAGGTTTCCACTGAAAAGTCTGCTGCCAGACGTATTGGAGCTCCATTGTGTGTTTTGTTTCTTTTCTCTTGCTGCTTTTAGGGTCCTTTCTTTATCCTTGACCTTTGGGAGTTTGATTATTAAATGCCTTGAGGTAGTCTTCTTTGGGTTAAATCTGCTTGGTGTTCTATAACCTTCTTGTACTTGGATATTGATACCTTTCTCAAGGTTTGGGACGTTCTCTGTTATTCCTTTGAATAAGCTTTCTACTCCTATCTTTTTCTCTACCTCCTTTTTAAGGCTAATAACTCTTAGATTTGCCCTTTTGAGGCCGGGCACCGTGACTCACTCCTGTAATCCCAGCACTTTGGGAGGCCGAGGCGGGTGGATCACCTGAGGTCAGGAGTTTGAGACCAGCCTGACCAACATGGTGAAACCCCGTCTCTACTAAAAATACAAAAATTAGCTAGGCGTGGTGGCAGGCTCCTGTAATCCCAGCTACTCGGGAGGCTGAGGCAGGAGAATCGCTTGAACCCAGGAGACAGAGGTTGCAGTGAGCCGAGGTCATGCCATTGTACTCTAGCCTTGGGGACAAGAGAAAGACTTTGTCTCAAAAAAAAAAAGAAAAAAAAAAGATTTGCCCTTTTGAGGCTATTAGATTTTGTAGATAGGCTTCATTATTATTCTTTTTTTTTTGAGATGGAGTTTCGCTCTTGTCATCCAGGCTGGAGTCCAGTGGTGCGATCTCGGCTGACTGCCACCTCTGCCTCCTGGGTTCAAACGATTCTCCTGCCTCAGCCCCCCAAGTAGCTGGGGTTACAGGCATGTGCCACTACGCCCAGCTAATTTTGTAGTTTTAGTAGAGATGGGGTTTCACCATGTGCCCAGGCTGGTCTCAAACTCCTGACTTCAGATGATCCACCTGCCTTGGCCTCCCAAAGTGCTGGGATTACAGGCGTGAGCCACCGCACTCTGTCCATTCTTCTTTATTCTTTTTTCATCTCCTCTGACTCTGTATTTTCAAATAGCCTGCCTTCAAGCTCATTAACTTTTTATTCTGCTTGATAATTCTGCTACTAAAGGATTCTGATGCCTTCTTCAGTGTGTCAAATGCGTTTTTCAACTGTAGAATTTCTCCTTAATTCTTTTTAAGTATTTCAATCTCTATGTTGAATGTATCCAGTGAATACTGAATTCCTTCTCTGTGTTATCTTGAATTTCTCTGGGATTCCTCAAAATAACTATTTTGACTCCTGTGTCTGAAAAGTCACATATCTCTATTTCTCCAGGATTGGTCTCTAGTGCCTTATTTTGTTCATTTGGTGAGGTCATATTTTCCTGGGTGGTCTTTTGATGTTCGTTGGTGCCTAGGCATTGAAGAGTTAGGTATTTATTGTAGTCTTTGCAGTCTGGACTAGATTGTATCCATCCTTCTTGGGAAAGCTTTTCAGGTATTCAAAAGGATTTCAGTGTTGTGATCTAAGCCATGTCTGCATTAGATGGCACCCCAAGCCCAGTAATGCTGTGGTTCTTTCAGACTCTACGAATCTGCAAGACTTGGGGATCTTCATGAGATCCGGAAGAATTATCCAGATTACCAGAGACTCTTGTTATCTTTCCTTACTTTCTCCAAAACAAATGGAGTCTTTCTCTGTGTGTGCAGAGACACCTGGGGCTGGGGATGGAACGGCATAAGAACCCTTGTAGCCACTACCACTGTGACTGCACTGGATCAGACCTGAAGCTAGCACAGCACTGAGTCTCGCCCAAGGCCCACTGTAATCACTACCTGGCCACTGCCTGTTTTCTTAAGGCCCTAGGACTTGACAGTCATAAAGCTGTTTTGTTTTGTTTTTAAGAGGAATCCCTTGGTATAGACAGAAGCTAAATAGCAGAACTCATTCTTCTATAGAGAGCCTCTGAGTTAGGACAGGCATTCCAAAAAATGCCAACTATGTATACCATACTACAGCACTTGAAACATATACTAAAAGATATTTTCTAATTCCTAAAATATTACTGAGTGTTGATTTTTAATAGACTTATGCAACTTAACAGCATTCATGGGCCATTGTGATATACATTGAACATGGGTGCCCTGCTTAAATCAATGTGTCTCTACCTTAAAATTTGCAAGATACAACCTGTACAGGAACTGAGAAGTAACATGTTCAAGATCTTTTAATAATACATATTTATCATTTTTATCATTGTATTGTATTGACAATTATCAAAATAAATTGTACACCAAAAATAAAACACCCTAAAGTGAACAACTTTTTTTTTTTTTTTTTTTTTTTTTTTGAGATGGAGTCTCGCTCTGTTGCCCAGGCTGGAGTGCAGTGGCATGATCTCAGCTCACTGCAACCTCCGCCTCCTGGGTTCAAGTAATTCTCCTGCCTCAGCCTCCCAAGTAGCTGGGATTACAGGTATCCACCATCATGTCTGGCTAATTTTTGTATTTTTAGTAGAGATGAGGTTTTGCCATGTTTGCCAGGTTGGTCTCAAACTCCTGACCTCAGGTGATCCACCTGCCTCGGCCTCCCAAAGTGCTGGGATTACAGACGTGAGCCACCACGCCTGGCCCAAAATGCACAACTTTTTTTTTTTTTTTTTTTTTTTTTTTTTTGAGACGGAGTCTCACTCTATCGCCCAGGCTGGAGTGCAATGGCACGATCTCAGCTCACTACAACCTCCGCCTCCCGGGTTCAAGCAATTCTCCTGCCTCAGCCTCCCAAGTAGTTGGGATTACAGGCGTTAGTCACCACGCTTGGCTAATTTTTGTATTTTTAGTAGACACAGGCTTTCACCATGTTGGTCAGGCTGGTCTCGAACTCCTGACCTCAGGTGATCCGTCGGCCTTGGCCTCCCAGAGTGCTGGAATGACAGGCATGAACCACCGTGCCCGGCCGTGCACAACTTTTAAGTATAAATCATAGCGAATTTTTACAAAATGATCACGGGCTTCAGTCAGGAGATAGAAATCACACCAATTATTTGAACACAAAAAATATAGTGTAACAAATTATTAACTGATAGGAAGTAGTTAACTGCTAACAGGAGTAGAAGAGGACTCTAAAGGAAAGTAGCAGGGAGTCAAATAATCGGTACTACCTCTAGGCTGAGGGAGAGTAGTAAATAAAAGAACTAAGAACTAGGAGAGTCCTTCTCCCCTGCTGAGCTAAAGTTCAGCAACTGGTTTATTAAACCCACTGGGTTGACATGGGTGTTTAGAAACAGGCTTTTTAATTATTTTTTAAATTTTATGTATTTATTTACTTTTTTTTTTTTTTTTTTTTTTGAGACGGAGTCTTGCTCTGTCACACAGGCTGGAGTGCAGTGGCACGATCTCGGCTCACTGCAAGCTCCACCTCCCGGGTTCACGCCATTCTCCTGCCTCAGCCTCCCGAGTAGCTGGCACTACAGGCACCCACCACCACGCCCCGGCTAATTTTTTTCTTTTTTTTTGTATTTTTAATAGAGACGGAGTTTCACCGTGTTAGCCAGGATGTTCCCGATCTCCTGACCTCGTGATCCACCCGCCTCGGCCGCCCAAAGTGCTGGGATTACAGGCGTGAGCCACCGCGCCGGGCCTATTTTATTTCTTAATTTTTTGTAGAGACATAATCTTGCTATGTTACCCAGGCGAGTCTCGGACTCAAGGATCCTCCCACCTCTGATCTCAAGGCATCGGGATTACAGGCGTGAGCCACTGAGCCTGGCCAAGAAGCTGGCATTCTTATCCGTTTATGGCTGATGTGTAAATCGGTATGGAGAGCAACTTTACAGTATTTGTCAAAATTACAAATGTAACTTTGTCTCAACAGTTCCAGTTCTAGGAGTCTATCTTACAATGAGCAGAGCAATACATCGATAAGGTTATTTGTTGCTGCAGTATATATAATAACAAGAGATTGGAATCCAACTAAATATCAGTGGGGAATTGGTTAAATAAATTATGGTACATCCATAATGAAATACTATGCAGCTGTAAGAAATGAAATATATATATATCTTTTTTTTTTCTTTTTTTTTTTTTTTTTGAGACAGAGTCTTGCTCTGTCACCCAGGCTGGAGTACAGTGGCAACATCACAGCTCACTACAACCTTGACCTCGCTGGGCTGGGCACAGTGGCTCATGCCTATAAACCCAGCATTTTGGGAGATCAAGGCAGGAGGATCACTTGAGCGCAGGAGTTTGAGACCAGCCTGGGAAACATAATGAGACCTCATCTCTACAAAAAAAATCAAAAAAATTAGCCAGGTGTGGTGGTGCATGTCTGTAGTCCCAGCTGTTCAGGAAACTGAGTTGGGAGGATTGCTTGAGCCTAGGAGGTCAAGCCTGTGCAACAGAGCAAGACCCCTTGTAAAAATTTTTAAATAGTTAAAAAGAAAAGAAAAGAAAAAAGGGGGGCCAGACACGGTGGCTCACACCTGTAATCCCGGCACTTTGTGAGGCTGAGGCAGGCAGATCACGAGGTCAGGAGTTCGAGACCAGCCTGGCCAACATGGTGAAACCCCATCTCTACTAAAAATACAAAAATTAGCCAAGCATGGTGGCACCCACCTGCAATCCCAGCTACTTGGGAAACTGAGGCAGGAGAATCACTTGAACCTGGGAGGTGGAGGTTACAGTGAGCCAAGATCATGCCACTGCATTCCAGCCTAGGTGACAGAGCGAGACTCCATCTCAAAAAAAAAAAAAGAAAGAAAGAAAAAGAAAAGAACCCAATTAAAAAGTGGGCAAGGCTGGACGAGGTGGCTCACGCCTGTAATCCCAACACTTTGGGAGGCCAAGGCAGGTGGATCACAAGGTCAGGGGTTCAAGAACAGCCTGGCCAACATAGTGAAACCCCGTCTCTACTAAAAATACAGAAAATTAGCCCATCGTGGTGGTAGGCACCTGTTATCCCAACTACTCGGGAGGCTGAGGCAGGAAAATCACTTGAACCTGGGAGGTGGAGGTTGCAGTGAGCCAATATCCTGCCATTGCACTCCAGCCTAGGTGACAGTGCGAGACTCCCATCTCAAAAAAAAAAAAAAAGTGGGCAAAAGGTTTTTCTTTTTTTTTGAGATGGGGTTTTGCTCCCGTTGCCCAGGCTGGAAAGCAATGGCATCATCTCAGCTCACTGCAACCTCCACCTCCCGGGTTCAAATGATCCTCCTGCCTCAGCCTCCCAAGTAACTGGGATTACAGGCATGTGCCACCACACTGAGCTAATTTTGTATTTCTTGTAGCAGAGACAGAGTTTCACCATGTTGGTCAGGCTGGTCTTGAACTCTTGACTTCTGGTGATCCACCCACCTCAGGCTTCCAAAATGCTGGGATTGTAGGTGTGAGCCACTGCGCCCACCAGAAAAATGGGCCAAAGATCTGAACAGAAACCTCACCAAAGAAGTTATACAATGGCAAGTAACCATATGAAAAGATGTTCAACATCATATATCATTAGAGAATAAACAACAGTGATGAGCCAGTCTCAGCGGCACACACCTGTAATCCCAGCTACTTAGGAAGCTGATGTGAAAGGTTCACCTGAGCCCAGGAGTTTGAGTGTTTATAGAAGCTTTATTTATAATTGCCAAAAACTAGAAGCAGTCAAGGTGAATACATCTATATAATGGATTATTATTTAGGAAAAAAAAAAAAAAGAAATGAGGCCGGGCGCGGTGGCTCATCCCTGTAATCCCAGCACTTTGGAAGGCCAAGGCAAGCAGATCACCTGAGGCGAGGAGATCGAGACCAGCCTGGCCAACATGGCAAAACCCTGTCTCTACTAAAAATACGAAACTTAGCAGGGCATGGTGGCACATGCCCGTAGTCCCAGCTACTCAGGGAGGCTTACCCAGGAGAATTGTTGAACCCTGGAGGTGGAGGTTGCAGTGAGCCAAGATCATGCCAGTGCACACCAGCCTGGCAACAAAGCGAGACTCTATCTCTAAATAAATAAATAAATGTAAAGAATATTTAAAAAAAAAAAAGAATTATTGGCCCATAGAAAGAGATGGAAAAACCCTAAATACACATTGCCAAGTAAAAAAAGCAAGTCTGAAAAGGCTGTATGATTCCAACTATATAACATTCTGGAAAAGACAAAACTATGCAGACAATAAAAGGATCTCGCCAGGCGCAGTGGCTCATGCCTGTAAGGTCGGGAGTTTGAGATCAACCTGACTAACAAGGTGAAACCCTGTCTCTACTAAAAACACAAAATTAGTCGGGCATGGTGGCACATGCCTGAATCCCAGCTACTCGGGAGGCTGAGGCAAGAGAATTGCTTGAAACTGGAAGGCAGAGGTTGCAGTGAGCCGAGATTGCACCACCGCACTCCAGCCTAGGCAAAAGGGCGAAACTCTGTCTCAAAAAAAAAAAAATTAAATACTACAGAAAATATGGAAGAGTTTGCCATTTTTACATTAAAAACTGATAAAAGGCCGGGCACAGTGGCTCATGCCTGTAATCCCAGCACTTTGGGAGGCTGAGGTAGGTGGATCACTTGAGGCTAGGAGTTCAAGACCAGCCTGGCCAACATGATGAAACCCCATCTCTGCTAAAAATACAAAATTAGCCAGGTGTGGTGGCACATGCCTGTAATCCCAGCTACCTGGGAGGCTGAGGCAGGAGAATCGCTTGAACCCCAGAGGCAAAAGGTTACACTGAACCGAGATCGCACCACTGCACCCCAGCCTGGGTGACAGAGCTAAGCTAAGCATGGTGGCACATGCCTGGGGTCCCAACTACTTCAGAGGCTGAGACAAGAGACAAGAGAATTGCTTGGGCCCAAGAGTTTGAGACCAGTCTTAGCAACATAGCAAGACCCTGTTTCTAGAAAAAAAAAAAAAAAAAAAAAAAAACAGCATAAAATGACATAAGTTAAAATAACAGCAAAATGGAAAAAGTCACAACTCATGCACAGATAATTTCCTTTATATATAAAAATCTCTTTAAATGAATAAAAGACCAAAAAACAACATTTTAAATACTCAAAGAATATGATGTTTGCAAAAAAACAAACAAACAAACAAAAAACCAGCACTGAATCATACAAAAATATATTTAACCTTATTAATAATAAGAAATATCCTTTTTTTTTTTTTTTGAGACAGAGTCTTGCACTATCTCCCGGGTTGGAGTGCAGTGGTGCAATCTCGGCTCATTGCAACCTCCGCCTCCCAGGTTCAAGTGATTTTCCTGCCTCAGCCTCCCAAGTAGCTGGGATTACAGGCGCCCACCACCACATACAGCTAATTTTTTGTATTTTTAGTAGAGATGGGGTTTCACCATGTTGGCCAGGCTGGTCTCGAACTCCTGACCTCATGATTTGCCTGCCTCAGCCTCCCAAAATGCTGGGATTACAGGCGTGAGCCACAGTGCCCAGACAAAATATCCAATTAAAACTACAATGAAAGACTATTTTCACCTATCATATTAGCATATAGTAAGAAATATTAAAGCACCTACCCTATGGCACACGCCTGTGATCCCAGCTACTCAAGAGGTTGAGGCAGGAGGATCGTTAAGCCCCTGAGTTTGAAACCAGCCTAGGCAACACAGTGAGACTTCCTCTATGCCAAATGGTGTTCAAAATTGTTTCTGTGTATTAACCCTTCTGTGATAGTTAATACTGAGTGTCAACTTGATTGGATTGAAGGATACAAAGTACTAATCCTGGGTGTGTCTATGAGCGTGTTGCCAAAGGAGATTACCATTTGAGTCAGTGGGCTGGGGAAGGCAGATCCACCCTTCATCTGGTGGGCACCATCTAATCAGCTTCCAGCAAATATAAAGCAGACAGAAAAACGTGAAAAGGAGAGACTGCCTTAGCCTCCCGGCCTACATCTTTCTCTGGTGCTGGACGCTTCCTGCCCTTGAACATCGGACTCCAAGTTCTTCAGTTTGAGACTCGGACTGGCTCTACTTGCTCCTCAGCTTGCAGACAGCCTATTGTGGGGCCTTGTGATTGTGTGAGTTAATACTTAATAAATTCCCCTTTGGGAGGCCGAGGCAGGTGGATCACGAGGTCAGGAGTTCGAGACTAGCCTGGCCAAGAAGGTGAAACCCCATCTCTACTAAAAATACAAAAAATAGCCAGGCGCGGTGGCAGGTACCTGTAATCCCAGGTACTCGGGAGGCTGAGGCAGGAGAATTGCTTGAACCCGGGAGGCAGAGGTTGCAGGTTGCACTGAGCCGAGATCGCACCACTGCACTCCAGCCTGGGTGACAGAGCAAGCAAAACAAACAAACAAAAACAACAACAACAACAAAACTCCTCTCTCTCTCTCTCTCTATGTATATATATATCCTATTAGTTCTGCTCCTCTAGAGAACCCTGACTAATACACCTTCTAAATTCACAACATGAGTCATTTCACAAAGTTTGATAGCCAACTGAGTGGGTTAGGATGTAAGGAAACAGGGACTCTCCTATACTGCCTGTCTATTCAGCATCTCACATCTTGTAGATGACTTCTTCACACTTTCTCCTCCGTCCTCAAATCTCCACAACTTCTTGCTGGTCTTCACTCTCAACTAATGACGTTGCCTCTTATCTCCTACTTCACTGAGAAGTTAAAAGCAGAAAACCCATAAACTCCCCCAGTCCCTCAAAACTACCTACATCTATATCCATATATAACATGACTTTACTCCTCTTATATTACCCAAATTGTTGGTGTTCCTATCCAAAGCCATCTGCTCCAAAGATTCTCCCTTTTCTCCTGCATCAGACATTTTTTTGCTTTCTAATAACACACACACACACACACACACACACACACACACACACACACACACACACTTTCCATCTTTAAAATTTAACCCACCTCCCCCTCCAGATAGTCTTATTTCTCTGCTCTTCTTTCTGCAAAGCTCCCCAGAAAAGTATATTTCTCCACTTTCTCTCTTCCCATTCTCTCTCTCTCTTTTTTTTTTTTTTTTCCCAAGACAGGGTCTCATTCTGTCACCCAGGCTGGAGTGCAGTGGTGCGAACTCAGCTCACTGCAACCTCCTAATCCTGAGTTCAAGCGATTCTCCTGCCTCAGCCTCCCAAGTAGCTAGAACTACAGGAACACACCATCATGCCCGGCTAATTTTTGTATTTTTAGTAGAGATGGGGTTTCACCATATTGGCCAGGCTGGTCTTGAACTCCTGGCCTCAAAATGATCAGCCTGCCTTGGCCTCCCAAAGTGCTGGGATTACAGACGTGAGCCACTGCACCCAGACATCCACCATGTCTTTTTAATTTTTTTAATTTTAAATTCAGGGTATGCATGTGCAGGTTTGTTACATGGATATATTGCATGATGCTGGGGTTTGGGCTTCAATAGAACCCATCACCCAAATACTGAACTTAGTACCCAATACATAGTTTTTTGACCCTTTCCCACCCTCCCCTCCCTCCTTTTGGAGTCCCCAATGTCTATTGTTCCTATCTTTATGTCCATGTGTATCCACCCAACATGGGTTCTTAATGTCCTAAAAAGACTTTTTTTTTTTAGATGGAGTCTCCCTCTGTTGCCCAGGCTGGAGTACAGTGGCATGATCTCGGCTCACAGCAACCACCACCTCCCAGGTTCAAGCAATTCTCTGCCTCAGCCTCCTGAGTAGCTGGGATTACAGGCATGTACCACCACGCCCGTCTGTGTATTTTTAGTAGAGATGGGGTTTCACCATCTTGGCCTGACTGGTCTTGAACTCCCGAACTTGTGATCCACCTGCCTCAGCCTCCCAAAGTGCTGGGATTATATACTGAGCCCACCTAACCCCATCTGGGATGTGAGGAGCGCCTCTGCCCGGCCGAGACCCCGTCTGGGAGGTGAGGAGCGTCTCTGCCTGGCCGCCCCGTCTGAGAAGTGAGGAGACCCTCTGCCTGGCAACCACCCCGTCTGAGAAGTGAGGAGCCCCTCCGCCCGGCAGCTGCCCCGTCTGAGAAGTGAGGAGCCTCTCCGCCCGGCAGCCACCCTATCTGGGAAGTGAGGAGCGTCTCCGCCCGGCAGCCACCCCGTCCGGGAGGGAGGTGGGGGGGGGTCAGCCCCCCGCCCGGCCAGCCGCCCCATCCGGGAGGGAGGTGGGGGGGTCAGCCCCCCCGCCCGGCCAGCCGTGCCATCCGGGAGGGAGGTGGGGGGGTCAGCCCCCCGCCTGGCCAGCCGTGCCATCCGGGAGGGAGGTGGGGGGGTCAGCCCCCCGCCCGGCCAGCCGCCCCGTCCGGGAGGTGAGGGGCGCCTCTGCCCGGCCGCCCCTACTGGGAAGTGAGGAGCCCCTCAGCCCGGCCAGCCGCCCCGTCCGGGAGGGAGGTGGGGGGGTCAGCCCTCCGCCCGGCCAGCCGCCCCGTCTGGGAGGTGAGGGGCGCCTCTGCCCAGCCGCCCCTACTGGGAAGTGAGGAGCCCCTCTGCCCGGCCAGCCGCCCCGTCCGGGAGGGAGGTGGGGGGGTCAGCCCCCCGCCCGGCCAGCCGCCCTGTCCGGGAGGGAGGTGGAGGGGTCAGCCCTCCGCCCGGCCAGCCGCCCCGTCTGGGAGGTGAGGGGCGCCTCTGCCCGGCCGCCCCTACTGGGAAGTGAGGAGCCCCTCTGCCCGGCCAGCCGCCCCGTCCGGGAGGGAGGTGGGGGGGTCGGCCCCCCGCCCGGCCAGCCGCCCCGTCCGGGAGGGAGGTGGGGGGGTCGGCCCCCCGCCCGGCCAGCCGCCCCGTCCGGGAGGGAGGTGGGGGGGTCGGCCCCCCGCCCGGCCAGCCGCCCCGTCCGGGAGGGAGGTGGGGGGGGGTCGGCCCCCCTGCCCGGCCAGCCGCCCCGTCCGGGAGGTGAGGGGCGCCTCTGCCCGGCCGCCCCTACTGGGAAGTGAGGAGCCCCTCTGCCCGGCCAGCCGCCCCGTCCGGGAGGGAGGTGGGGGGGTCAGCCCCCCGCCCGGCCAGCCGCCCCGTCCGGGAGGGAGGTTGAGGGGGGGGTCAGCCCCCCCGCCCAGCCAGCCGCCCTGTCCGGGAGGTGAGGGGCGCCTCTGCCCGGCCGCCCCTACTGGGAAGTGAGGAGCACCTCTGCCCGGCCAGCCGCCCCGTCCGGGAGGGAGGTGGGGGGGTCGGCCCCCCGCCCGGCCAGCCGCCCCGTCCGGGAGGGAGGTGGGGGGGGGTCGGCCCCCCTGCCCGGCCAGCCGCCCCGTCCGGGAGGTGAGGAGCGCCTCTGCCCGGCCGCCCCTACTGGGAAGTGAGGAGCCCCTCTGCCCGGCCAGCCGCCCCGTCCGGGAGGGAGGTGGGGGGGTCAGCCCCCCGCCCGGCCAGCCGCCCCGTCCGGGAGGGAGGTTGGGGGGGGGTCAGCCCCCCCGCCCAGCCAGCCGCCCTGTCCGGGAGGTGAGGGGCGCCTCTGCCCGGCCGCCCCTACTGGGAAGTGAGGAGCCCCTCTGCCCGGCCAGCCGCCCCGTCCCGGAGGGAGGTGGGGGGGTCGGCCCCCCGCCCGGCCAGCCGCCCCGTCCGGGAGGGAGGTGGGGGGGTCGGCCCCCCGCCCGGCCAGCCGCCCCGTCCGGGAGGGAGGTGGGGGGGTCGGCCCCTGCCCGGCCAGCCGCCCCGTCCGGGAGGTGAGGGGCGCCTCTGCCCGGCCGCCCCTACTGGGAAGTGAGGAGCCCCTCTGCCCGGCCAGCCGCCCCGTCCGGGAGGGAGGTGGGGGGGTCAGCCGCCCCGTCCGGGAGGGAGGTTGGGGGGTCAGCCCCCCGCCCGGCCAGCCGCCCCGTCCGGGAGGGAGGTGGGGGGGGTCAGCCCCCCTGCCCGGCCAGCCGCCCCGTCCGGGAGGTGAGGGGCGCCTCTGCCCGGCCGCCCCTACTGGGAAGTGAGGAGCCCCTCTGCCCGGCCACCACCCCGTCTGGGAGGTGTGCCCAACAGCTCATTGAGAACGGGCCAGGATGACAATGGCGGCTTTGTGGAATAGAAAGGCGGGAAAGGTGGGGAAAAGATTGAGAAATCGGATGGTTGCCGTGTCTGTGTAGAAAGAAGTAGACATGGGAGACTTTTCATTTTGTTCTGCACTAAGAAAAATTCCTCTGCCTTGGGATCCTGTTGATCTGTGACCTTACCCCCAACCCTGTGCTCTCTGAAACATGTGCTGTGTCCACTCAGGGTTAAATGGATTAAGGGCGGTGCAAGATGTGCTTTGTTAAACAGATGCTTGAAGGCAGCATGCTCGTTAAGAGTCATCACCAATCCCTAATCTCAAGTAATCAGGGACACAAACACTGCGGAAGGCCGCAGGGTCCTCTGCCTAGGAAAACCAGAGACCTTTGTTCACTTGTTTATCTGCTGACCTTCCCTCCACTATTGTCCCATGACCCTGCCAAATCCCCCTCTGTGAGAAACACCCAAGAATTATCAATAAAAAAATAAATTAAAAAAAAAAAAAAAAAAAAAAAAAGAATGGACTTTCCCAGGCCAGCTGTGGTGGCTCACGACTGTAATCCCAGCACTGTGGCAGGCCAAGGCGGGCAGATCACCTGAGATCAGGAGTTCAAGACCAGCCTGACCAACACGGAGAAACCCCGTCTCTACTAAAAATAAAAAAAATTAGCTGGGCGTGGTGGTGCATGCCTGTAATCCCAGCTACTTGGGAGGCTGAGGCAGGAGAATTGCTTGAACCCAGGAGGCAGAGGTTGTTGTGAGCTGAGATTGCACCATTGCACTCCAGCCTGGGCAACAAGAGGGAAACTCCATCAAAAAAAAAAAAAAAAAAAAAGGACTTTCTCAAAGAAAATGTATTTAAATGTCTGCACCAATAATTCCAGCATGTGTATGAATAAATATGATATGTCCTTTACAAAAAAAAAAAAAAAAAAAAAAAAAAAAAAAAAAGTTTTTCTTCCTGCCTACATTACTTAATAGTGCCACATTTTTCATTTTTACCAAATACAATTTAACAACAACTGGTTTCTCCTTAGAGTCTCTAGGAGGATTTTTAATCCTTCAATGGTTCAACTAGGGTATGAGTTAAAGTGGATTTTATGGGCTGTCCCAAGGCCCAGCAACTAATTAATGAGGGAAATAGGACGACAGCCTGGCCTGTGAGCCTCTTTCACAGCTTCTCGAGGTGTGAAATTGCTAATGGGCACTTTTTTTTTTCTTTTTTTTTTTTGAGATACAGTGTTGCTGTGCTGCCCATGCTGGAACACAGTGATGTGATCACAGCTCACTGCAACCTCGACCTCCTGGACTAAGCAATCCTCCCACTTCAGCCTCTCAAGAAGCTGGGACTACAGGCATGCACCACCATGCTCGGCTGATTTTTAAATTTTTTGGAGAGTTGGGGTCTCTCTGTGTTACCGAGGCTGGTCTAGAACTCCTAGGCTCAAGCCTCCCAGAGTGTTGGGATTACAGGCATAAGCCAACATGCTCGGCCCCTTTTCTTTAGGTTGTTGCACATTCTACCAAAAGTATCATTTGGAGAATGTACTCACTAGCGTGCCATGCTTACTAGGCTTTATTCTAGATTTTCCATGTCCTGAACATAGTGGTGCCAAGAGAGGAAGATCTTCTGTGCCATACCCTCTACTCCTAGCATTTGGCTTTCTTTGGACACTGACAAACCTCACCCTTTCTCCAGAATGTAATCATTGTCGACAAATGTGGAAGATTGTAGAAATGGCCAAATTCCATGTAACTTTTCACTTTGGCAACTCAGAAATAGTCTAAGAAAGTCCCCAAAATACCATGGATTCAAAAACCACCCACGTGTACAATATATCATCTATTTTTCATAAAACCAAATTATTATAACAGTATTATGTGCTATGATTTTAAAAATTCAAACAGAACAGAAGAAAATTTTTTAAAGTCTGCCCTGCTCTAGTCTCTCTTTAATTTGATGTGCTTGCTGTAAAAACTTCAACTGAGGCCGGGCTCGGTGGCTCATGCCTGTAATCCCAGCACTTTGAGAAGCCCAGGAGGGCAGATCACCTAAGGTCAGGAGTTCGAGACCAGCCTGGCCAACATGGTGAAACCCTGTCTCTACTAAAAATACAAAAATTAGCCGGGCGTGGTGGTGGGTGCCTGTAATCCCAGCTACTTGGGAGGCTGAAACAGGAGAATTGCTTGAACCTTGGAGGCGGAGGTTGCCGTGAGCCGAGATCGTGCCACTGCACTCCAGCCTGGGCAACAGAGCAAGACTCCCTCTAAAAAAACAAACAAAAACAAAAACAAAAACAAACAAAAAAAAAACTTCAATTGATACATAAGCATATCTTCAGTCCCATTTCCCACATGTAAATCACCTCTATTCATTTTTTAATATTTCCATCATCTCTTTTAAAAATGACTAACAGCTGGGCATGGTGGTGCATATGTAGTCCCTGCTACTTGGGAGGATGAGGCAAGAGGATTGCTTAAGCCCAGGAGTTCAAGGCTGCAGTGAGCTATGACTGCGCCTGCGAATAGCCATTGCACTCCAGCCTGGGCAACATAGTGAGACCCTATCTCTTAAAAAAAAAAAAGTAAATCACAGAAGTCTTTGGGATTGTTAAACAAAAATTATGAGAAGTCATTATATTGTACTGAGCACTAGTCCCAAGCAGACCAGATCAAACCAAAATGGAGTCACTCATGCTAAATGCCACATAATCAAACTGAAACTTTAAGGTAGCAGATAGATCCCGATACAGACCAGTTTTTCTGGAAACAAGAGATCCCGGTCTGCCTTAGTCAACATAATGAAGAAGTCCCCACTGCATCAATTTATTTTTTCTATTGTTCTGTTTCCATGTTCCCACCTTACAAAACCCACTGTTCTGCTACTGCCCAAGTGAGAGCTTTGATTTTATTTTGTAGAATGGAGGCTGCCCTGACTCATGAATGACAAATAAAAGCCAATTAAATCTATAACTAAATTTGTTGGAATTTTGTCTTGTACCAGGATTAATAACTAGGTTTTGTTGGGCATTCTTCAGGTACTGCTAACTATGTGAGCCAGCAAGGGCTATGCTTCCCTTCAGCCTTAGGGGATTTCTGTTTTGTTTTGGTTGTGCTCTGGAGTCCAGGCCCCCCAAAAGGATTCTAGTTGAAGAAATGCTCAGTCCCTGCATCCCTAACACAGTTTATCCCCACTGTAGGGTGGTTTTTGGCAATGAAATATCACCTTCATTTGAATAACAGTGTACAGGGAATAAGAATTAATGTTGCAGGAAAAAATGAAATTAGGATAGGATTCTCAAGACAAGATTCTATAGATTTCTCATCAACTCTCCTTACCAAGGCAGAATAACTTTTGTACAACGTATATTTATTGTGGCTGTCTCCTTATAAAATTCATACATTCCTCTATTCCACCCACTCCCTAGATCTGCAGAAATGACAACTGTTAATAGCTTGAAGAATATTCTTCTGGTTTTTCTCTATAGAGCAAAATTTTTGTTGTTTTTCTTAATTTCCTAAATGGTATGTGCTTGTTGCAAAAACTTCAACTGATACAGAAGCTCTGAGAATGCAGGGGAAAAAAAGTGTTTTTTATATCCTCTTGCTTAACAATCACAAAAGATTTCTGTGACCAGATGTGTGGGGATTTCACCAGCCATGCATTCTGCAGTGAACACCAGCTGGCTGTCCTCTAATTCAAGTCAATTCTGACCCTACCTACCTCAAGACAGTGTTATCAAACCTAACTGGGGTCCAATCTCCTGGCACAGTAAGACCAAATAGTCACACCGAGGTTTGCAGTGAGAGAAAGGAAGGCGTTTATTTGCAGGCAACAAGCAAGGAAATCAGGTAGCTCATGCTTAAGTCCTCACCTCCCCAATGGCTTGCAGGTAAGGGTTTTTGTTTTGTTTGTTTTTTGAGATGGAGTCTCCCTCTGTGTCCCAGGCTGGAGTGCAGTGGCACGATCTCGGCTCACTGCAACCTCCGCCTCCCGGGTTCTAGCGAGTCTCCTGCCTCAGCCTCCTGAGTAGCTGGGACTACAGGCTCACACCCTCACGCCCGGCTAATTTTTGTATTTTTAGTAGAGACGGGGTTTCACCATGTTGGTCAGGCTGGTCTCGAACTCCGGATCTCAGGTGATCCACCCAACTCAGCCTCCCAAAGTGCTGGGATTATAGGCGTGAGCCACCATGCCCATCTGGCAGGGGTAAATTTTAAGAAAGCAGAAGTTACAGGTAAAATCATAAATCAATGCATGGAGGCTACACATGGGTTTTGGCCTGAAAGGGTGGGATAGCTTGCAGCAGGGGCTTACAAGTCATAGACAGACTCAAAGATTTTCTGATTTGCAATTAGTTAAGGAAGAGAAGCTTTGTTTAAAAATTTGGGGTCAGACTGGGCGCAGCGGCTCATAACTGTAATCCCAGCACTTTGGGAGGCCAACGCGAGTGAATCGCCTGAGCTCAGGAGTTCGAGGCCAGCCTGAGCAACATGACAAAACCCCATTTCTACCAAAAATCCAAAAAATTAGCCAGGCGTGCTGGCATGTGCCTGTGGTTCCAGCTACTCAGGAGGCTGAGGTGGGAGGATCGCTTGAGTCTGGGAAGCGGAGGTTGCAGTGAACTGAGATCATGCCACTGCACTCCAACCTGGGTGACAGTGAGCTGCCACATGAAAAAAAGAAAAAAAAACCGGGGTCAGGAGAAAAGAATGTTAGCTCTGGCTCACGGGTGTGACTCCCTCTAGGCCCCTCGGGAATAAATTTATAACAAAGAACAGTGGTCAGAATTCAGTCCTCAGCTCCCCATTGTCTGATGTCTGCATGCTGGCAGATCCATTCCGTGGGAGTCCACATTTCTCAAAAACAACACAGAGACATGTGTTAAGATATTATCATTAGTTTCTAAGGAAACCAAACATCCTAAAATTCTGGTGTTCTGGGCTATTGTTTTAGGCTACTATTATCTCCTTGCTTATCAACTTCTCAGGGCTTGCTGGGCGCCTGGAAATTCTCTTAAAGGAACTCAAGATTTTTCTTGATTTCCATGCTTAGGAGTGGGGTGCTCAACAGGCACCTAAGTGGGTGTTGGGGGGAGGAGGGGTCTCTGTTCCATCTCAATAGCATCAGATCACACAGGCTGAGGACTCAGTCCCACAAGACTCAGCTCCACTTGTGATGCCAATTGCAACTCCCAGGTTATTTTGCCTGTGCTTCTGACCCACCAACCTACCTCCTTGGGTTCCGTTAATTTGCTAGAGTGGCTAACAGAACTCACAGAAAACACTTAATTGTGTTTACTGGTTTATTATAAAGGATATTACAAGCTGGACGCGGTGACCCACGCCTGTAATCTCAGCACTTTGAGAGGCTGAGGCGGGTGGATTACCTGAGGTTGGGGGTTCAAAACCAGCCTGGCCAACATGGTGAAACCCTGTCTCTACTAAAAATACAAACTTAGCTGGGCGTGGTGGCACGTGCCTGTAATACCAGCTACTCGGGAGGCTAAGGCAGGAGAATCACTTGAACCCAGGGGGTGGAGGTTGCAGTGAGTGAAGATTGCACCATTGCACTCCAGCCTGGGCAACAGGAGTGAAACTCTGTCTCAAAAAATCAAAATAAAACAACAAAAAAAGGATATTACAAAGGATATAGATGAAGGGATGTATAGAGCAAGGTATGGGAGAAGGGGGAGGTTCTCGCGGGGAATCTCCACATGTTCAGCTCCCCGGAAGCTCTCTGAACCCAGTCCTTTTGAGTTCTTATGGAGACTTCATTACACAGGTGTGACTGATTAAATCATTGGCCATTGATAATCAACTCAATCTTCAGCCCTTCTCCTCTCCCCAAAGGTTGGGAGGTGCAGCTGATAAGCCTGCCTTAATCTTTCTGTGGAGCCACTTCTACCGCTGATGCTACCTAGAGGCTGTCAGCCATCAGTCAAGTTATTAGCATATAAAAAGACACACATCACTTTGAAGATTCCAAGCATTTTAGGAGTTGTATGCCAGGAAACCTGCAAAGACCAAATATATATTTCACAGTATCACAGAAGCATATCAAAATTTAAAGTGAAATTCTTCCCCTTCCACATTCTTTCTTAGAGTCAGTTTGGTGTATACCTTCCTTTCCAGACCCTTTTCTTTTTTCTTTTTTTTTTTCATGGAGTCTGGCTCTATCTCCCAGGCTGGAGTTCAGTGGCGTGATCTCGGCTCACTGCACTGCAGCCTCTGCCTCCCGGGTTCAAGCAATTCTCCTACCTCAGACCCCGAGTAGCTGGGATTACAGGCACCCGCCACCACGCCCAGTTAATTTTTTTTATTTTTAGTAGATACGGGGTTTCACCATGTTGGCCAGGCTGGTCTCAAACTCCTGACCTTAGGTGATCCGCCCACCTCAGCCTCCCAAAGTGCTAGGATTACAGGCATGAGCCACCGTGCCCAGCTTCGGCCTATAGTACCTTTTAAAGAATATATATATATATATATTTTTTTTATATAGAGACAGGGATCTCGCCATGTTGCCCAGGCTGGTCTTGAACTCCTGAGCTCAAGTGATTTGCCTGCCTTGACCTCTCAAAGTGCAGGGATTACAGGCGTGAGCCACTGTGCCTGGCCTCTTATAGTACCTTACACACATGTGCAAGCATTTCTCAAGCCTAGTATAGTGGTCATCAGAATGGACTCTGGAGTTAAACTGTCTGGGTTGAAAATACTAGCTCCAACTTCACCACTCTATAATCTTGGGCAAGTTACCAGACCTCCTTTGTACCTCAATTTCCCCATCAGTAAAGTATGAATCATAACAGTTCTTATATCATAGAATGTATGTAAGAATTAAATGACATAGAATATATAAAAAGCTTAGATCATTGCCTAGAACATCTAAGTACTCATTAAATATTGGTTCTTAATATTTATTAGTATCAGTAAGATTAATAAACATTATTATAATCGTCACTTCTCAAGAAAGCAAAAACAGGGTAAATTCAGAGAGCAGTAATTAGTTAAGAGTAATGATATCATTACCACTTATAGCCAATTATTCCACCAGACAGGTTAGTTAAGGAAAATTTATTTTAGTATGTGAAGAATTTTACATTAAGCTAGTTGCATTAGAAAATCCAAATAATTTGCATCCTAAATAACAGAGAACAGGCCTTCCAAGGCCCAGAAGGGAAGACATTAAGTGGTAATTAGAAAAATCAATCTCTTAGCTGAAAGTTTTAACAGCTTCATTTGCTCTTGTATCCCAACATTTTACCTGGTCATAAGCAGAGGCCAGAGGAAGGGAGGGGCAAGGAGGGTTCTGTGAGCCACTCTAGCAAATTAATTTAGGACTGTGTAGGAACTGGCAGCACCTCAGTACAGGCCCCCGTCTTGCTCACTTTGTTTATTTATTTATTAATTTTTTGGGGACAGAGTCTCACTCTGCCACCCAGGCTGGAGTGCAGTGGTACAATCTTGGCCCACTGCAACCTCTGCCTCCCGGGTTCAAGCGATTATCCTGCCTCAGCTTCCCGAGTAGCTGGGATTACAGGTGCACGCCACCATACCTGGCTAACTTTTGTATTTTTGGTAGAGATGGGTTTTTGCCATGTTGGCCAGGCTGGTCTTGAACTCCTGACCTCAAGCTATCCACCTGCCTTGGCCTCCCAAAGTGCTGGAATACAGGTGTGAGCCACTGTGCCCAGCCTCGCTCACTTTAATATCGTGGGTACCATTTAATGTCATGAATCTCCACTAGGGACAACTGTCTCGCTTTTATAGCTTGGGAAACTGAGGCTCAGAAACCATGTTGTTTAGGGCTCTGGTTTGCATCCTCAGAAACCAAGACAGACTGATTGAAGTGAAGAGGAGAAGGCTTAGGCAAGGATGTTGGGAGATCACAGGGTGGGAGGGGTGGCTAGACAGCTTGGACCAGAAACAGGCAGGATTCCACAGGTGCACAGGGGCAAAGACAGGAACCCAGCCGAAGAGCAGGAAAATCTGGTCTGAGCTCTGCCAGGTTTTTCAACACTCTTATTTAGATTCTAATTTCAGGGAGGAAGTGTCCAACTGCCAAGTGCTTGAGAATGGACACACCAGCCAGCATCATCACCTGGGAACTTGTTAGCAGTACAGAATCTCAGGCTCCACCCTGGACTTACTGAGTCACGACATGCATCTTTTTTAATTTTATGTATTTATTTTTTTGAGACAAGGTCTTTCTTGGGCTGGAGTGCTGCAGTGCCATCTCAGCTCACTGCAACCTCTGCCTCCTGGGTTCAAGCGTTTCTCGTGCCTCAGCCTCCCGAGTAGCTGGGCCTTCAGGCGTGCACCACCACTCCCAGCTAATTTTTGTATTTTTAGTAGCAATGGGGTTTCACCATATTGGCCAGGCTGGTCTCGAACTCCTGACCTCAAGTGATCCGCCCACCTTGGCCTCCCAAAGTGCTGGGATTACAGGCATGAGCCACCACACCCAGCCAGAGCCTGCATCTTAACAGCGCCCTCAGATCTGTGCATGTTACAATTTGGGACGCACTGGGAAGAGCCCCTAATGAATACTTTGTGCCTGATCAACTTCCCCATGGGCAAAGAGATGTTGATTCCTCAACAGGAAATTTGTGGTGCTGCTCCTAGAAGGAATGTCACAGCCTGACAGGTTCTTTTTGCCCACTGCCCCTTCTAAACCAATGAGAATGGCAGGTGTTGCAGCAAAGAAAGAATTTAATAATTGCAGGGCAACCAAATGAGAACAGGGAGAAATTTCTCAAACCCATCTCCCTGAGAATTCGGAGGCCTGGATTTTTAAGAGTACTTTGGTGGGCAGGGGGCTGGGGAATGGGAACAATTGAGTGACTGGGGATGAAATCACAGAGGCATCTAAAACTGTTTTCACACAGCTGAGTCAGTCCTCAGGAGGTGGGGGCCAAGGTTGGGGTGAGGGTATCAGGACAAGGTGGCATCTCTTGGTCTGCCAAAATTTGAAATCTGAAAAATATTTCAAAGACCAGTTTTCAGGTTTCACAATAGTGATGTTATCTATAGGAGTAGTTGGGGAAGTTATAAATCTTGCAACCCCCAGTTATTTGACTCTGGGGAAGTCAACAACTTACAGGAAAACACGCTAAGCAATGGCAGGTCATTAGTGAACTCTGCTTATTCTTTAGCAAAGTCCAATCCCCTACCATAATTCTAACCTTGGCTTATGAATGTGGCTTCAATCTCTCAACAAGGAGGGGCATCGGTTTCCCTTACCTCAAAGGTTTTTTTTTTTTTTTTTTTTTTTGAGATGAAGTCTTGCTCTGTCACCCAGGCTGGAGTGCAGTGGGGCGATCTTGGCTCTCTGCAACCTCACCCCCTGGGTTCAAGTGATTCTCATGCCTCAGCCTGCCAAGTAGCTGGGACTACAGGCACCCATCACCACATCCAGCTAATTTTTTTTTTTTTGGAGACAGTCTTACTCTATTCCCCAGGTTGGAGTGCAATGGCGCAATCTTGGCTCACTGAAATCTCCACCTCCTGGGTTCAAGCGATTCTCATGCCTCAGCCTCCCAAGTAGCTGGGACTACAGGCGTGCACCACTACACCTGGCTAATTTTGTATTATTAGTAGAGACAAGGTTTCACCATGTTGGCCAGGCTGCTCTTGAACTCCTGACCTCAGGCAATCTGCCCCCCTTGGCCTCCCAAAGTGCTGGGATTACAGGTGTGAGCCACCGCGCCCAGATTCTCAAAGTTTAACTATAAACTAAATTCCTCTCATTGTTTTCTTGGCCTCTGTGATACAATAAGCAAAAGACAAAAATAAGAAATAATTTAGCCTGTGAGTTTCGAAGCAAGATGGAGTCAGTCATGTAGGTTTTTCTCATTATTTATAATTCTGCAAAGTGGTTTCAGGAAGAGGAATGGACTTTAGGATACCCCATAAAAGGCACTCCCTGGGATTCCAGAACAGGCTAGTCTCCCCCAGACTGCCTTCTCCTGGCAGCCCACACAGCGTGTGGATAGACATTTCCTGTTAGCTCTCAGACAGGTTTTTTTCACTCTAGGTTGAATTTCTCAAGGGTTGCTGACATCTTGAAGATCTGAGAGAGGACTCAGCTGTAAAATCCTTGATCTCTTTCAACTGCTGAACATTAAAACCCTTTTCTCCCCTCTTACACAACTTTTTGAACAATGGTGGGATGTGAAGCTAGCAGCTGCATCCCTTTTTCTCAGTGCTGCCTCTTTCCCAGGAACCAGCTATAGATTTACTGCTATTTTAAGGGGATGATGAAGATGAAAGTTTTGCAAGGCCTTGTATCCAGGTGTTGGGGACAAAGGAAGCACCTGGCTTTGCCACCACAAAGGATCCAGAATGGAAAAAGGGACCCACGAACAGTGGAATGGCAAAGAAAGGCAGCTTCACTTTCCTTCATCCGGCATTACCTTGACAAGGGGTTTTACAGGGAAGGCCCTCTTTGGAAATTTTCTCCCTCTCCTGGAGCCCTGCCTCTTTCCACTCAGGCCCCTCCTTCTTGCCTAGCCACGCCCACACACCATCTGTCAGAGGAGTGGGACATGTAGACCGCTATCCTTGGTCCTGAAACGTCATTAGAGTTAGGGCAGTAGTTTACAACATGGCTGCCAATCGGAATCAATGGGAAAGCACGATAAAAGCACTGACTGCAAAGTCCCACATCCCAGGTACTCTGACTTGGTTGGTTTCTGCATTAAAAAACAAAAAAAAATCCCAGGGCAGGCACAGTGCTTCATGCTTGTAGTCCCAGCACTTTGGGAGGTCAAGGCAGGAGAATAACCAGTCTGAGCAACATAGTGAGACCCTGTCTCTACAAAAAATATAAAAAATTGGTCAGGCATGCTGGATGCGGTGGCTCACTCCTGTAATCCAGCACTTTGGGAGGCCGAGGCGGGTGGATCACCTGAGGTCAGGAGTTCGAGACCAGCCTGACCAACAAGGTGAAACTCCATCTCTACTAAAAATAAAAATTAGCCAGGCATGCTGGCAGGCGCCTGTAATCCCAATTACTCAGGAGGCTGAGACAGGAGAATCGCTCGAACCCGGGAGGCAGAGCTTGCAGTGAGCCGAGATCGTGCCACTGCACTCCAGCCTGGGCAACTGAGTGAGACTCAGTCTCAGAAAAAAAAAAAAAAAAAAAAAAAAAAAAACCATTTGAGTGAAGGAGAAGAAAAACATAGCTGGATGACTGGGCACAGTGTCTCATATCTGTAATCCTAACACGGTGAGAGGCTGAGGCAGGACGATCACTCAAGACCAGGAATTCGAGACCAGGCTGCATAACATAGTGAGACTCTTCTCTATAAAAAATTGTAAGGCCAGGCATATGGCTCACGCCTGTAATCCCAGCACTTTGGGAGGCCGAGACAGGCAGATCACCTGAGGTCAGGAGTTCAAGACCAGCCTGTCCAACATGGTGAAACCCCGTCTCTACTAAAAATACAAAAATTAGCCAGGTGTGGTGGCAGGCACCTATAATCCCAGATACTCTGGAGGCTGAGGCAGGAGAATTGCTTGAACCTGAGATGTGGAGGTTGCAGTGAGCTGAGATGGTGCCACTTCACTCCAGCCTGGGCGACAGAGCGAAACTCTGTCTCAGGAAAAAAAAAAAAAAAAAATTTTTTTTTTAATTGGCCAGGTGTGGTGGTGAGCACCTGTAGTCCTAGCTACTCAGGTGGCTGAGGTGGGAGGATTGCTTGAATCCAGGAGTTCAAAGCTGCAGTGAGGTATGATTATGCCACTGCACTCCAGCCTGGGTGACAGAGTAAGACCCTGTCTCTAAAAGAAAACAAAACCAAAAACCATGTCTGGGCCTAGAGAGGTTGTTACACCACAAGCAGAGGGGTCCTAGGTTGAGTGTCACCAAAGTGCTAACAGATTTTTGGGAAAGGGGGTGGAGGGAGACAAAGTCTCACTCTGTCACCCAGGCTGGAGTGCAGTGGTGACATCTTGGCTCATTGCAGACTCAAACTTCTGGGCCCAAGTGATCCTCCTACCTCACCCTTCCAAGTAGCTGGGACTACTGGGGAACACTGCCAGATTTTTTTTTTGTATCTCAATGAAAATGTTGCTACTTTTACTCTGTCCTGGGTCTCTTTGATTTATGCTACATGGTTTCCATGGCTGAGGTCACTGCAACTTTGTTTCTTACACTTACAATGCTTGTTCTCTCCGAGGAGTTGGGGCTTACAAACCCATCAGCACGCTGAGCTCAAGGTTCACTCCCTCCTATGGCACTGTGGGGTGGGCACATCGTTTTTTGTTTTTTTTTTAGACTGAGATGGAGTTTTGCTCTTGTTGCCCAGGCTGGAGCGCAAGGGTGCAATCTCTGCTCACCGCAACCTCCGCCTCCAGGGTTCAAGCAATTCTCCTGCCTCAGCCTCCTGAGTAGCTGAGATTACAGGCATGTGCCACCATACCTGGCATATTTTGTATGTTTTTAGTAGAGATGGGGTTTCTCCATGTTGGTCAGGCTGGTCTCGAACTCCCGAACTCAGGTAATCCACCTGCCTCAGCCTCCCAAAGTGCTCGGTTACAGGCATGATCTTTACACTCTCAGGTGTATGAGACCTATAACCAAAACACAGAAAGGTCAAAAGGTCTTCAGGACTGAAGAGAATAACCCTCAATGGTGTAATTCTAGGACAGCATTTCTCTGAGTAGGAGGTACATTTGGGAGTAGGGAAGCATGACAAAAATGCCTATAACCACTTCCATATGGTTTTGAGAGTATCTCTGTCTGGCCAGAGTAGGCAAAAGGTATTCATGGGCATTGAAGTGGGTCAACGTTTGCACTATGAGAGAAGAGAGAATCACCTGGAAGAGGTTCCAGGGCAGAGGTAATTAGGCAGAAGGCGAGAGCTCAGATGAGAGACCACTGGGGAGATCTGAAAAGCCAGGATAAAACATAAAAGAAAGCTATTTTTAGGGATGTGAAATCAGATTGTAGGACAAGCGGATCTAGGCATCTGAAAATAGTCATTAGAAAAGGCTGGAAAGCAAAAGAGAGTTAGGGCAACATTATGGTGTTTGAATGACTGTCAGGAGACGTGCAATTTTTATCAAACTTGGAAGTGAGGGAGTTGCCTCTGAGCTCAGGAAAATGATTTGTGCCTCTTTGGACAAATGTTGTCCCTCTAATGTGGCGCAGTCATTAGATCATGAACATCATATTACATTGACCTTTCAAGATGTCGTAGCTCAAAGTCAAGAGGAGGGAGAAAGCACACGGTGAATTCTGGAGGCTGGTTTTGATCGGATTTTTTGCCTGGAAAATGATTACAAGAGAGCTCACTTTTAATTATTTCTTATGCCAGGCGCAGTGGCTCATGCTTGTAATCTCAGCACTTTGGGAGGCCAAGGCCAGAGGATCAGTTGAGGTCAGGAGTTCGAGACCAGCCTGGCCAATGTGAGGAAACCCCATCTCTACTAAAAATAAAAAAAATTAGCCAGGTGTGGTGGCACGCACCTGTAATCCCAGCTATCTGGGAGGCTGAGGCACAAGAATCACTTGAACCTGGAAAGCAGAGGTTGCAGTGAGCTGAGGTCGCACCACTGCACTCCAGCCTGGGTGACAGAGCATGACATTGTCTAAAAAAAAAAAAAAGAAAGAAAGAAAACAGAATGCTCTGAATGTTTGTGTCCCTCCAAAATTCATACTTTGAAACCTAATCACCAATATCAATAAGATGGTATTAGAAGATGGGGTCTTTGGGAGGCAATTAGGTCATGAGAGTGGAGCCCTTGTGAATGAGATTAGTGCTCTTACAAAAGAGACCCCAGGCCGGGCTTGGTGGCTCACACCTGTAATCCCAGCACTTTGGGAGGCCAAGGTGGGTGGATCACCTGAGGTTGGGGTTCAAGACCAACCTGACCAACATGGTGAAACCCCCATCTCTACTACAAACACAAAAATTAGCTGGGCGTGGTGGCAGGCACCTATAATCTCAGCTACTTCAGAGGTTGAGGCAGAAGAATCACTTGAACCTGGGAGATGGATGTTGCAGCGAGCCAAGATTATGCCACTGCACCCAGCCTAGGTGACAAGAGCAAAACCCCGTATCAAAAAAAAAAAAAGAGACCCCAGAGATCTGCCTTACTCCTTAGGCCACGTGAGGACACAGCTAGAAGGTGCCATCTATAAACTAGACACTGAATCTGATCTTGGACTTCCCAGCCTCCAGAACTGTGAGAAATAAGTTTTGTTCATAAGCCATGCAATTTATGGTATTTTGCCAGAGCAGCCCAAACAGAGTAAAGGAAAAGATTATCAATGGATGCTATAATTAGTGGGTAAATGCATGATAGAAACAGGATATTTACAATCTCTCAAGATGCTTTTATTTATTGATTTATTGAGACCGAGTCTTACTGCATTTCAGCCTGGATGACACTGTGAAGAGACTCCAACTCTAAAACACACACACACACACACACACACACACAACCTGAATTTAACCATGAGGAAACACAAACGCAAACTGAGAGACAGTCTATAAATTATGAAACAATGCTCTTCAAAAATGTCAAGATCATGAATGAAAAAAAAAAAGACAGAGGAAGTCTTCCAGACTGGAGAAATCTAAGGAAATTGGAAAACTAAATGCAATATATGATCCTGGATTTGATCCTGGACCAGAAAAAGATCATTAGTGGCTGAGTGTGGTGGCTCACACCTGCAATCCCAGCACTTTGGGAGGCCAAGGTGGGCAGATCACAAGGTCAGGAGTTCGAGACCAGCCTGGCCAATATGGTGAAACCCCCTCTCTACTAAAAATACAAAAATTAGCCGGGTGTGGTGGTGTGCGTCTGTTGTCCCAGGTACTTGGGAGGCTGAGGCAGAAGAATCGCTTGAACCCAGGAGAAGGAGGTTGCAGTGAGCCAAGATTGTGCCACGGCACTCCAGCCTGGGCAATGGAGCGAGACTCCATCTCGGAAAAAAAAAAAAAAAGAGAAAAAAAAAGAACACTAGTGAGATAACTGGAAATATTTGAATAGGGTCAGTAGATTGCTGAACAGTACTGTGTCGATGCCAATTTCCTTGTTTTGATCCTTGTCCTATGGTTATCTATGATATGAGCATGTTGGAGAAGCTATAGAGAGGTATACAGGAATTCTTTGTACTAATTGTGCAACTTTACTTTTAAGCCTGGTATTATTTCTTTTTTTCTTTTTTTCCCCCTTTTTTTTGGAGACAGAGTCTTGCTCTGTTGCCCAGGCTGGAATGCAGTGGCGCGATATTGGCTCACTGCAACCTCTGTCTTCCAGGTTCAAGCAATTCTCCTGCCTCAGCCTCCCAAGTAGCTGGAATCACAGGCATCTGCCACCATGTCCGGCTAATTTTTTGTATTTTTTCGGGGGGGGCTGGGGATGGAGTTTCGCTCTTGTTGCCTGGGCTGAAGTGCAGCGGTGCGATGTTGGCTCACCGCAACCTCCGCCTCCCAGGTTCAAGCAATTCTCCTGCCTCAGCCTCCCGAGTAGCTGAGATTACAGGCATGTACCACCACACCTGGGTAATTTTGTATTTTTAGTAGAGATGGGGTTTTGTCATGTTGGTCAGGCTGGTCTCAAACTCCTGACCTCAGGTGATCCACCCGCCTCAGCCTCCCAAAGTGCTGGGATTACAGGCGTGAGCCACCATGCTTGGCCAATTTTTTGTATTTTTATTAGAGATGGGGTTTTACCAAGTAGGCCTCGAACTCCTGACCTCAGGTGATCCACCTGCCTTGGCCTCCCAAAGTGCTGGGATTATGGGCATGAGCCACCACTCGCGGCCCTTTTTTTTTTTTTTGAGACAGGGTCTTACTCTGTCACCCAGGCTGGAGTGCAGTGCATGATCTTGGCTCACTGCAACCTCCACCTCACAGGTTCAAGCAATTCTCATGCCTCAGCCTCCCAAGTAGCTGGGACTACAGGTGCACATCACCACTCACAGCTAATTTTTGCATTTTTTGATAGAGATGGGGTTTCTCCGTGTTGGCCAGGCTGGTTTCAAGTGATCGCCCACCTCAGCCTCCCAAAGTGCTGGCATTACAGGTGTGAGCCACCACACACGGCCTGGTATTATTTCAAAATTCAAAATTATCAGGCTTAAAAAATGAGACAGCTCATCAGTACTGATATGGAATAATCTCCAAAATACATTGTTGAGTGAAAATGCAAGAGGAAAAGCTACGTGTGGCAGGATATTATCCTTTGTACAAAAAGGAGTGATATGTGCACACAACACATACACACACACACACATACATACACATACATACACACAACACATAGACACACACACATACACACACATACACACAACACACACACATACACACACATACACACAACACATACACACACATACACACACATACACATACATACACACACATACACATACATACACACAACACATAGACACACACACATACACACACATACACACAACACATACACACACATACACACAACACATACACACACACATACACACACATACACATACATACACACATACACACACACATACACATACACACATATACATGCTCACAGACACATGAGTGAATCTACATGGAATATCCCTTGAATAAAATGCAAGCAATTGGTTATGGTGATCGCCACTGGGGCAGGGAACTAGGAACTTGATAGTAAGGCTTGGCAGAAAAATTACTCCTTATCATACACAGTTTTTGGTATTGTTTGAGATTTTTAAAATACCATACATGTATTTTGTTATTTTTATTTATATTTATTTATTTTGAGACTGAGTCTAGCTCTGTTGCCAGGCTAGAGTGCAGTGGCATAGTCTCAGCTCACTGCAACCTCTTCCTCTCGGGTTCAAGCGATTCTCATGTCTCAGCCTCCTGAGTAGCTGGGATTACAGTCGCATGCCACCACATCCGGCTAAGTTTTATATTTTTAGTAGAGACAGGGTTTTGCCATGTTGGCCAGGCTGGGCTCGAACTCCTGACCTCAAGTGATCCACCTGCCTCAGACTTCCAAAGTGCTGGGATTACAGGCATAAGCCACTGCACCCAGCCTCTTTGTCCTTTTTTTTTTTCATTCAAGACATAGTCTCACTTTGTCACCTAGGCTGGAGTGCAATGGCCTTGGCTCACTGCAATGTCCGCCTCCTGGGTTGAAGCGATTCTCCTGCCTCAGCCTCCCGAGTAGCTAGGACTACAGGCGTGTGCCACCATGCCCGGCTAATTTTTTATATTTTTAGTAGAGACGGGTTTCACCATATTGACCAGGCTGGTCTCAAACTCCTGACCTCATGATCCACTCGCCTCAGCCCACCAAAGTGCTGGGATTACAGGCGTGAGCCACCGCGCCTGGCCTCCTTGTGCTTTTAAATCTTGCTGGTGATCAGTTCATAGGGCAGCTCCCAGTTTAAAAAATAAATAAATAAATCTTGCTGGTGGGAGTGAAGACTTTTTGAAAGACGTTTGATGGCTGGTATTAAAATTATCAAAAATTTGGCTGGGCACGGTGGCTAACGCTTGTAATCCCAGCACTTTGGGAGGCCAAGGCTGGTGGATCATGAGGTCAGGAGTTTGAGACCATCCTGGCCAACACGGTGAAACCCTGTCTCTACTAAAAATACAAAAATTACCCAGGCATGGTGGTGCATGCCTGTGGTCCCAGCTACTCGGGAGGCTGAGGCAGGAGAATCACTTAAACCCATGAGGCAGAGGTTGCAGTGAGCCAGGACTGCGCCACTGCACTCCAGCCTGGGCGACAGAGTGAGACTCCATCTCAAACAACAACAACAACAACAACAAACCAAAATTTGAACTGGGTGTGGCGGCTCATGCTTGTAAATCCCAGCACTTTGGGAGGCTGAGGTAGGAAGATTGCTTGAGCCCAGAGTTTGAGACCAACCTGGGTAACATATTGAGACCCTGTCTCTATTTATTATTTTTTTAAATTTAAAAAAAAACAACAACAAACAAAACCAAAATTTGCCAATGTGCAACTTCCAGGTACGGCTTTATGAAGAGGTAGGCAAATCTTCTCTCCCAAAAAGATCAGAACAAAATTATCAAAAACAACCATTTGAGGGCCCTGGAGATCAACCAAAGGCAAACAACACATTGAGAGACATTCATGCCAGGCACAGTGGCTCATGGCTGTAAGCCCAGCACTTCGGGAGGCTGAGGCAGGTGGATCACTTTAGGTCAGGAGTTCGACACCAGCCTGGCCAACATGGTGAAACCCTGTATCTACTAAAAATACAAAAATTAGCCAGGCGTGGTGATAGGTGCCTGTGATCCCAGCTACTTGGGAGGCTGAGGCAGGAGACTCGCTGGAACCTGGGAGTGAGCCGAGATCACACCACTGCACTCCAGCCTGGGCAACACAGTGAGATTCCATTTCAAAAAAAAAGAAAAAGAAAAGAAAAGAGGCATTCAGGAAGAACTACTGGAACCTTAGGTAGGAATAGGAGTCCGCAGTCTTTTGCAGAAGACCTGCTTCCATCAGCTCCCTGCCAAGCTGGACAGCTGCAGTCACTGCACCATGGCAGGCCAGGACTAGAAAAGCTGCTTGGCTGCAAGAAAGAGCACACTTGGTTTGGAACAGAGAGGAAAAGTCATGCTTGACAGCATTGTCAGTGAAGCAGCAACCTCAGTAGAAAACGAACATGGGAACCTGCGGCTCTGCTAGCCTGAGCCTGTGGCTCCAGTTGGGGTGAGTGGCCAGAATTTCAATAGGAAGACTCTGGAAATGATAGAGCAAGAGAAGGCCTAACTAAGCTCTCCAGCTGTGTCTGGGTGACTGGGAAACTACACACACATGCAGGGAGAAACAAGTGGGCCTGGAGAAACGTGAAATCAGAGGCAGGCTAGAGAACGGCCTGAACTTTGGATGCCCTGCCCATCACACACAGCCCCGTCAGTGAAAGATGAGGTCTTATGGGCTCAACTTCTGCCTTAATCAATGGCTGACCACTAAGCAATGCAGACACAGGGGTGTCTCTTAGAAGTCAGACTAAAAATAGCTGGGCGCGGTGGCTCATGCCTGTAATCCTAGCACTTTGGGAAGCCAAGGCAGGTGGATCACCTGAGGTCAGGAGTTTGAGACCAGCCTGGCCAATGTGGTGAAACCCCATCTCTACTAAAAATCCAAAAATTAGCCAGGCGTGATGACTAACACCTGTAATCCCACCTACTTGGGAGGCTGAGGGAGGAGAATCACGTAAACCTGGGAGGCGGAGGTTGCAGTGAGCTGAGATCGCGCCATTGCACTCCAGCCTGGGCAACAAGAGCGAAACTCCGTCTCAAAAAAAAAAAAAAAAAAAAAAAAGACAGCACCGCACTAAGAATAAAAAGCTGAACAGAGGGTGTCAGGTTTCTGGTCTGGCACGCAAGGAGCTCGGCAGTCGCCACTCTATACTAACAACAAGTAAAAAGCTGAACAAACTGAAAAATCAACTCTTCTTAGATGCATAAGAGAAGTGAGGTCACAGGGCAAATCGCTGCCCCCACACTTGGAGAGATGGGCAGGCGAATACAGAGAATCACAACTTACCGGAGCAGCAACCCATGAGCTGAAATGGCCACAGGAACCAGCACCCAGGAAGGGAAACCTAAATTGTAAGTAATGAGCTGCGGGATGGTCAGTGTGCAGGAGCCTGAAAGTCAAAACCTCCAGGGGGCCGGGCACGGTCGTTCACGCCTATAATCCCAACACTTTGGGAGGCCAAGGTAGGAGGATCACTTGAGCCCAGGAGTAGAAGTTTGAGACCAAGCTGGGCAACATAGCAAGACCTTGTCTCTACTGAAAATTAAACTAGCCAGGAGTGGTGGCACGTGCCTGTAGTCCTAGCTACTGAGGAGGGAGGTGGAGGCTGAGGATTGCTGGAGCCCAGGAGTTTGAGGTTGCAGTGAGCTATGATCGCATCGCAGCACTCCAGCCTGGGCAGCAGAGCAAGACCCTGTCTCTGAAAAACAAACAAACAAATAAAACACAAAAAAATCCCAAAAACTCCAGTGGGTTCCAGTCATGGAGTGGGGGCTCCCTTATTTTTGTGAGTTTTACCTCTGGGAGCTCAACCAGGTTCTACAGTAAATATTAGAGAAAAATCCCCTCATGCTTCCTGCAGGGGGAGGGGGAAAGGAACCATTTTGAAACACAGTAACGTACCACATACCATTTTGGGCATATATGGTGGTGGTCCCATGAGATGCTAATATTGGCTGGGCATGGTGGCTCACACCTGTAATCCTAGCACTTCAGAAGGCTGAGGCAGGAGGATTGCTTGAAGCCAGGAGTTCAAGGCCAACATAGTGAGACCCTCATCTCTCAAAAATAAAAATAAAAATTAGAAAATAAAAGATGCTAATATTGTATTTTTACTTTATTATTATTTTTTAGACGAAGTTTCACTCTTATCATCTAGGCTGGAGTACAATGGCGTGATCTCGGCTCACTGCAACCTCCGCCTCCTGGGTTCAAGCAATTCTCCTGCCTCAGCCTCCTGAGTAGCTGGGATTACAGGCGCCTGCCACCATGCCCAGCTAATTTTTGTATTTTTAGTAGAGATAGGGTTTCATCATGTTGGCCAGGCTGGTCTCGAACTCCTGACCTCTGATGATCCACTCTCCTCGGCCTCCCAAAGTGCTGGGATTACAGGCATAAGCCACTGTGCCCGGCCTCACTGTACCTTTTCTATGTTTAGATGCATAAATACTCACCATTGTCTTACAATTGCCTATGGCATTCAATACAGTAACATGCTGTGAGGTTCGTAGCCCAGGAGCAACAGGCTATACCATATACCATACAGCTGTGTAGTAGGCGATACCATCTCGGTTTGTGGAAGTTCACTCTATGATGATTCCACGATGATGAAATCACCTAACGATACATTTCTCAGAATGTATCCCCATCGTTAATCAAGGCATGACTGTAAACAGAGCATTTGGTTTTTCTTAACGAGGTCTACCCTTAGGGGAAACTAATTAACTAGGGTCTAACCTGCTGGGGTTTTATCAGAGCCTGACTGACCTGGGAAAAGAGTAAATATCCAACTTGCTGGCTCTAGCCTTCAACACGGAGCATGGGAAATACCCAACCCCAGCCCATTCTAGCCAGCCTGTCTCACTAAATGGGAAGGCAGGTGAACCAAGAAACATGTGTAAAGTTCACAGGCCAGAGGCACAGGCTCACTGCAAGGCTGACACCTAATCATGGGAACATAGAATACTCCCCCTCCCCCACACCTCACCACCACATCACTCAAGGCCGATGTACAGCTGTTCCTTTTACCCAGTATATCATGTTTGGCTAGCAAGAAAAAAATCACAAGAGGGCCGGGCGCGGTGGCTCACGCCTGTAATCCCAGCACTTTGGGAGGCCGAGGCGGGCGGATCACGAGGTCAGGAGATCGAGACCATCCCGGCTAAAACGGTGAAACCCCGTCTCTACTAAAAATACAAAAAATTAGCCGGGCGTAGTGGCGGGCGCCTGTAGTCCCAGCTACTTGGGAGGCTGAGGCAGGAGAATGGCGTGAACCCGGGAGGCGGAGCTTGCAGTGAGCCGAGATCCCGCCACTGCACTCCAGCCTGGGTGACAGAGCGAGACTCCGTCTCAAAAAAAAAAAAAAAAAAAAAAAAAAAAAAAATCACAAGACATACTACAAGGCAAAAACACAGTTTGAAGAGACAGAGCAAGTATCAAAATCAGGCTGAGATGGCAAGGATGTTGGAACTGTCAGACTAGGAATTTAAAACAACTCTGATTAATATTCTAAGGGATCCAATGGATAAAGTAGACAGGCATGCAAGAGCAGGTGTGCAATGTAGGCAGAGAAATGGAAATTCTAAGAAATGATCAAAAATAAATGCTATGTAACAGAAATGAAGAACGCCTTTAATGGACTTATTAGTAAACTAGACACAGCTGAGGAATCTCTGCATTTGAGGATAGCTCAGTAAAAAATCCCCAAAGTTGAAAAGCAAAGAGAAAAAAGACTAAAAAGCCAACCCCAGAATATTCAAGAACTGTGGGAGAATTATACACATAATGGGAATACCAGGGGAAAAAAAGAGAAAAATGATCAGAAGAAATATTTGAAACAATAATTACTGGGAATTTCCCAAATTAATGTTAGATTCAAAACCACAGATCTAGGAAGCTCAGAGAACACAAGCAGGATAAATGCCAGAAAAACTATACTGAGGCATATCATTGCCAAATGACAGAAAATCAAAGATAAAGAGAAATACTAGCAGGTGTGGTGGCTCACACCTGTAATCCCAGCTACTTGGGAGGCTGAGTGGGGAGAATTGCTTGAGCCCAGGAGTTTGAGACCAGCCTGGGCAACACAGTGAGATCCTATCTCAAAGAAAAAGAAAAAAGAAAAATACTGAAAGAAATCAGGGGAGGGGGCAGGGAACACCTTACCTGTAGGGGAGCAAAGAAAAGAATTACATCCAACTTTTCATCAGAAGCCATGCAAGCAAAAAGTGGGTGAAGTGAAATTGAGAGGGCCAGGCTGGGTGGCTCACGCTTGTAATCCCAGCACTTTGGGAGGCCGAGGCGGGCGGATCACGAGGTCAGGAGATTGAGACCATCCTGGCTAACACGGTGAAACCCTGTCTCTACTAAAAATACAAAAAAAAAATTAGCAGGGCGTGGTGGCAGGCACCTGTAGCCTCCAGCTACTCGGGAGGCTGATGCAGGAGAATGGCGTGAACCCGGGAGGCAGAGCTTGCAGTGAGCGGAGATCGCACCACTGCACTCCAACCTGGGCACCAGAGCAAGACTCCGTCTCAAACAAAAAAAAAAGTATTGAGAGAAAAAAACCCCACCAACTTACAATTCTGTATTCTGTGAAATAATCCTTAAAGCAAAGGAGAAATAAAGAATTTCTCAGAAAGTAAAAGGATGAAAGAAGATATACCATGCAAACAATAACCAAAAGAGAGCTGGAGTGGCTATATTCATATTAGACAAAATAGACTTTAAGCCAAGCAACAATACTAGAAACAAAAAGGGACATTTTGGCTGGACACGGTGGTTCATGCCTGTGATCCCAGCACTTTGGGAGGCCGAGGTGGGCGGATCACCTGAGGTCAGGAGTTCGAGACCAGCCTGGCCAATATGATGAAACCCCATCTCTACTAACAATACAAAAATTAGCCAGGTGTGGTGGCATGCACCTGTAATCCCAGCTACTTGGGAGGTTGAGACAGGAGAATCGCTTGAACCCAGGAGGCAGAGGTTGCAGTGAGCTGAGATCACACCATTGCACTCTAGCCTGGGCAACAAGAGTGAAAACTCTGTCTCAAAAAAAAAAAAAAAAAAAAAAAAAGAGGGACATTTCACAAGAATAAAAGGGTGAATTGTCTGGGCACAGTGGCTCACTCCTGTAATCTCAGCACTTTGGGAAGCTGAGGTGGGAGGATTGCTTCAGACCAGGAATTCAAAACCAGGCTGGCCAACATAGCGAGACCCCATCTCTATTGAAAAAAAAGAAAAAGAATATTTAAAAGGGTCAATATGTGAAGTTGTAACAATTATAATTATATATGTATCAATCAATAGATAATCAAAATATATGAAAAAAATAAGAGTTAAAATGAGAAATAGAACTCAACGAAAATAAGTAGAGATACACATCCTCCTATTTGACCTAACTCATCATTATAGAGCACTCCACTCAATGGTAGCAGAATATACATTCTTTTCAGGCCCACTTAGAACATTCTCTAGGATAAAAAGCAAGTCTCAATAACTATAAAAGGGTGGAAATCACACAAAGTGTGTTTACTGGCCATAATGAAATTATATGAAAAATCAAAAATGGGCCAGGCACAGTGGCTCACGCCTGTAATCCTAGCACTTTGGGAGGCCGAGGCGGGTGGATCACGAGGTCAGGAGATCAAGAACATCCTGGCTAACATGGTGAAACCCCCTCTCTACTCAAAATACAGAAAAATTAGGCATGGTGGAGGGCGCCTGTAGTCCCAGCTACTCGGGAGGCTGAGGCAGGAGAACCGTGTGAACCCGGGAGGCAGAGCTTGCAGTGAGCCGAGATCATGCCACTGCACTCCAGCCTGGGCTACAGAGCCAGACTCCACCTCAAAAAAAAAAAGAAAAAGAAAAAGTGATAGGAAATTTAGGAATTCCACAAATATTTGGAAACTAAACAACACAGGTTTTTTTTGTTTTTTTGTTTTTCCTGAGAAAGGGTCTCCCTTTGTCACCCAAGCTGAAGTGCAGTAATGTGATCATGACTTACTGCAGCCTCAGCCTCCTGAGCTCAAGCAATCCTCCTGCCTCAGTCTCCCAAGTAGCTGGGACTATAGGCATGTGTCACCAGCTAATTTTTAAAATTTTTTTAGAGACAGATAACAACATACTTTTAAATAACCCCAGGTTTAAAGAAGAAATCACAAGAGAAAAGTTTTCTGAAAGGTCACTGTATAGCAGTCTTGTAGTCTTAACAAGGTTAAGTAACTCCTCTTGGCTGGTAAGCAGCTGATCTGGGACTCACACAGAGGTCTGCCCAGCCCAGTGAATAACACTTTGAACACTTACTTCCCTGCAGCTATGAACTGAATGTTCATGTTCCCCCAAAATTCTGAGGATGGCCTCCTGATCCCCAGTGTGATGGTATTAGAAGGTGGGGGCCTTTGGGAAGTAATTAGGTCATGAGGGTGGAGCCCTTGAAACCACCTTTGCACAATGATGACTGAGACAGTGGAAGAGAGCTGACTTAATCGACCCCATCTTGCTTCTAACTTCCAAACTTCCAAGCTGTCCTTTCTTTCTTTCTTTTTTTTTTTTTTTTTTTTTTTTGAGACGGAGTCTTGCTCTGTCGCCTAGACTGGAGTGCAGTGGCGCGATCTTGACTCACCGCAAGCTCTGCCTCTCGGGTTCACATCATTCTCCTGCCTCAGCCTCCCGAGTAGCTGGGACCACAGGCACCCGCCACCACGCCGGGCTAATTTTTTGTATTTTTAGTAGAGATGGGGTTTCACCGTGTTAGCCAGGATGGTCTTGATCTCCTGACCTCGTGATCCGCCCGCCTCGACCTCCCAAAGTGCTGGTATTACAGGCGTGAGCCACCGTGCCCGGCCCTAACTTCCAAGCTGTCCTTTTCCATTCTTGGGCATAGGCTGAACTAACTTTGGGAGAAACTTAAGTCTAAAACAAAGACCTCAACAGCCCTTTCCCAAAGCAGACCTCCTTCTTGCCTGGGGACTAGATTGCCTTTGTAGAACTAACATTAGCCACAAGATTAGAAATTATGGTTTAGGGGTCATGCAGCAGGCTACAAGATTCTGACCCTCCCTAAACTTCTCCTAAGATCAGTGCTTGAGATATTTTTCAGACCCTGTACTTGCAGACCCTGGCACCACCCAGATTGATAAACTGGCTCATCTGATCTTGTGGCCCCCACCCAGGAACTGGCTCAGCGCAAGAAGACAGCTTTGACTCACTATGATTTCATCTCCGACCAATCAGTACTCCTGGCTCACTGGCCTCCCCCCACCCACCAAGTTGTCCTTAAAAACTCTGATCCCCAAATGCTCAGGGAGACTGATTTGAGTAATAAGAAAACTCCAGTCTCCTGCACAGCTGGCTCTGCATGAATTACTCTTTCTCTATCGCAGTTCCCCTGTCTTGATAAATCTGCTCTGTCTAGGCAGCGGGCAAGGTGAACCGACTGGGTGGTTACCCCCTCATGAATGGGATCAGTGCCCTTGTGAGAAGAGTCACAGAAGTTGCTTCCTCTCTCTGCTCTCCACCATGTGACGATACTGATATAGGAGTTCAGAAATTGTTTAGGCAGATAGTGAGGGTAAGAAAGTCCTCAGTAAGGTTTTTCTGTTAATGGAAAGCAGCCCTAAAATAATTTCTTTTCTAACAAAGAGCAGCCTGTAAAATTGAGCTGCAGACATAGATAAGTAAGCTGGAAGTTTGCATGGGTGAATGCTGGCAGCTGCGTCAATAGGAAAAGGCTACCCGGGGGCCAGGCATGTTCAACATGGCGGCTCCATCTTCCCTTTTCTTTGTCAACCACGTGTACAGTAAGGAACAGACAACATGGTGCCAGCCAGTTAGAGACCCCATCTGCACAATAAAAGATTAGGGTGGGATGGCCAGCTTCTTACCTGCTATCCAAATGTCACACCTGGTCTGACCAATCTCTTGGGCCCTGTGTAAATCAGAGACACTCCCTCCTCCAGCTTTCCTATAAAAACCAGTGCATTTCACCACAAAACCAGAAGACCCACTCAGGCACCCCTTTCTTTCTGCAGGAGAGAGAGAGCTATTCTCTTTTCTCTTTTGCCTATTAAACCTCTGCTCTTTTTTTTTTTCCTTTTTTTCTGAGATGGAGTCTCACTCTGTCACCCAGGCTGGAGGGCAGTGGCTCGATTTTGGCTCACTGCAACCTCTGCCTCTTGGGCTCAAGCAATTCTCCAGCCTCAGTCTCCCGAGTAGCTGGGATCACGGGCGTGCACCATGACGCTGGACTAATTTTTGTATATTTGTAGAGACAGGGTTTCACCATGTTGGCCAGGCTGGTCTTGAATTCCTGACCTCAAGTGATCCACCCACTTCAGCCTCCCAAAGTGCTGGGATTACAGGCATGAGCCACCGCACTCGGCCAATAAACCTCCGCTCTTAAACTCACTCCTTGTGTGTCCATGTCCTCCATTCCCTTGGCAAGAGACAACAAACCTTGGGTATTTACCCCAGACAATGACGCTGCTTCAGTACAATGAGAAGATGGTCACCTGCACACCAGAAAGCGGATACTCTGCAGACACCAGATCTGCTGCCACCTTGATCTTGGACTTACCAGGCTCATGCTTGTAATCCCAGCACTTTGGGAGTCTGAGGCAGGAGAATTGCTTGAGCCCAGGAGTTCAAGACCAGCCTGGGCAACAAGTCAAGACCCCACCTGTACAGAAATTAAAAAAACAATTAGTGGGGTATGGTGGTGTGCACTTGTGGTCCCACCTACTCTGGAGGCTGAGGTAGGAGAATTGGTTGAGCCAGAAAGATTGAGGCTGCAGTGAGCCATGATTGCCCCACTGCACTCCAGCCTGAGTGACAGAGATCGCATCTCTAAATAAATAAATAAATGTTGTTGTTGTAAGCCACCCAGTCTATGGTATTTTTGTTGTAGTCGCCTGAACAGAGTGTAACACCTGTGGAGGCTACGGAGGACTATGTGAGTAAAAAATCCTGCAACGAGATTGTGTTTCTCCTCCTATTCCCACTAATTGGCTCATTAATGAGACACACAAAAAAACACAGACACACAAAAATACATGTGAGGGGCTCAGGAAGCTCTGCTTTCTATAGAAATTCATTGATTCCCCCAAGAAGAAAGCTGGAGGTGACAGAAAAGAATGTAACTTCATATTTAATTTAATGTTCCAATTCACAATTCATAATATTATTCCATTAGAGCCTATCCTTCAAAATGTCTCATATCCAGGAATGAATTATTATTTAACTAGGTGTTCAAACCACACTTCGGAAGGATCCATTCATAATACATCACAATATTCTCAAAACCAGAATGTGGGTCATTGGGTATTTTCTTTGTACTGCTTTTCACTGCAGCAGTGAAAGCCCACGTGCTAAGTGTTGGCATGAAATGTCCTCTGCCAGAAAGAGCCACAGCCTACACTGGGCCCATTTACGGTGTCAGGACTTAGAGATCTGCACTCCAACCTCTTGATTTTCAGAGGAGGAAACAAGCTCAGCAAGTGAAATGGATATATGTACAACAGGAGGCAGTTTTCTGCCTGCTTACGAGCCCAGCTCTGCTGCTGTGTCCCTGTGCAGCAAATCCCTTAGCCTCCCTGTTTCCTCTCTGTGAAATGAGGATGATGAAATCTACCTTGTAGGGCCATCATGAGGAGATGGAGATGATGTATGGAAAGTGCTTGGAAGAGGGCCTGGCCTATGTAAGTGATTAGTTAAGTGTTGTTATTAGCGTGCGGCAGACATGATATTAGGGCTTTGATTCCTGGATTCCCAATCCAGCATCCCGAGCTCTTTCTCTTCCCCTGTGCATCCCAGCTTGTTCTTCCCATCCTTCCTCACCTCAGTTCATCTTCACCCTTCCGGTTGCTCAGTCCCTAAATCTTGAAGCTTTTTCTTTTGCTCCTCACATCTAATCCATCAGCAAATGCTGCTGCCTCTACCCTCAATATACACGTGGAATCCAACCCCATGTCAACACACTGCAGGCTCCTGTCTGGCTCCAGCCACAGTCTAAACCCCTCTCATCTTTCACCTCCCGCCCAGCCTCCTGTTCTGCCTGGGCTGCCTCGCAGTCTCTTTTTCACTCAGCAGCCACAGTGATCCTACTAAAATGTGCAATCCCTTTCTGCTCCTCTTTAAAGCTCTCTAATGAAAAGTTTGGCAGTTCTTAAACCTTCAGCCAGGGCAGATCCTGCAGCAATCGTGGTATCCTGACCCAAGAGGGCTGGGAGAGACTGAAATTTACAAGGAGGAAGTTGGATTTGGGAGCCGAGCTTCCAGAGGCGCAGGCTGCTTCCAGGGCCCTTGGAGCAGCATGGGTCTCTAGCAGGCCTCCCGAGGAAGAGAGTAGAAGCATGGCCCAGGTTCCCAGGCTGAGGGTGAGATCAGGGCTTACCTTTCTCCTCAGCATCTGCTCCTGGGAGTCCAGTATCCTCCCCAGGGGCCACCCTTGTCTCCCTACCCCCAAGGGAAAGAGAAAGGGAAACTGGCCTCATGACAGCCTACAAGGCAGCAGCTGAATCAAAGCCCTTGGCATAAGGTTGCATGGTAAGGACTGGCTCCTCCTGCACCAAGTGCAGGTGAGAGGAGAGCAACAGCAGCATCGGGAAGAACACAGCTTGAGCCACAGAGCACAGACAGCCCAGAACCTTCATCTCAAGGCTGGCAGGGGCGCAGTAACCTTGGAGCTGGGGGAGAGATGGTGTCCGGAATACAGGGAAGAAGAATATTAAGAACCCAGAGAAGAAACCAGAGGTACTAAGAACTTTTTTAATTTTATTTTTTCAAGACGGAGTCTTGCTCTGTCACCCAGGCTGGAGTGCAGTGGCATGATCTCAGCTCACTGCAACCTCCGCTTCCCAGGTTCAAGCAATTCTCCTGCCTCAGCCTCCTGAGTAGCTGGGATTACAGGTGTGCGCCACCACGCCCGGCTAATTTTTGTATTTTTAGTAGAGACGGGGTTTCACCATGTTGGCCAGGCTTGTCTCAAACTCCTTAACTTGTGATCAACCTGCCTCAGCCTCCCAAAGTGCTGGGATTACAGGCATAAGCCACCTCACCTGGCCCAGAACTAAGAATTTTAGATGTTTTTTCTAACTTCTCTAAGGATGTGATGGATTTTGTGACCAGGTTCTCCTCATGTTTCAGTTAGTTATTGCAATATAATAAATCACCTCAAAATTCAGTGGCTTAGGCCAGGCACGGTGGCTCATATCTGTAATCCCATCTCTTTGGGAGGCTGAGGCAAGACATCACTTGAGCCCAGGAGTTCAAGACCAGCCTAGGCAACATAATGAAACCCTTTCTCTACAAAAAATAAAAAACCTTCCTCATTTCACAGACAGGCAAACTGAGCCCAAATGGTTCATCCAGGTTCACATGGCCAGTTAGTGAGGCTGGACCAGATGCCAGGTGTCCTGTGTTTTCTTTGGTATCTGGTTCTTTTTTTTTTTTTTTTAAGACGGAGTCTCACTCTGTCACCTAGGCTGGAGTGCAGTGGCATAATATCAGCTCATTGCAACCTCTGCCTCCCGGGTTCAAGTGATTCTCCTGCCTCAGCCTCCCGAGTAGCTGGGATTACAGGCAACTGCCACCACACCTGGCTAATTTTTGTATATTTAGTAGAGACGGGGGTTCACCATTTTGGCCAGGCTGGTCTTGAACTCCTGACCTCGTGATCCCCCGCCTCAACCTCCCAAAGTGCTGGGATTACAGGCGTGAGCCACCGCACCTGGCCGGTATCAGGTTCTTATTATTACCTGGAGGTTCCTCTGTGCTGCCTCTCTAAACTAGAGATCTCATTCAAGCCCAGGAATGGCTCACAGGAGACTGAGCCAAGAGGTCAGCACTTCCTGATCTGCTCTTGCCAAATGACAGGGTAGCTTGGTGCACAGAGCTGTGCTGGGGAAGGCAGGCCTCCTCACCAGTGAAGGCTGTGGGCACTTAGATATGGAGGAGAGAAGGAGCTAGGTGTAAGTTTGGGTTTTGCCCCCTCCTTGCTCTCTTGCTGAAAGCAAATGCTACCTAACTCAGATCTCAGAGATGCTTCCTATAGGAGGGACAGTAAATACATGCAGTTGGATTTTACAACAGGTCAAGACAAAGTCTGGAGGGGATGGGAGCCTCATACAGTACCTGTGTAACCGCCTGAGGGGTTCACCTCGCCCGCTATCTAGCCAGAGCCAATTCATCAAGACAGGGGAAGTGCAATAGAGAAAGAGTAATTCATGCAGAGCTGGCTGTGCCCCCTACAGTTTTATTATTACTCAGTCAGTCTCCCCAGGCATTTGGGGAACAAAGGTTTTTTTGTTTTTGTTTTTCTTTTTTTGAGACAAAGTCTTGCTCTATCGCCCAGGCTGGAGTTGCAGTGGTGCAATCTCTGCTCACTGCAATCTCTGCCTCCCGCCTCCCAGGTTCAAGGGATTCTCCTGCCTCAGCCTCTGGAGTAACTGGGATTACACACATGTGCCTCCATGCCTGGCTAATTTTGGAGACAGGGTTTTGTCATGTTGGCCAGGCTGGTCTCAAACTCCTGACCTCAAGTGATTTGCCCGCCTTGGCCTCCCAAAGCTACAAGCATGAGCCACCACACCTGGTGGGGATCAGAGTTTTTAAGGGTAATTTGGTGGGTGGGGGGCCAGGGAGTTGGGAGTGTTGGCTGGTCAGGTCAGAGACGAAATCATAGGGAGTCGAAGCTGTACTCTTGCGCTGAGTCAGTTCCTGGGTGGGGATCACAAGATCAGATGAGCCAGTTTATGGGTCTGGGTGGTGTCAGCTGATCCATTAAGTGCAGGATCTGCAGAATATCTCAAGCACTGATCTTGGGCTTTACAACAGTGATGTTGTCCCCAGGAGCAATTTGAGGAGGGTCAGAATTTCATAGCCTCCAGCTGCATGACTCCTAGACCACAATTTTAAATCTTGTGACTAATTGATTAGTTCTGCAAAGGCAGTCTAGTCCCTAAGGCAAGAAGGGGTTTTGTTTTGGGAGAGGGCTGTTATTGTCTTTGGTTTTTTGTTTGCTTGTTTTTTTTTTTTTTTTTTTTTTTAGATGGTATCTCACTCTGTCACCTAGGCTGGAGTGCAGTGGTGTGATCTTGGCTCACTGCAACCTTCACCTCCTGGTTCCGAGCTATCCGCCGCCTCAGCCTCTCAAGTAGCTGAGATTACAGGCACCTGCCACCACACCTGTCTAATTTTTGTATTGGGTTCTCCATGTTGGCCAGGCTGGTCTCAAACTCCTGACTTCAAGTGATCTGCCTGCCTCAGCCTTCCAAATTGCTGGGATTATAGGCATGAGCCACCGCACCCGGCTCAAATCTGTTTTAAACTATAAACTAAGTTCCTCCCAAAATTAGTTCAGCCTATGCCTAGGAATGAACAAGGACAGGTTGGAGGTTAGAAGCAAGGTGATGTTGGTTAGGTCAGATTATCTTTCACTGTCTCGGTTATAATTTTGCAATGGCAGTTTCAGTATAATTGAGCTAAGAGATAATATCATCTCTTGCTCTGAACCTTTCATGAGGTACCAGTGTAACAGTATGTTTAATATTGGAGTTCCCTCATTGCATAACTCTCTTACTAATTCCTTTACCGCCAGCTGGCAGTCCTTCTCTCCATTTATACCTGTATTAGTTGGTTTGGGCTGCCATTACAAATACCATATCCTGGGTGGCTTATACAACAGAATTTATTTTCTCACAGTTTTGAAGGCTGGAAGTTTGAAATTGAGGTGCTGGCGTGGTCAGGTTCTGGTGAGGACTCTCTTCTTGGCTTGTAGACAGTCACCTTCTCATTGTGTCCTCATATGGGAGGAGGGGGCAGGTCTCTTCCTCTTCTAAGGCCACAGTCCTATGGGATTAGGGCCTCATTCTTGTGACCTCATTTAATCTTAATTATCTCCTAAAGACCTTATCTTTAGATACAGTCACATTAGGGGTTAGGGCATCAATATATGACTTTTGAAGGGACGTAATTCAGTCCATAGAATTAGTCTTGGCTCCCCAAACCTCAAGTCCTTACCACATGCAAAATACATTCATTTCTTCCCAACCACCCTAAAAGTCTCAATTCAATCCAGCATCAACTCTAAACTCTAAATCCAAAATTACATCTAAATATCACCTAAGGCTGTGCATGGTGGCTCACGTCTATAATCCCAGCACTTTGGGAGGCTGAGGCAGGAGGATTGCTTGAGCCCAGGAGTTTGAGACCAGACTAGGCAACATAGCAAGACACCATCTCTTAAAAAAAGAAAGAAAGAAAGAAAAAGAGGCCAGGTGCGGTGGCTCATGCCTATAATCCCAGCACTTTGGGAGGCCGAGGCAGGCAGATCATGAGGTCAGGAGACGAGGGCTAACACGGTGAAACTCCGTCTCTACTTAAAAATACAAAAAATTAGCCAGGTGTGGTGGCACACGCCTGTAGTCCCAGCTACTTGGGAGGCTGAGGCAGAATTGCTTGAACCAGGGAGGCAGAGGTTGCAGTGAGCTGAGATCACGCCACTGCACTTCAGTCTGGGCCACAGAGCGAGACTCCATCTCAAAAAAAAAAGAAAGAAAGAAAATTTACATAAATAAATAAATATCATCTAGGTCAGATATCAGTAAAATTCATATGATTCATACTGAGGGAAAATTTCTCTTCAGCTGCGAACCTGGAAAACCAGAGAAGTTATGTGCTTCCAAGTGCAATAGTGGGAAAACAAGACAGACATTCTCATTTCAAAGGGGAGAAATAGGAATGAAGGAAAAGGCGATGGTTCCTAAGTAAGCCCAAAACTTAGTGAGGCAAATTCCATGAGATCTTTTTTTTTTTTTGAGACGGAATCTTGCTCTGTTGCCCAGGTTGGAGTGTAGTGGTGTGATCTTGGCTCACTGCAACCTCCACCTCCCAGGTTCAAGTGATTCTCCTGTCTCAGCCTCCCGAACAGCTGGGATTACAGGCACACAGCACCACGCCCAGCTAGTTTTTTGTGTGTTTTTAGTAGAGACAGGGTTTCACCATGTTGGCCAGGCTGCTCTCGAACTCCTCACTTCAGGTGATCCACCCACCTCAGCCTCCAAAGTGCTGGGATTACAGGCGTGAGCCACCGCGCCTGGCCTCCACAATATCTTAGGCCCAAGAATATCTTTTTGGCTCCATGCCTTCCTTCTAGACCAACTGGGGCAGCACTTCCACCCATGAGGCTATGCTGGGTGAGGGTCCCACCCCCCATGGCTCTGCATGGTGGTCTCACCCCTAAAGCTTCAGGCAAGGGCCATCCTGCCTGTTGGAATCAAGGCAATAGCCTCACTCTTTGAACTGAGGAGGCAGTCCTGGTGATCTCTGAATTGCCTTTGGGCTAATTTTTCTCTATTCTTGAAGAATAATGCATATTCACAGTCAAATAGCTCTACGGTCTGGTCCTGTAGGGATCTAAGGAGTCCAACAGCATACCTTCATTTCATCTCATTTTTTCTGTCCCCTTTAACCCTGGCTAGTAGTGTTTCTGCTGGTATAATCTCATCTCTCTTCCTGGCTTCTGCTGATGTGGCTGATTAAGGCCATGAGTGGCACCCATGATCTCTTTATCAAATGGTTGTTGAGCCATACCCTTGCTATCCATTCCCCAGATGTCTGTGTGTGTAAGTTGGAAAACTCAAGTAGTTCTTTCAGAGGGTAGTGTGATCCTTCGGAGGGTAATGTGATCCTTCAATCACACTTTTTATCTTACCTTTAGGGGCTTGCTGGGACTTGAAATTACAGGTCTAGAAGTAAAGAGAGGTAGTGGGGATGGGAGACTCAGGTGTTGTCTTGCACAACAACTGCCTCAGGGGAGGCCACTACAGTTTCCTTGGGCAATGCAGGGTTAATCCCCTGTAATAGGGGTAGAAAGGCAGCTTCTACTGGGGAACGACAAGTCGCATCGATAACTGGGGATGAGGAGGTCTCCTCCAATGACAAAGAAGACTCATCAGAATTTAGGGGTTTCATGACCCCTTCATCAGGGTCTTCCTGCATGTCCTTGTTCAACTTTCAGGATCCCATTCCTTCCCAATCAATGTCCTCACTTTAACAGTAGAAACGGGCTGGGCATGGTGGCTCACACCTGTAATCCCAACACTGTGGGAGGCTGAGGCAGTGGATCACCTGAGGTCAGAAGTTCGAGACCAGCCTAGCCAACATGGCAAAACCCTGTCTCTATGAAAAATACAAAAATTAGCCAGGTGTGGTGGCACGCGCCTATAGTCCCAGCTACTCTTAAGGATGAGGCAGGAGAATCGCTTGAACCTAAGAGGCGGAGGTTGCAGTGAGCTGAGATCACGCCATTGCACTCCAGCCTGGGTGGCAGAGCAAGACTCCGTCTCAAAAAACAAAACAACAACAACAAAAAAAAAAACAGTAGAAATGCTGCAAGGCTGGAAGTTCAACTCAGCCAGTATCAGGATGAAGTTCTTGGTTAGATTTTAATCACTCTCAGCCCTGTGGTCACGGGAGATAAGTATCTTCTTCAGAACACACAAAGAAATTTTCAGGCCACTTACATGGTGCTTGAGCTGGGAATTTGAATCCCTGAACTTATTCTTTTATTTCCCTACTTTGTGTTTTCGTTTTTGTTTTGAGATAGAGTTTCGCTCTTGTTGCCCAGGCTAGAGTGCAATGGCGCAGTCTCGGCTCACCACAACCTCCGCCTCCTGGGTTGAAGTGATTCTCCTGCCTCAGCCTCCTGAGTAGCTGGGATTACAGGCACGTGCCACGACGCCTGGCTAATTTTGTATTTTTAGTAGAGATGGGTTTTCTCCATATTGGTCAGGCTGGTCTCGAATTCTTGACCTCAGGTGATCCACCTGCCTTGGCCTCCCAAAGTGCTGGGATTACAGGCGTGAGCCACTGCACCCGGCAAGGATATCTCTTTGCTCATTGCCAGACATTATGAGCTGTAAAGTGTGTTCCTTGGTCTGAAGAAATGACTCAATGGTCCAAATTGGCACACTATATTCTGTTCTGGTCCCTTCATAGTATTTTGGGGATTTGCATCTATCACCAAGTATGCAAAACCTGGACCAGAGTGTCTATTTCCATCAGGCTCCATACGTAACCTGCAGGGAATACTGGCATCTTCCCAACTTGCCAGCTATGTGCAATGCCTCTCCACCGGGGAATCTGCCCCCATAGCAATCTGCAGGCTCTGCCTTTTGTTGGCATTTTGCACTTCAGAGGGTGAAAGAACATGTCTAGATTCAGCCCATCTCTGCATTGCTGCAGTACCCACATATCCACTCATTTCATGGATCAAGGTGGGCATTTCAAGTGAACACACCAGGATATCCATTCGCCATCTCTGAGCAACTTCCAATTCTGAAAGGGGGTTCTTCTGATGGACATTGGCATGTCCTACTTTAATGCACCCCTTCGATTTTTATAGTAACTTCCACAGGGCTGTGCCCTTATAGCATCTTTTTTTTTTTTTTTTTTTGAGATGGAGTTTCACTCTTGTTGCCCAGGCTGCAGTGTGGCACGATCTCGGCTCACCACAACTTCCACCTCCTGGGTTCAACCGATTCTCCTGCCTCAGCCTCCCGAGTAGCTGGGATTACAGGCATGCGCCACCACGCCCGACTAATTTTGTATTTTTAGTAGAGACGGGTTTCTCCATGTTGGTCAGGCTGGTCTTGAACTTCGGACCTCAGGTGATCTGCCTGCCTCAGCCTCCCAAAGTGCTGGGATTACAGGCCTGAGCCACCGTGACCGGCCTAGCATCCCTTTAATAGACCAGTTTTCCATTGCCTTCTTGAAGCAGGATCATTGTCTGGGGTAAATGCCCTAGGGTCGTCATCTGGTGCCGAGAAGATTAATGAGGAGGAAACACACATATTGGAGTGGATTAAGGAGGGAAAAGCTTAATAGACAAAAGAGAGGAGAGAGGAGACCAGCTCTCTTGTGAGAGAGAGACGTCTAAAAATAGGGAAAGGTAGCCAACCGCAGCAGATTTTATAGGCAGGCTTGAGGAGGCAGTGTCTGACTTAGGTAGGGCTCACAGATTGGTTCGATCAGGTGTGACGTCTACATTTACATAGTGCGTGGGGAAGGATGGTTGCCCCACGCTAATCTTATTATGCAACCATTTGCATAATAAGATTATGCTCTTTCCACTTGGCCAGCGCCATCTCGTCTGCTCCTTACTGTACAGGCAGCTGGCAAAGAGAAGATGGAGCCACCATTTTGATAACGCCTAGTCCCAGGTAGCATTTTTTTCCTATTGGCGCAATTGCTGGCATTCACCTGTGCAAGATTCTAGCTTGCTTTTTTATGTCTGCAGCTCGATTTTACCGGCTGCTCTTTGTTAGAAAAGAAAATATTTGGGGGCTGCTTTTCATAAAAGGAAAACCTTATCGAGGACTTCTGTACCCTCACTATCTGCCTAAGTAATTTCTTTTTAACTCCTATATCACTCTGACTGACCATATGACCAGGGTATTGGCACCTCTCCTGAGTCAGTAAAAACCTGAACATGGGGCAGACAGCATACAGTTCAGCCAACTGAGCTGAGTTCTTTCCACTTTTTTCAGCGTGGCAACCTTCCAAACAGGATGCGGTCCATTTGCCTTAGAACTGCCATCCATACAAGAGCTACATCCGGATAGTTCTTTTTGGTCAATCAACAGCTATTATTAGGGTACCACCCAAGTGACAATAGGGCCTAAAGGGTCTTCAGGTGGTCTTAAGGTCAGCCCTAGGGAAAAAGAGGCTCCCTGCTTGTGAATACTTTTTGCACATCCCTGGTAACAGGTTCCTGTAAAACCATTTCCATTTTATTATGGCACACTTCTGAGCACTGTCTTCCCCATTAGAGCATTTTGCCAATGCCACCCAATACATCATGGGTGTTTTAGGTTTCAGTATTACTTGATATCCTTCAGTCGGAGGAGTAGTCTGAAGTAGTAGTAGTCTGACTACTCCTGTGATGAAAGGACATAAAATATTAGTGCCCAATAACTAGCTAGTCTTTATGGAAATGTTCTTGTCCAAAACCCAGCAGTCATTACCGGCTGATGCTCATAGGCTTTTGCCATAAACCTCAGTCTGTATTTCATCCACGGCTATTGTACAGATAATTTGTCCATACCATCACATCTGCTTCTACTCTGTACTGCTTGAAAGTAACAACACGTGTGGGCTCTGTGGGCTCATGCAATCTTATTGGTTCTCATTTGGATGTCCAAGCAGTATGGGCACAATGGTAGGTTTCCATGCCTTGTTTTACAATACTAGGTGGGGGAAGTGTTCTCCAGTCAGATATAATATCCATTCCCGTTAAAACTTCAAGTAAGTGAGACACAACCACTTCCCATAAAGCCAGTTCAAACATATTACTAATCATTCAAACTTTCACTTTAATCAACCCTATATTCCTACGTCCTCCCAATTTAACTATAGCCCTGATTAGGACTTTACCAATAGGTTTCAGAATCACAGTGCATGAGTGCTTACATGTCAAGGAGTCCCAGAAATGCCACCCCCTGACCATTTTACCCATCATGTGCATATGGCCTTGGGACTGTAGCAGGGAGTCAAGCCAAGAGACCCAGATTGTATGTATGTGTGTGTGTGTTTTTTTTAGAAGGAGCCTCGCTGTCACCCAGGCTGGAGTGCAGTGGGGCGATCTTGGCTCACTGCAACCTCTGCCTCTGGGTTCAAGTGATTCTCCTGCCTCAGCCTCCCAAGTAGCTGGGACTACAGGTTGAGTAGCTGGGACTACAGCTGCCTGCCACCATACCCAAATAATTTTTCTTTTTTTTTTTTGAGATGGAGTTTCGCTTTTGTTGCCCAGGTTGGAGTGCAGTGGTATGATCTCGGCTCACCGCAACCTCCGCCTGCCAGGTTCAAGAGATTCTCTTGCCTCAGCCTCTCGAGTAACTGGGATTACAGGTGCATGTGCCACCACACCCGGCTAATTTTGTATTTTTAGTAGAGATGGGGTTTCTCCATGTTGGTCAGGATGGTCTCGAACTCCTGACCTCAAGTGATCCACCCGCCTTGGCCTCCCAAAGTGCTGGGATTACAGGAGGGAGCCCCCACACCTGGCCATGGACCCAGATACTTTTGTTAGTTCTTATCTTGATTAGACTTGGGACCATCACTCCAGGTTATTAAAGTTCAGGTTTATAATTGTTATCTTTGCCTTGAGGCTTTCCAAATTCTTCCAGATTATGGTGGATAAAGCAGATTTGTTTTGGGCCCTTGTTGGGAGAACCAGTAGGGGGTCCTATCCATTCACCCAGCTTCTGAGAGTGCTGCATTAAGACTTTTCTTTTTTTTTTTTTGAGACAGAGTTTTACTCTGTTGCCCAGGCTGGAGTGCCATGGCATGATCTCCACTCACTGCAACCCCTGCCTCCCAGGTTCAAGCAAGTCTCCTGCCTCAGCCTCCCAAGTAGCTGGGATTACAGGCACCTGCCACTACGCCTGGCTAATTTTGTATTTTTAGTAGAGGTGGGGTTTCACTATGTTGGTCAGGCTGGTCTTGAACTCCTGACCTCAGGTGATCCACCCCCCCCCTTCAGCCTCCCAAATTGCTGGGATTATAGGCATGAACCACTGCGCCCAGCCTCCCTTATTTTATTTGAGCTATTATATGTAACTAGAAATTATATATT